>NC_000017.11:76935980-77236390 GCF_000001405.40 Homo sapiens
CAGAGAGACGGGGTCTCATTATGTTGCCCATTCGGGTCGCAAACTCCTGGGCTCAAGCGATCCTCCCGCCTCAGCCTCTCAAAGTGCTGGGTTACAGGCATGAGCCACTGCGCCTGGCCTTGTCTTTCTCTTAACAGTGTCTTTCAGCCGGGAACGGTGGCTCACGCCTGTAATCTCAGAACTTTGGGAGGCCATGGCGGGGTGGATCCCGAGGTCAGGAGATTGAGATCAGCTTGACTAACAAGGTGAAATCCCATCTCTACTAAAAATACAAAAGATTAGCCACGTGTGGTGGCGTGCGCCCGTAGTCCCAGCTACTCAGGAGGCTGAGGCAGGAGAATTGTTTGAACCTGGGAGGCGGAGGTTGCAGTGAGTCGAGATCGCACCACTGCACTCCAGCCTGGGCGACAGAGGGAGACTCTGTCCCAAAAACAAACAAACAAAACAATGTCTTTCAAAGAGAAAAGTTCTTAATTTTAATGAAGTCCAGTGTTTTCTTTTAGGGATTGTGCTTTTGGTGTTGTATTTAAGAAATCTTTGTCTAACCCAAGGTTACAAAGATTTCTTTCCTGTTTTTTTGTATAAGTTTTATAGTTTTAGGTTTTGCATTTAAGTCTGTGATCCATTTTGCATGAACTTTTACATATAATAAGTAAAAAGTTCTTTTACGTTTTTGCGTGTAGATATCATGTTTCATGACCATTTACTGATGAAACCATCCTTCCTCCACTGAAATGTTTTGCACCTTTGTCGAAAATCAGTTGACCACACTGTGTGTGGGTCTATTTCTGGAGTCTGTATTCTGTTCCATTGATCTGTTTGTCTATCTTGATGCCAATACCACACTATCTGGATTACTGTAGCTTTATAAGAAGTCTTGACATCGGTAATATAAGCCTGCTAACTGTGTTCTTTTTCAAAGTTGTTTTGTCTATTCTAGGTTCTTTGCATTTCCAAATGAGTTTTAGAATCAGCTTATCAATTTCTACAAAAAAGTACTGGGAGTTTGATTGGGATTTCAATGTTTTTTTTTTTTTTTGAGTTCTGGAAAATGAATATGAAAAATTGTAGAGATAATTTAAGATCAAGGATGACTCTATTTTACTCCAGAGAGAATTTACTTTTACTCTTGGCTTATAGCTGGGGGCCCTAGCAATCTCGGATCACCTTGATCAATATGGTGATTAAGACAAAATGGATTCAGCCCCTGCAAGGACTGGTCTAGCTCTGTTTCATCCTTTTCTCTAGGGTGGAATTCCTCTGAGTTCTAATTCCAAATATGGAGCTTCCATCAGAGGTCCCCCTCCTTCAGTGAAAGAAGGGATGGGCAGATAAGATGGATGAATGAGAGGATGGATGGATAGATGGATGAGTCGATGGGTGGATGGGTGAGTGGAGGGATGTGTGAGAGGGATGGATGGATGAATGGGTGGGTGGATGAGTGGATGGGTGGATGTTTGAGAGGGATGGATGGGTGAATGGATGGATGGGTGGGTGGACGCATAGAGTTATGGGCAGGTGGACAAATGGATGGATGGATGGATGCATGGATGGTGGGTGCATGGATGGATGGTGGGTGCATGGATGGATGGTGGGTAGATGGATGGATAGGATGGATGGGATGGGTGAGAGAGAGAGATGGATGAATGGACTACAGAGAGCTCCACAGCTCCTCAGAGGAGCTTAGAGGTCATTAGGGGTTCAGCAGATGCCAAGTGGCACCACGTGAATCCATTTAAATGTTGGTCCCCATAGGGTTCCTTTGGAAAGAAAACAGTTTCATGGCTAAAAGTAATCCTGAAGCCTCTGCTCTAGTCCAATCTCTGCCATTCATAGGTTTTCAGGGCCAGAGAGGGGCGGGGCCTTTCCCAGTGTCCCACAGCCAGTTAATGGCCAACCTGAGACTGGGTCCACATCTTCTGACTTCCAGACCAAAGGGATCTCCTCCATGGACTTTGCCTTCTGTGGTTTGCATGTGGTTCCCATCTCCTCCTCTTCTTTTTCCAGGGGAAGGAGAAGTTCCTGGGCATCCTGAACAAATACATGGAGATCCATGGCACCGTGTACTACGAGAGCCAGCGGCCCCCCGAGGTGCCAGCCTTTGTGAAGAACCACGGCCTCTTACCGCAGCCTGAGTTTCAGCAGCTGCTGCGCAAGGCCAAAGTGAGCTCCCATCCCCCGCACCATTCTCACACTTGCCGGCTGCAGACACTGAGGTCACCACCCATGCCTGCCACCACCACTCAGGCCCCTTCCACATATGGACATACCCCAGCATGCTCTGCTGCCCTGAGCCCCACATCTGGCCAGAGCCCAGGGGCAGAGATGTGGGTGCCCACCAGGCAGGAGAGGTCCTATAGAGAAAGGGACCTGGGCAGGGCCAGCAGAGCAGCAGAGCCGTGGCTCAGTGATGGGGAAGTAGAGTTGGACTGCCCATCCTCCCCCTTGCAGTACCAGTCCAGCCAAATGGACTCCTGGGTCAGGCCTAGCTTTTGGAGACACTGAGCTGGGGGGTGGTTGGGTGGGTGGAGAGAAGGGTCCTGGCTAGAGTGCCATTGAGCCACTAGTCCTGAGTGACTGCTTCAGGGGTCCCTGAGCTGTACTGCTGGAGCAGCAGTTGACACAGTGGGCAAAACCCTGACTGGACCCTGGAGTATCAGCTGAGGCTGGAGAGTCTCCAGCCAGCTTCTAGGCACCCCCTCACCCTCTTTTTTATGAGACAGGGTCTTGCTCTGTCACCCACGCTGGAGTGCAGTGGTGCAATCAGGGCCCACTGCAACCTTATATTCCTAGGCTCACACAGTCCCCTCACCTCCACCTCCCGAGTAGCTGGGACTATTGGCATACACCACCACACCTGGCTAATTTTTAAATTTTTTGTAGAGATGGTGTCTTCCTACATTGCCCAGGCTGGTGTCAATCTCCTGGGCTTAAGCGATCCTACCACCTCGGCCTCTCAAAGTGCTGGGATTACAGATGTGAGCCACTGCACCTGGCCCCAGGCCCTCTCTTGATCTCACCATAGCTTGTTTCCCAAGGCATCTTGGGGGTGTGTGTGTGTGTGTGTGTGTGTGTGTGTGTGTGTGTGTGTGTGTTGGGGGCAGTGGAGATGCTTGCATGCAGTGAATAACCTGAACAACCTCACAGAACAGCCCTGGATTCAGAATCATTTATTAAGTGCCTTTGAGGCCAGCCCTGTGCACTCCTAGCACAAGTTACTTAAAAAATAATAATTTTGGCCAGGTGCGGTGGCTCACACCTGTAATCCCAACACTTTGGGAGGCCGAGGTGGGCGGATCACGAGGTTAGGATATCGAGACCATCCTGGCCAACATGGTGAAACCCTGTCTCTACTAAAATACAAACAAACAAACAAACAAAAAATCAGCTGGGTGTGGTGGCGGGCGCCTGTAGTCCTGGCTACTCAGGAGGGTGAGACAGGGGAATTGCTTGAACCCGGGAGGCAGAGGTTGCAGTGAGATGAGATGGTGCCACCGCACTCCAGCCTGGTGACAGAGCAAGACTCCGTCTCAAAATTTTTTTTCAACTTTTATTTTAGGTTTAAGGGGTACATATGCAGGCTTGGTACCTGGGTATATTGCATAATGCTGAGGTTTGTGATATGAAGGATCTTGTCACCCAGGTAGTGAGGATAGTACCCAGTAGTTAATTCTTCCGTCTTTACCCCCTTCCTCCTCCCCACTCTGGGAGTCCCCAGGTGTCTGTTGTTGCCATCTTTATGCCCATAAGTACCCAATGTTCAGCTCCCACTTATAAGTGAGAATATGCGGTATTTGGTTTCTGTTCCAGCTTTAATTCACTTAGGATATTGGCCTCCTGCTGTATCCATATTGCTGAAAAGGACATGATTTTGTTTTTTTTTATGTCTGCGTAGTATCTTATGGTGTCTATGTACCATACTTTCTTTATCCAAGCCACCGTTAATGGGCACCTCCGTTGGTTCCATGTCTTTGCTGTTGTAAATAGCCTCACACAAGTTAGATGCTGAATAAATGTTTTTGGGATGAGTGAGTGAGGTTCCTGGAGGTCTCTTGCAGGTGCGGGCCTGCAGCTTTCTTGGCCTGAAACCCTTGTTCTTTTCTTCCTCCCTCCACAATCATAAATCATAGCCTGATAGAGCAAGAAGAGACCATTGATAATACCTAATTAGACCCCCTTATTTCACAAATGGGGAAACTGAGGCCCAGAGAGGGGAAGTGCTTGCCCGTGGCACAAGATGTTCTGGGCTGGCTTTTCCAGCCCTGTTATAGCTCACATAACAGGCTGAGCAAAAATAATCGCTCCAGGCCCAGCTGCCTCCTGTGAATATCCCGAAGCCTCACCTTGTCCCCGGCATCCTGGTGCTTACTGGGCTGTGGCGGCCCAGCCCTCCCTGATCACTGCGCCCCTTGACTCTGCAGCTCTTCATCGGGTTTGGCTTCCCCTACGAGGGCCCCGCCCCCCTGGAGGCCATCGCCAATGGTTGCATCTTCCTGCAGTCCCGCTTCAGCCCGCCCCACAGCTCCCTCAACCACGAGTTCTTCCGAGGCAAGCCCACCTCCAGAGAGGTGAGTGGAAAGCATCCTGGTCCCCGATCAGGAGGGGCCGGGACAGAGACCCCTGCAGGTCCTGGAAGAGGCAGACTGAGATGTGGGGCAAAAGGAGATAGGACAAGTGTATGGGGTACCTTTCTTTGTCCCTGTCCCACTGGCAGGCACGGGGGGCATCTGCAATCTCTGTACCCTTGCCAGGTGTTCTCCCAGCATCCCTACGCGGAGAACTTCATCGGCAAGCCCCACGTGTGGACAGTCGACTACAACAACTCAGAGGAGTTTGAAGCAGCCATCAAGGCCATTATGAGAACTCAGGTGAGAGCAGCCACATACAGTTGAGACCCCCCACTAGTCCACACTGCTGGTCTTCACTCTGATTAGAAAACGGTGCCCCCCTCTGGGTGAGTTCAGACTTGCAGGCCTGGGTTGGCAAAGGTGTCCATCCCTCCCCTGGTCAGACACAGCCCTGAGCCAGGGCATGTGGATTGGAGAATGGAATGGGGGATCCCATTCATCTACTCAGGTGTGATGTGTGGGGAATGCCTTTGTGCAGTGAGCAACCTGCACAACCTTACATGGCAGCCCTGGATCTCAAATTGTTTATGGAGCACTTTTGAGGGCCAGGTGCTAACTGAATGTTTTCACGATGGATGTGTGGAGGTTCTTGAAACTGCTGCAGGTGTGGCTTTGCAGCCTTTACACAGCACATTTCAAAATATAATGTGCATACAGAGCGTCTGTTAATGCGGGGCAACGCTTCGAGTAGCAAGGGGGCAGAACACCCTGGGTCTCCAGCGAACGTGGGTGCTGGTGTGTGTAGGTGCACATGTGTGGGCTGGGTGAGAGTGAGGAGGGGCTTGTGCCTGATGCTCATCTCCGCAGTGGACATGTTTGTGGCTTTTGATCGTGCCTTGTGCTTGGCTGGTTCCTTCATTCTGGGGAGGCTCAGACCTGGTGAACGAGAGAGCCTCCTCTCACTATGGTTCTCCTGGATCCCCTTCTTGCTATAGCTCAGATGATAGGCTGAGCAAAAATAATTGCTCCAGGCCGGGAATGGTGGCTCCCGCCTGTAATCCAGCACTTTGGGAGGCCGAGGCGGGCAGCTCACTTGAGGCCAGGAGTTTGAGAGCAGCCTGGCCAACATGGCAGGTTTCTCAAAGTTAGGGACTGTCTGAGATTGGATTCCTCCAGGAAGTAACATGAAAACAGGGATTTTAGCAGTAGCTTATTTGGGAGGCAACCCCAGGAAGCAGGCACGGAGGTGCCAGGTGAGGCAGGGTGTGTATCAGCAGGTGGCACCTGGAGCTCATCACCACGGGGGCCTCTGCAAGATGGGGTAGGTCACATCCCAGAGCTGTCCTGCCCGAGGAGAAAGAGGCTAGGGTAGGTATCCTCCTCTTCCCATCCATCTGTGGCTGAGGGTGGTGCCTGGGATGCCAGTTCCTGACACTTTTGGCCTGCACACAGATGGGCTCGGCAGGCCAGAGACAGCCTTGAGGTGGAGTCACCGGTGACGGAGGGTGGGGCGCTGATGGCCCTGCTGCAGGGAGAGGTTGTGTGACCTTGTAATGCTGGATCCTAGCAAAGCACCGGCCTAGACAGAGTGGGGAGGGATAAAAAGCTCCCTTGCTAGCTCTCAACGCAGTGTTGTCCCCTGTCCTGGGCTGGTGGCTTAAGTTCTGGCAAGGCCTTGTAGAGCAAAAGCAACTAGAGGCCAGGAGCAGGGGCTCACACCTGTAATCCCTGCACTTTGGGAGGCCGAAGCGGGCGGATCACTTGAGGCCAGGAGTTTGAGAGCAGCCTGGCCAACATGGTGAAACCCCATCTCTACTAAAAATACAAAAAGAAATTTAGACAGGCGTGGTGGCACACGACTGTGATCCACCAAGAGGCTGAGGCAGGAGAATCGCTTGAACCTGGGAGGTGGAGGTTACAGTGAGCCGAGATCATGCCACTGCACTCCAGCCTCGGTGACAGAGCGAGACTCCATCTCAAAAAAATTTTAAAAAGATAAATAGGAACTTGGCCCCTTGGCCACGCCCTAGGAAGAGGGCCAGGTATTTGACTGGTACCAGCTTATAGGCTTAAATGGGGCTAGAAGTACCAGTGCCAGGAAGGAGGCCTTAGGTAGGGACCTCAGTGCATAGGAAAGAAGAGTGAAGGGGGTTAACTGATTAATTTCACTGCTGGAAACTGACCAACCCCAGCCCCCTGCACGGGGAAGCTGGCAACAAGGCGTACAGGTAGGCAAGGGGGCTCCTGTCACCCCACAGTCTCCTCCAGCTTCTTCTCCCACTTCTCCACCCACCTCCCTCTGCTCTCCTCCCTCTCCCCTCCCCTTGCAAACCAATCCTCTAAGACTTCTCCTGCAGAGGGGCTCGGGCAAGGCTGGGGAGGGGGACTACATAGACTTTTCCAATGTGGGGAGCAGCGTTTGGCCCAACCTCCAAGACACATTGTTAAGCTAAAAGAGCGAGACACTCCACCTTGGGGATAACTTGCCCCCCCGGGAGGCCCAGAAAGCGGGGTCGGGGGAGGGCTGTGTGCATGAAGGTGCTGCGATAGTCGCGGGTATTTCTGGTGGGACACACAAGAAATTGATAACTGGGGGAAGGACTGACTGTCTGCGGTGAGAGGAAACTTCCCTTTCATTGCTTTCCTGTTTGGTTTTTTTTTACATGAACATCTGTTTAATTTTGTTAATTAGTTAATTAAAAAATAACAATTACAAAAGGATTAAGGAAGCAAGGTATTGCAAATCTGACCAGCTGAGATTTGTGCTGGGCCCCAAACCAACGGAGGCCCCTCTGCCTTCAGACCCCTCCCTTCTGTGGGCCCCACCCCTCCGCATAACAGCTCACCCCCTCAGCTCACAGCAGCTCAAAAACATTTATGTGCCCAAGAGTCACCCGGGGGGAGGGCCTTAAATGCAGATCCTCGAGCCTATCCCGCACCTTCCCATTTAATAGGACCCAGCTTCGCGTGGGAATCTGCATTTTAAACAAGAACTCTGGGTAATTCTAATCTTCCCATTTTATTATTTTTTTAAAATTTTCTTTTTATATTATTTGAATAGAGATGGGGTGGGGTGGGGGGGGGGTCTCATTTTGTTGCCCAGGCCAGTCTCGAACTCCTGGGCACAAGCAATCCTCCCGCCTCGGCCTCCCAAAGAGCTGGGATTACAGGCATGAGCCACCATGCCCGGCCTAATAATTCTATTTTAGAAAACAGATTTAGGGACAGCTGGTGGAGGCTGAGAGCAAATGAGGGCTGCCATCATGGGGAGTGGCTTGTTCTGCAAGTCATGTGGCCTTTTACAGGGAGAGGGAGGGAGGAGCGGCCAGGATGGGGAGAAAGAGGTGAGAAGAAGAGGTGAGAAGAGGGAGGTCTAAGACACAGCGAGCCGGCCCCGGGCCTGACAGCCATGGAAAACCAGGGCCCGGCACCCCTTCTGTGTCTCTGCACCTCCCTGGGTTTGCCTGTGGACATCTCTGTGTCCAGAGCAAGGCCATTCAAGGTGATGCCAACACTGGCTTCCGCTGCACCCCTCCCTGCTGTCATTCCCGCAGGCCAGCAGTTCCCAGGCAGGATCAGCACCTGTCACTCTGTCGAGACTGATTAGGGCGCACACCTGTAATTAGACCTAATGGGGGTAATTTCCAGGCCAGGCAGGCTGGCTCCTCCGGCAGGAGATTCGTGGCAGGCGGAACGTCGTCGTCGTCGTTGGCCGTGAGTGTTTGCTTCACACAGGGACCTTTGAATTATCTTGTGACAAGGGCTTACAGACACAGGAGCAAGAGTAACTCAGAGATTTGCTGTCACGGAGCCGGGGAGCGGCATTTGGAGGGGAAAGCTCTTCTCTGGGGAGTTTTATTTATAACCTGAGAGTGAAGCCTTGTCCCCGCAAGACCCCCAGAAGTGTGTGGGGCTCAGAGGCTCCCAGGACTTCGTCATGAGTGTTTAGGGAACCAGCTGGGGCAGCAACTGGCTGCCAGGGTCTTCTTGGGCCATCGGCTCGGGAATGAGAGCAGGTCGGGACAGGGCTGTGCAGAGCACGGGGCTTCAAGGCTGGGCTGGGGATGGGACCTGCAGATTCTCCGGGACTTCGAACTTGCCCCAGCGTTGAGAATACCCACGCACAGTGCAGGGGGACGTCAGTGCTGGGGCAATGTCCGGCTTCAAGGACATCAGTGACTGCCGCTTCCCTGGGACCCTTGAGTGTCAGGGATGTCCCCTTGGCCAGAGGCCCCAGGACGAGTCTCCTAAGAAGTGGGGTACACAGAAGGCAGGACCGAGCTTGGCGCAGTTGGACTTTCTAGCACCACCCAACGCTGATGAGGAAGAAAGGAGGTGGTTGCAGGCTTGAGTCAAACAGTTAGATTTCACCCACTGGCTAAAGACGGGAAAGCGGCCTCATTAGGAGATGGGCTGGGCCAGGTCAGGTGCCACCAGGCATGGTGGGGTGGGGAGGTTGAAGCCTAAAACAGACCTTTCTCTGAGTCCGGGATGGCTCCTTCCTGAGTCCTGACTGCTGCCCCTGCCCTTTCAGGTCAGTGATTTTCTCCACGGTGGCTCTGCACTGGGCCTGAGAAGGTTAATGGAACAGGAAGGGGTTGGTTGGTTAAGAAGTCGGGGGGAGGCAGGAGTACCCCCTTACTCCTCTGTCACTCTTCCCTCCACTCCCCTGGTTTCTTTTACCCAAGCTACTGCATGCATCTGCCCACAGGACAGGTTGCTGTGTGACTATTAGATATTTATTTATTTATTTATTTTTGAGACAAAGTCTCACTCTGTTGCCCAGGCTGGAGTGCAATGGTGCAGTCTCAGCTCACTGCAACCTCCACCTCCCAGGTTCAAGTGATTCTCCTGCCTCAGCCTCCCAAGTAGCTGGGATTACAGGCACCTGCCACCACGCCTAGCTAATTTTTTTTGTATTAGTAGAGCCGGGTTTCACCACGTTGGCCAGGCTGGTCTTGAACTCCTGACCTCAGGCGATCCGCCCACCTCGGCCTCCCAAAGTGCTGGGATTACAGGCATGAGCCACCGTGCCGGGCTAACTATTAGATATTTAGACAGACAACCTGTGGCCTCTGTTTGGGGGTTTGTGCCTGTGGGGGCAGGGTACTTTACAAATGTCATCTCATTCCCGCTGACTGGGAGATGCCCCTGTGTTCCTCTGCATGAATGTCCCATGTCTTGGGCAGGATACAGGCAGAGCTGGGGATGCCTTTTCATTCCATGACTATTTCCTGAGCACCCACTGTATGCCAGGCACTGTGCCAGGCACTGGAGATTCAGTGTGAACAAGCCATAGTCCCCACCCTCAAGGTGTCCATAAGTTTATGAGAGACATGACGAATACACAGGAGACAATAACACAGGGGCTCATTCTGTGCTGGGGGAAGTCTGGGGTGCTGGGAGTCACCAAGGAAAGTGTTCCTGTAACAGGAGTGGGGGTGGGGCTCAGGGAAAGCTCCCTGGAGCAGGTGATGCCTAAGAGGGTGGGTGGGCTGTGGGAAGAGGAGGTGTCAAAGCCCAGTAGGGGACACAGCGCTGAGCTTTATCCTCATTGCAGTTGGGACAGGGACCTGGGAGGGGGTGGGGAGGGATGAGGCTGGGCCTTGTGGGTCCTGAGCCTGAGTCCCGGAGGGCTACTGGAGGGTGTGCGGGGAACGGGGACTCTGAGCTGGGTGGAAGGGCCAGGTGGATGGGGTGGTCGGCTCCCTGGGCATGGCACAGGATGTGAGAGCCCACCAGACCTCCACCCCCAATGCCGAGCATGGCAGGGCCCCCGACGGCTGGGCCTTCTCCCGCCCCATGTGTCTGCCCATCCCTCCCACAGGTAGACCCCTACCTACCCTACGAGTACACCTGCGAGGGGATGCTGGAGCGGATCCACGCCTACATCCAGCACCAGGTCAGTGAGCCCTCTGGTCCCTGCCCCAGATCCTGTCAGACCAGAGGAGGGGGCTGAGCCAGCTTCATTGTCTGCCCAGGGCCCTGCACCCGTGAAACCATCCAACTCCCTGCTCCCTCCTCCAGCCTGTCCAGTCTCTTCCCAGAGTTCCCTCAGGGCTGGAGACAGGCAGGCCTGACTGCGGGCCTGGAAAGCAGCACACTCCGGGCACTCCTGCTGTCTGGGCCCAGCCTTAGAGCCCAACTCCACGGCACTAACAGAAACACAAAGACTTCCGTTCTTAGAAAACAGTGGTTCGAAAGTCTGCTAACTGATTGGGATTTGGTAACTGAATGGGAAGTGAAGATCCCCAGACTCTCCGCCCACCTGCTAAGGATGGCAGTGAGACTGGAATGGGAGATTAGGATCTCTGCCCTGAGAAACCAGGGGACAGCCCCACGGTTTCAAAAACTCGGCCACCTCAGCCCCCGAGGGAGCGCCTGGGCAGGCACCTGTCCAAGGAGTACACTCCTTCTCCTCCCACGGGTGCTCAGAGTGCCTGGAAGTCGTGGGTGAGGAGGAGGGCGTGCCCTATTCCTGGGGAGTCCTGGCCCTCCACTGCATCCTGGTGGATCTGAGCCACCATGAGGGCTGCAGGTGGCCCAGATGGAGCGTGGCTCTGCAGGCCCCGGGTGTCCAGGGTGATGCCTGGGGTGGGCCTTGGGCTCAGGGCCCTGGGGCAGGTGGCCGTATGGCTGTAAGAAATTTCCACAGATAGTACGTGACCTCCCTTTCCATCTTGTTGGCCCCACCAATATTAGGGGCTGAGAGAGTCTGGTTCTCCCCTGTCCCTTTACAGATGGGAATACTGAAACCCCCAGAAGGGAGAGTGTATTCAGGTGAGGGGGTGAGGGTCAGGGCCGTGGCCAGAACCCAGGACTGGACCCAGACTGGAAGCTCACAGAAAAGCATTCGCGGGGCCCTCCGGCCCCTGGAGTTGAACCCTGCAGGGAGAGCCTCACAGCCAGCCTGGGGCCCTGTCCCCATGGAGGGCAGGGCTCGTGGGCCCCAGGGTAGGAACCCCAGCCTGACCTGAGCATCGAGGCAGCTCCAGGGCACACAGGATGCAGAGGGCCCTGAATCCAAGTCCTGTTCTGCCATCCAACCCCAAGGCCCTGGGCGGATGCCGTGACCTCTGAGCCTCCATAATTCCTGTAAGCGATCTGGAGACACGAGTGTCCATGAGAAGTAAATGAAATAATGCAGGTAAAGCTACCTGGTATTCAGTAAGCGCCCAGTAGTGGTGGCTCGTACTGGCACGGCAGGGCCACACCTTCAGGTGTCTCCCAGGCACACCTGGGTCGCACTTCCCCACCCTGACACTGCTCTCCTCCTTGCAGGACTTCTGCAGAGCTCCAGACCCTGCCCTACCAGAGGCCCACGCCCCGCAGAGCCCCTTTGTCCTGGCCCCCAATGCCACCCACCTCGAGTGGGCTCGGAACACCAGCTTGGCTCCTGGGGCCTGGCCCCCCGCGCACGCCCTGCGGGCCTGGCTGGCCGTGCCTGGGAGGGCCTGCACCGACACCTGCCTGGACCACGGGCTAATCTGTGAGCCCTCCTTCTTCCCCTTCCTGAACAGCCAGGACGCCTTCCTCAAGTGAGTGTTCCCCCACCCTCCCCACCCAGCCGCTATCATCGCTGGCCCAGCCGGGTTCACTGAGAGCTCTCATGCCCAGAACCGGCCCTCAGCCCTGCCAGTGTGGGGGGATGTAATGCTTTCCAATGAGTCAGGAAGGATCCAGAAGGGATCCTCCAGGCCATTATCCAGGTCATTGCTGCCCTACTCTTGGCCAAACCCTAAACTACCAGGGAAAGCTCCTTCCATTGCCTGCTCTCTTCCACCCACTCAGCCCCCTGCCCAGCCTGTGGGCATCGTCCTGTCCCAGACCATGAAAGCTGTCCCAGGTGCTCCTCCTACTGGGTCTGCCTGGGTCCCCAGCCCCTCCAGGCCAGGCCCCTCTCTTCTCCAGGGGTCCCTTGGACAGCAGGTGGGATAAAGGAGCCGTAACACATTTCCTTACCCAGGCTGGGATGGGATGGGCCAGAGAAGGGGAGCAGGCAGGACTAGGCTGGGGGCAGCCCCTACCCCGCCCCAGCCCTTCTGCCCAAGTGACCAACGCTGAGTGACGGTGCTGTGTGGTCCCTGCCAGGCTGCAGGTGCCCTGTGACAGCACCGAGTCGGAGATGAACCACCTGTACCCGGCGTTCGCCCAGCCTGGCCAGGAGTGCTACCTGCAGAAGGAGCCTCTGCTCTTCAGCTGCGCCGGCTCCAACACCAAGTACCGCCGGCTCTGCCCCTGCCGCGACTTCCGCAAGGGCCAGGTGGCCTTGTGCCAGGGCTGTCTGTGAATCCGCCTCTGCCGCCCTGCCTGGCACCCACGCTGGCTCTCTCCTGCCGCGGGAGAAAGCACCAGCAGGTTCTGAGCCCTGGCTGCTTGTCCTCCTCGCAACCCCCCCAGGCCGGAGCTTCCTTCCTTAGCCGGGAAGCTGGCAGAGGAGAGCCGTGCCCGGGAATAGGAGGAGGCAGCATGCCGAGCCCCTGGGACCTCCCAGGCAGGCTCCGGTTCTCTCCTGGGGACTCACAGAAGCATCGTGGCCAAGCAGGTGTCGGACTGCTCAGAGTCCGCATGGCCCAGGAGCAGGTGGTCGGAGGCCCCTGGCTTTGTGCAAGGCCGGATCTGGGCCAGGTGGCGAAAGGGGCCCAGTCGTTCTTGGGCCCAGGATGGGGCCTCTAGACTTGCAAGGGAGAGGAACAGGGACCAGGCTGCCCCACGGTCCCTGAAGGGTCCAAGGAGGGGCCCTCCCCATGGCCCTGGAGAGTGGGCCTGGGTGGTACCTGCTCCAGGCAGGGAAACTGGGGGCTCGCCCTTCTCCTGTGAGGGGAGCCAGGCACACAGGGCCCATTGGTGTTTGGGATGTGGACAGAGGGGCAGGGGGCTGGGAGAAGGCTAAGCCGAGGGGTCCTGTTTGTGCCTCCCCTTAGTCCCTTCCCTCCCGATTTCCCGATTCCCCCACCCTCCCTCTACACTTGAGGACCACAGTTGGGGGTGTAGGGACCACCCAGACCCTGGTTGAATTGTTTCTCTCTCCTGCTTGTTCCAACCCTTTTCACTCTGGGCTTCTCCCAAAACCCATCCTGGCATGACCTGCAACTCCAGGTGGTGGATTTGTTCCAAAGCCTCAATCCCTACCCCCTCCAAGGGGCAGGTTTCCAGTCCAGCCTCAGAGATCAGGCTCTGGGACCCCTGCCTGGGGGGTGGCCTTCATGCACTAGCCACTTCCGCAGGTGCTGACTCCCGCACTCCCTGGCATTTTTTGCAGACAAGGGCTTGGGATGGACCCTCAGCCCCATGGTACGCCCTGCCCAGTTTCCAGTTGCCCTGTCCACTTACCCTAGGTAGCCCCCCACCCCATCAGTGCCGAGTCCTTGTCCCTACCTCCAGCTTCCTCCAGCCTCAAACCGCCTCTGGATCTAGCTGTCCTTCTCCGAGTGGCACGCCTGCCCCAGGATGCCCCCTTTCCCTCCCCCCCATGCCCAGAGCCCCGCCTGCCTCAGCGGGTCAGGCCTTCAGAACACTGCCACCCACCCAGTTTTATAATCCCGCTCCCTCTCCAGGCAACCCCACCCACCAGCCTAGGCCTGCTCCTCCACCCTTCCCGGGAGGCAGCCCCGGGATGCTGAGAGTTGGTGGAGGGGCCAGGCTGGACGCTTCCTGTGGGAGTCCCCTCCAGACCTGGCTGGCCCCTGCAGCCACAGAAACCACGATGGCAAAAAATCTCATTGGTTCTCAAGGACTAACCTGTGGGGGAAAGCAATAGAGACACTCTTTTTCTCTCTTTTTTTTAAAGATTTATTTCTTGAAATAATAAATATTTTATTGGGATGTGAGGTGCAGAAGAGGAACTGTGCTGGATTCTCGTCTTTTCCTGCGGCATCCGGAGCTCGCCCAGGGTGGAGGGCAGACAGCCGGGGTCCCCGGGTTCTGCTCCATGTCACTTGGGGCACATGGGGTGCTCAGGTCTGCAGAGCTGGGTGCTGTCTGCTCCAAGCCGCCCAAAGGAAGTCCCTGCTGGTGGCAGTGACCCAGGGTCATCTCCTGGCTGCCCCAGAGCCGTGACTGCAGGCACCCTGACAAGCAGTGGTGAACTCAGTCATGTTCACCTCAGGCTGGCCTCTGCCTACCTCCAGCTGGCTGTGACAGTGGCCGCACGAGGTCAGAGAACACAAATCCATTTTGCTAAGAGCCTGAGCCACATAATGAGAAAATGAGCCGGTGTTTACCTCCTCGGGCACTGGGCTGAGAGTTTGTTCCATGCTTGAGTTGTCATTTCAAGCACTCAGCTACCCTAGCAGGTAAGTACTATTATGTTAATATTTCCATTTTACAGCGAGAGGCACAGAGAGTTCAAGTAACTTGCCCGAGGTCACACAGCTTGTAAGCAGGGAGGTGGGATTTGCTATAAAATGGGGATCATTTTCAAGTCATGGTGAGGAGCAAATGGCTGGATAGAGTGACAGCCTGGCATGGTGACCCTGCATGCACGTCTTCGCTCCAGGCTTTTTTTTTTTTTTTTTTTTGAGACGGAGTCTCGCTTTGTCACCCAGGCTGGAGTGCAGTAGCACAATCTCGGCTCACTGTAACCTCTGCCTACTGGGTTCAAGCGATTCTCCTGCCTCAGGCTCCCGAGTAGCTGGGACTACAGGCGTGTGCCACCACACCCGGCTACTTTTTGTATTTTTAGTAGAGACGGGGTTTCACCATGTTAGCCAGGCTGGTCTCAAACTCCGGACGTCAGGTGATCCACTCACCTCGGCCACCAAAAGTGCTGGGATTACAGGCATGAGCCACTGCGCCAGGCCTTCGCTCCAGGTTTTATGTGATCCTGTATTTGAGTCACTGCACAATCAGGGCCTTCCTTCCCACCAAGGGTTCTCCACTGGGGCAGTTTTGTTCCCTGGAGGACAGCTGGCACTGTTTTGGATTGTTGTGACTTGAGACAGGGGTGGCATGCTATTGGCCTCCAGTGGGGTAGAGTCCAAGGATGCTGGCAGCATCCTCCAGTGCACAGGACAGCCATACCACGTAGGATGATCTGGCCTGGAGCATCAGCAGCGCCAAGCTTCACACACCCTGTTCCAGGCCAGTGGTTCTAAAATTTTGGCATGCATCAGAATCACCTGATTCCTGAGCTTACTGAAACACATGTTGCTGGCCCCCACCTGCGGAGTTTCTGATTCAGCAGATCTGGGGTTGGGCCCTGGGATTTGAGTCTTTAATAAGCTCCAGGTGGGCGGGAGGCTTGCTTGAGCCCAGGAGTCTGAGACGAGCTTGGGCAACGTAATGAGACCTCGTTTCTACAAAAAAAAAAAAAAAAAGGCCAAGGTTTGTGGCATGCGCCTGTGTTCCCAGCTACTCGGGAGGCTGAGGTGGGAGGATGGTTTGAGCCTAGGAGTTTGAGGCTGCAGTGAACCATGATTGTGCCACTGCACTGTAGCTTGGGCAAAGAGCAAGACCTTGTCTCAAAAAAAAAAAAAAAGAAAAAAGAAAAAGAAAGAAAAAGGCCAGGCATGGTGGCTCACACCTGTAATCCCAGCACTTGGGAGGCCGATGCTTGAGTTAGAGACCAGCCTGGGTAACACAGACCTCATCTCTCTAAACAAAAACAAAAACAGAAAAAACCTCTGGGTGCTGCTGCTACTACTACAGGGGGCCAGGGCCCATACTTTGAGAACAGCTGGTCTAGACCAAGCAGGTACTAGTAGGTATTTCAAACGTGAGAGTACCAATAACTTGGTACCAGTTTTTAATTAACAGTGACTATGGCCATTTTCTTCTGTTCCAGCATGTAATGCCAGGGGAGAGACCTCATACAACCAAATCTGCTCACAGAGATCAAAGCCACAGGCCATCAGAATTCCTCCTGTCCCCTCATTTTACAGATGGAGGCCCGAAGAGAACAGGGGCCTGGTCCATATCGTACAGCTGGAGGAAGAGCCCAGATCTCAGTCCCTCTCTGTCTCTACCTCTGTCCCTCTCTGCTATGCTGCTTAAAAGAGGCTGAGAAAAGAATAGCTGAGCCAGGCATTTTCCATGATCTTGTCCAGCAGGAGGGGGGTAGGGCTCAGAAACCTGACCAAGGCCTTCTTTTAGGAACTGAGCCTAGTTAGGGGAAAAAAGAAAAAAAAGGCCAGGTGCGGTGGTTCACGCCTGTTGTCTCAGCGTTTTTGGAGGCCAAGGTGGAAGAATCTGAGGTAGAAGGATCACTTAAGCCCAGGAGTTCAAGCAACATGGCAAGAACCCATCTCTACAAAAATTGTTATTATTTTTATTTTTTTGAGATGGAGTCTGTCATCCAGGCTGGAGTACAGTGGTGTGATCTTGGCTCACTGCAACCCCCGCCTCCCAGGTTCAAGCAATTCTCCTGCCTCAGCCTCCCGAGTAGCTGGGATTACTGGGATTACAGGCACCTGCTACCACGCCCAGCTAATTTTTGTATTTTTAGTAGAGACAGGGTTTCGCCATGTTAACCAGACTGGTTTCAAACTCCTGACCTTAGGTGATCCACCCACCTCGGCCTCCCAGTGCTAGGATTACAGGCACGACCCAGGGCGCCCGGCCTACAAAAATTATTTAAAAATTAGCTAGTGTGGCAAGTGCCGGTGGTCTCAGCTACTTGGGAGACTGAGGTGGGAGGATCGCTTGATCACTTGAGCCCGGGAGGTCCAGGCTGCAGTGAGCTGTGATCATGCCGCACCACCGCCCTCTAGCCTGAGTGAGAGTGAGGCCCTGTCTCCAAAAAAAAAAAAAAAGACTATTTTTTTGAGCAGTTTTATGTTCACAGCAAAGTTGGGTGGAAAGTAGATTTCCCATATGCCACCTCCCCCACATACACAGGCCACCCCCACCATCCACATCCCCTACCAGAGTGGTCCATGTGTTCCAATCTATGAGCCTACACTGACGTATCATCAACCAAACACAGTTCACATTAGGGCTCACTCCTGGTGCCGTGTATTCTACGTGTTTTGACAAATCTTTAATGAGATGTATCCACTATTATGGCACCATACAGAGTGGTTCCATTGCCCTAAAAATCCTCTGTGCTACCCCTGTACATCTCTGCCTCCTCCTAACCCTGGAAAACCATGATCTTCCGACCATCTCCGTAGTCTCACCTTTTCCAGATCATCAGGTAGTTGGAGCCCTACAGTTTGTAGCCTTCTCAGATTGGCTCCTTTCCCCCTAGTACCTCGTAACATGCATCTAACATTCCTCTGCATCTTCTCGTGGCCCGGTGCCTCATTTCCATTTAGCACTGAATAATATTCCATTGTCTGGATGGATCACAGTTTGTTTACAAATTCACCTACTGAAGGACATCTTGGTTGCCTCCAAGTTTTGGCAGTTCTGAATAAAGCTGCTATAAATGTTCACTTCCAAGTTTTTGAGTGGAATCCATTTTCTTTTCTATTTTCTTTTCTGCTTATAACAGTCACAGTCATTTGTTTTGCTCACAGATCTGCAATTTGGGCAGGGCCTGGTGGAGGTAATTTGTCTCTGCTTCACATGGCATCAGCTGAGGTGGCTTGCCCCAAGGCTGGAGAATCACTTCCAGGACAGCTCACTCATGTGGCTGGCAAGTTGGTGCTGTCGGCTGGGGAGCTCAGCAGGGGATTTGGGCTGGGGGCCATGGTTCCCATCCATGTAGGCCTTTCCAAGGACTCTTGTGCTTCCGTGCAGCATGGTGGCTGGGTTCCAAGAGTGAACATCCCAGGAGAATAAGGTGGAAGTGAAAGGCATTTTTTTGAACTAGCCTTGGAAGCCACATGCTGTCAATGCTGGCATACTCTATTGGTCAAGAGAGTCACAAAGCTCCTCCTGCTGCAGCTCATGAGGAGGGGACATAGATGCCACCCCTCAATGGGAGGGGTGTCAAAGTCACAGCAGAAGAAGTGCTCGTGGAATGGGATATAGTGTTGCCTCTATCTTTGGAAAATATAATCTGCCAAAGATGCAGCTTGGTCTTCCAGCATTTCTGGACTGTTGTCCTCATCCGGTCCAAGATGGGTCCCCTCTAAGGCCTCATTCCATCCAATGAAAGAGAAAAAGGAGAGGGGGAGTCAGCTCATGCTGCTTCTGATTGTGCTCCATTGGCCAGAGCTTAGTCACATGGCCATACTTAGGTTTACCGGTTTATTGTAAAGGATTTTACAAAGAGTAGAGATGAAGAGATGCGTAGGGTGAGGTATGAAGGGGGCGGAGGACACGGAACTTCCGTGCCCTCCCTGGACGGCCACCTCCCAGGAACCTCCACATGTTCAGCTGTCCAGAAGCTCCTGGACACAATTTCCAACAACTAATTCGGGTAAATGCCAAGGAACACGATTGCTGGATCGTATGGTAAAAGTATGTTTAGCTTTGTAAGAAACTGCCAAGCTGTCTTCCCAAGTGGCTATAGCATTTTGTATTACCAGCCCTGAATGAGAATTCCTGTTGCTCCACAGCCTCACCAGCATTTGGGGTTGTCAGTGTTTTGGATTTGGGCCATTCTGATAGATGTGCAGTGGTATCTCATTGCTGTTTTAATTTGCATTTCCCTGATGACATATGACGTGACATATATATTTGCCATCTGTGTATCGTCTTTGGCGAAGTGTCTGTTCAGGTCTTTTGCCCATTTTTTAATTGAGTTGTTTTCTTAGTATTGAGTTTTAATAGGTCTTTATATATCAACCTACTTTTGAATCCTGTCTGAACTTTTAAATGAAGCTGAAGGGGCTGGCTGGCAGTAGTGGGGGAGAAGTTGAGAATTAGAAAGAATTTGCAGCCCAGATGTCAGTGCCAGGCAGAGCTGCGGCTCCCACACCTTCCTCTGAAGCTGGCCACGCCTCCTTCAGCCCTGGCCCAACTCTGAACAGTGGAGGGAAGGGCAGGCACGGGCCGGCCTCACCACCGCCCTGCCAGGTGACCACCCCTCCCCACTCACAGGTGAGGAAACAGGTGTGATGAAGCCCCTCAGCCCATGGACTCACCTGAGCCAATTAAACCAAAAACCAAAATATCTAGGCAGGGCGGCTCATGCCTGTAATCCCAGAACTTTGGGAGGCCGACGTAGGCAGATCATTTGAAATCAGGGGTTCGAGACCAGCCTGGCCAACATGGTGAAACCCCGTCTGTACTAAAAATACAAAAATTAGCTGGGCATGGTGGTGCGCGCCTATAATCCCAGCTACTCGGCAGGCTGAGGCAGGAGAATCGCTTGAGCCCAGGAGGTGGAGGTTGAGGCTCCATCTCAAAAAAAAAAAATTTCCTATTTTTAGAGTCAGGGTCTCACTCTGTCACCCAGGCTGGAGCCCTCAAACTTCTGGGCTCAAGCAATCTTCCCACCTCAGCTTCCTGAGTAGCTGGGACCACAGGCATGCGTCACCAAACCTGGCTAATTTTTTTTATAGAGATGGGGGTGGGGGGGCGTCTCACTATGTTGCCCAGACTTGTCTTAAACTCCTAGGCTCAAGTGATCCTCCCACCTCGGCCTCCCCAAGTGCTGGGATTACAGGCGTGAGCCACCGCACCCAGCTGGGCATCAGCATTTCATAAAGCACTCCTCTATGTGTCTAGTGTGGTTCTACTGTGAACCACTGCACTTACCCATCATACCTGGCTAGCTCCTCTCTGCAGCCCTCATGGCTTTGCCCTCCAAGGAGGGAGAGGAGGTTGAGTACCAACTTGGGGAGGCCTCATTTGAAGCCTTGGCCTCCAGCCCCAGCCCCTGGGCTGAAGCAACTTCTCTTGCAGCCCAGGGCCCACTAGGCTGAATCCAGTGGAGGAAAAGGTGGGGGATCCAGCTGGACCTGGGGGCAAAGGATGCAAACAGGCCTCGGCTGGCTCCAAGACAGTCCTGAAGTTCAAGGGCAGGAGAAATAACATGAGTGGGAGGCTGGTAACAAGTTCTGTCCCTCACAGCCAGGGAAGCTGAAGGGCAGCAGAGAGGACGGGGTCCCAGGTCCCAGCAGGACTGTAGGAGGCCAGCTGCCTGTGGAGGTCCAGGAGGCAGTCCCCACCCTGGGTTCTTCTCTTGGCAGCCAAAGCACCCTCTTAGCTGGGCCTGGCGGGGCTGGAGGCCGAGCAGCTAGACCTGGGGACCTGCCTTCCCTGTGCTCTGGCCCTGCAGCTGCCCCAGCTGCCTTGGCTGACTTAGAAGGCTCCCAAAGACCCTGTATGTTCCCTAACCCCACCTTCCCACACCCTCCCCTGGGGAAGATCTGACTTCTGGGAGGCAAGAGCCCAGGCAGTTTGGGGTCTCAAAAAAGAGGTCCGTAGGGTTTAGGTTTGTCCACCCCTTTCTGCCCGACCACACTGGCTCCTCCAAGTATCGGCCTAGCACTCTCTAAAAGGGAATCACGTATTCCCTTAAAGGGGGCGGGGCCCTCTTTTCAGGACTGTGCTAGGGTGAGGCTGCCCTGCTCCTCCTTGGCTGTGCAGGTGCAGACCCCACCACCCCATCCCAACAAGCCCGACTCAGAAGGGAAGATGGGGTGAAAGCCCCGTCACGGTCCTCGCGAGAGCCCCGAGCTCCTCACCAGGCTGGCACCTGGCACCCCAACCTGCTGCTTCGGAACTTCCTCTTAGTTTGCACTTCAGCTTCCTCCTCTGTAGAATAAGGGACATAATCCTGGGACACAGGTGTTTTGAGGACTAAAGGAGGTGAGGCAGGTAAGATTCCAGGTGCTGCCTCTGAGATGAGGTGGCTGTTGATGACTGCAAGACACTCAGCTGCTCTGGGGAGCCGCGCTGTCTCCAGGGGCAAGGAGCTGCCGCCCCTCCTAGCAGGAGAGCACAGTAAGGCTCAAGCGGTCCCTGGCTCCCAGCCTGCCGCCACCCAAGATTGGAAACCCCAAACCTGGGGGAACTTCTCACCGCGGCTGCTGGGGGGTGGCTGTCCTTGGGCAGAACAACACAGAAGATGCTGTGGGTTGAATTGTGTTCCCCCCAAAAGATGCATTGAAGGCACCCCTGGTGCCTGTGAATAGGATCTTACTTGGAAATAGGGTGTGTGCAGATGTTCTTCAATTTGAGATGAGGCCAGACTGGATTAGCAGAGGCCTTAAGTCCAATGACTGGTGTCCTTATCAGAAGAGGACCCGGGGACACACAGGGAAGAAATCCCTGTGAAGACAGAGGCAGAGATCAGAGCCATGCAGCTGCGCCAGCAAACACTAAGGCCTGCTGGTGACCGCCGGAAGCTGGGAGGGCAAAGATGGACCCTTCTCTGGCGCCTTCAGAGGGAATACGGCCCTGCTGGCACCCTGATGCTGGACTTCTGGCCTCTAGAACTGTGAGGAAATACGCTCCCGCGGTTTTAAGCCACAGCCGGTGGTAAGTGACTATAACAGCCATGGGAAGCTCACACAGAAGGGGTCAGACTTCTGCTGCCTTTCAAGATAATAAGAGGCTGAGCCACGCATCCCGAGTCGGGAGGTAAACGGCCCCCTAGCCAGGCCGCTGGCTCCAGCATGCAGCCCGCTTTGTCTTTTCGCAGAAAAGCAAAGTGTTTGCTGAAAAAAGGCATCGAAGGAAAGAGAACACAGCTCCCCAGGGATGCAGACCAGTCCCTCCGCCCCAAATAAACACCCACAACACAGACCTTCAGGGCACCTGGGGTGCAGAATCCAGGCGCTTACAGCAGGAGAAGGGGGTGGTCCCCAAGCCTGACTTTTCAGGTTGATTCTGCGCTCCTCTGGGACTGGGCCACTCTCCGAGTCAGCCTGAGATCATCTCCCTCTGAGTCTCAGCTAAAAATAGTCCAGGCTCCGACGTCTGCATATATTTGAATATTGGGCTCAAGAGACCGTGATTCTGGGGAAACGGTGCAGCTGGTTCCCCCTGATGTTGGAGCGTGAAGCCAACAGAGCACGTTCTCCCCATTAAACTCTCAGCTCCCACAGCTGCCCAGGCCTGACCACCAGCGCCTCTTCCTTAGAGACCCTTCGTGGGGTGTCTTCTCCAGTCTGGGGCCCCATGAAGCAGCCCAGAGCTGGGTGGGATTTGGCTTTTGGAGTGCTGGGAGAGTTTCAGGCTGGGGTCTGAGCCCTGGGAGGGCTCCTTGAGCCCACAGCAGATACCCCTGGCCCCCATGGCTCCCCCAGCCCCATGCTGGTGCCCACCCCATCCTTGGACCTCTGAAGGCAGAGGGTGGGTGGAGACTATGAATCCCCCGGCCTTGTCTCAAGCTGGACTTAGACACCCTCACTTTCCCCTCTCTTTTCCCTCTCCCCATCACCATCCGTTCAGCAAACATTCTCCCAGGAGCAGTGCTTGGTAAGGCACTAGGCCCGGAGGGTACAGTCTCCTGTCTAGTAGTGGCTGTGTCCTGAGCCCCTGTGTCCAGGGCTGGGGCCTGCTGAGGACTCAAGTGGGCTTCCTGAATCTGCTGGTGCCTGATTTTAATCAGTTCTGGAGACCGCTCTGCCAATATCTCTGATCTTCCTTCTCCCATAGTGACAGACCCTCTCCCAATCTCCCTGTGCTGGGGATGGGTGTTTTTGCTCTGTCCTTCCACGGAGACCGCAGAACTGAAGGGGCCTGGCTTTATGCAGGGGTCTCGATTCTGCATGTCCATCCCCCAGGCCACACCTCTCATCTCCGTGGAGGAGTCAGAGTCCAAGCCCTGGACCCCAGGACCAGGAAGCCTCGGCCTGCGCTGGCCACACTCACGCAGCCACCGTCTGGTTTTCAGCTCCTGGTTCACTCCGGCCCTTGGGCTTCCCCTCCTTCCTGCAAACTCATCTCTGCCTTAAGCTGGATGTGGATGCTTGTGGTTGTTCCTTTCCTTTCCTTTCCTTCCTTTCTCTTCTTCCCTTTCCTTTCTCTTCTTCTCCCCCTCTCCTCCCCTCCGCTTTTCTTCTCTTCTCTTGACTGAGTCTTGTGCTCTGTCACCCAGGCTGGAGGGCAGTGGCGCGATCCTGGATCACTGCAACCTCCACCTCCTGGGTTCAAGCAATTCTCCTGCCTCAGCCTGTCGCGTAGCTGGGGTTACAGGCACCCACCACCACTCCTGGCTATTTTTTTTTTTTTGTATTTTTAGTAGAGACAGGGTTTTGCCATGTTGTCCATGCTGATCTCACACTCCTGACCTCAACTGATCTGCCCGCCTTGGCCTCCCAAAGTCCTAGGGTGACAGAGCCACCGTGTCCGGCCGGTTTCTTTTATTTTCTGGTGTTTCATGAAGAAAGGCTACGCAGTTCCCGTGCCTGACACAGGACGAAGTTGTTAACCTTCCCAGAGGTGCTTTCGTGTAAACAGTGGCTTCTCTTCTGGGATACAACAAAGAACGTGGGCCATGGAGTCAGACAGCCCTGGGGTCAAACCCTGTTTTGGGCCCCCATCACTAGCTGTGACCCACAGAGTTTATGTCTCTGAAATTTTGTTCCATCACCTGGTTAAATGGGGACAATACCACCGTCTTGGAAACAAATGGCCACAAATTTAGTGGCATAAAATAACACAATATATCTTAGTCCTGAACATCAGAAGTCCGGAACGGCCCTCACTGGGCTAAAATCAATGTGTCGGCAGGGCTGCCTGCTTGCCTCCTGGAGGCTCTGTGGGAGAATCCATTTTCTTCCTCTTCTGTTTTCTAGAGGCTGCCTGCACTCCCTGGTTCTCGACCCCTTCCTGCATCTTTAGAGCCAGCAATGACCAGTCGACTCCTTCCTGTATCTCATTCCTCTGATGCTGACTCTCCTGCCTCCCTCTTTCGCTTCTTTTTTTTTTTTTTTGAGACAGGGTCTCACTCTGTTGCCCAGGCTGGAGTGCACTGGTGTGAGCACGGCTTACTGCAGCCTCAACTTCCTAGGCTCAAGTGATCCTCCCACCTCAGCCTCCCAGGTAGCTGGGACTACAGGTATGCGCCTCCACGCCCAGCTAATTGTTGTATTTTTAGTAGAGATGGGGTTTGTCGTGTTGCCCAGGCTGGTCTCGAACTCCTCAGCTCAAGCGATCTGGCCGCCTTGGCCTCCCAAAGTGCTGGGATTACAGGCATGAGCCACTGCACCAAGCCTTCAAATGTTAATCTCATCCAGAAACACTCTCAGAGAAACACCCAGAATGTTTGACCAGCACCTTAGCACCCCATGGCCCAGTCAAGTTGACAGATGAAATTACCATGACCTCCTTTCAGAGAAGGAGGAAATCTCATCACACACACTAAGGTGCCAGGGTCAGCTCCCATGAGCTCCCAGAGACGGTTGTTAGATTTTCAGGAATTTTGCAAGCCAGTTGTTAAATTGTTAGTATCTCCATACTGGCCAGGATGGGAGTATTACACCATGGAAACTGGCAAGTACTAGAATTCAGGACTTTTTCTTATTTGCATTTTGCCTTGTTCTAGACCTCGTATATAAAGATCAGTGTGATCCCCTATAAATATCTATCCTTGGGGTGTGTGTGTGTGTGTGTGTGTATTTTTTTTTTTTTTTTTTTGAGACCGAGTCTCACTCTATTGCCCAGGATGGAATGCAGTGCTGTGATCTTGGCTCACTGCAGCCTCCGCCTTCTGGGTTCAAGCGATTCCCTTGCCTCAGCCTCCCTAGTAGCTGGGATTACAGACACATGCCAACACACCCATTAATTTTTGTATTTTTAGTGGAGATGGGGTTTTACCATGTTGGCCAGGCTGGTCTCCAACTCCTGACCTCAAGTGATCCACCCATCTCAGCTTCCCAAGTGCTGGCCTTGGGGTATAATTTATCACCGTTTTTCCTGAGTTTAGTTAAAGTTAAGTAATGTGCATCAAAGCCTTAAAAACACACGTCCTTTGATCAGTTAATTTCACCTTTAGAAATGTCACCTAGGTAAGTGAATGAGGGTATGGGTAGATACCTATGCAAAAGCCTGTTCATCAAATTTGTTTAGAATAATGAAAAGTGGGAAATGGCCCAGTAGTAAGGAACTGAGAAGTTAAGGGACCTGTATGCCCCTACAGTGGAATATTATAGAATCATAAATAATGAAATGGTAGGCCAGGTGCAGTGGCTCAAGCCTCAAGACCGAGGTGGGAGGATCACTTGAGCTCAGGAGTTTGAGACCAGCTTGGGCAACATGGCGAAACCCCATCTCTACAAAAAATACAAAAATTAGGCAGGTATGGTGGTGTGCGCCTGTAGTCCCAGGTACTTAAGAGGCTGAGGTGGGAAGATCACTTGAGCCTGGAAGGTTGAGGCTGCAGTGAGCCAAGATTGCGCCACTGCACTCCAGCCTGGGTGACAGAGTAAGATCCTGTATCAAAAAAAAAAAAAAAAAAGAGGAAAGAAATGTTAGATGATTGAGATGATTGTTTTGTTTCTGGAGAACGAGTTTACCAGTTCACCACTGACCACATGTGTCAGGTGCCTTGGCTGGTGGTAATGGTAATTCTTTTCTTCCTCGCTTTGCTGAAGACAAAAGTCTTCATTATCCAGTGAAGGAGCTTCCCGAAGGTGAAGTGCCACCCTGGTGGAAGGTGTTTTTGTCCGGTGTGGCCTGTGGCTCCTCCAGGCCCTCCTTTCCCCCAGCCCTGCCCCACGCTCTGGAAGCCCCGCCTCAGTCCAGAGTGCTCCTGGCACCCCAGCCCGGGCCCAGGCGAGCCAGATTGCAGCCGGCACAGGCAACTCTTCAGAGCCTGCTCATCGAGGATTTGACAGTCGATGTGCGACTTGTGGTCTGAGCGGGGCCCTGCGTCCCCTTGCCACTACTTAAGAAAATAATTAATAATAATTAATGAATAAACTGGGATTATTGAGAGCCATTTACCACAAAAGGCCTCAGGGTACACTGCACTCAAGCATAATTAAAAGTGGCATCTTTTAAACTTCGATTTGAAATGAAAACTGGCTCAGTTGTCCAGCGCAGTCTGGGCCTCTCTCTGATCCCAACTTTGCAGATGGGGCCTGAGATGATGGGAGGAGGTGCGGAGGTTCGTCCTGAGGATGAGGGTACAGCCGGAAAGCATGGGGAGGACCTGGAGGAGTGTGGTCCCAAAGATCAGAGTGGGCCTTCAGTCTGAGAGGGCTGCTGCAGCCATGGCCACCAGCAGAGAGGGAACAGGATGGCCTGGAAGCAGGTGACCATTTGCTACCGAGGGAGAGGATGAAATCCCTGGTGCCAAACTCAGGCCACTTGGCCCCTGCGTGCCAGCTGGGTCTAAAGGGAACAGGTTTCCCCTATTAGGCCCAATGCCCTGTGCTCCTTCCCTGGCCAGGGATGGTCATTCATTCATTCATTCATCGAGTTTATTGAGAACCTGCTGCCCGCAAGCACCACTCTGGAGATACAGCTGTGTACAAAAGAAGGTGCCTGCTCTCGGGGAGCTTATAATGCAGTTGGCAGAAGACAGACAATAAACAAATATTTAATACATGCCATAGAGAAAATTATAGCAAGAGGGCAAGGGAGTGTGGAAGGTGGGAAGGTAGTCCTGGGTTTCCAGGGCGATCTCATGGAGATGACATTTGGGCAGGAAGTGAGGGAGTGAGCCAAAAGGATGAGCTTCCAGGCAGCAGGAACAGCCTGTGCAAAGGCCCTGAGGCAGGTGCAAGATGGAGGAAAGAGGCTAGCATGGGTGGAGCAGAGCAGGGAGGGGAGAGTGAGGATCAGACCTGTTCTAAGAGTTGCTGAACTCCAGTCCTGTGGGTGGCCCTGGACTTGAACCTTGAGATACAGTGGTAAACATAGCCATCCTCATTCTCAAAGAGCTCAGTGTCTATGGGGAGGGCCCCACAATGGAGAGACGCTTAGATGGCTGGTGGTGAGGTATGTGGCTCCCGGGGGCTTCTGATTGGCCAGGTGGGAGCACTGCCCTGAAAAACTTGGCCAGGCGTGGTGGCTCACACCCATAATCCCAGCACTTTGGGAGGCCGAGGCGGGTGGATCACCTGAGGTCAGGAGGTCGAGACCAGCCTGACCAACATGGAGAAACCCTGTCTCTACTGAAAATACAGAATTAGCCGGTTTGGTGGCACATGCCTGTAATCCCAGCTACTTGAGAGGCTGAGGCAGGAGAATCACTTGACCCGGGAGGCGGAGGTTGCGGTGTGCTGAAATCATGCCATTGCACTCCAGCCTGGGCAACAAGAGTGAAACTCCATCTCAAAAAAAAAACAAAAAAAAACCTGGGCATCCTGACTTACACAAGGGCAGGTGGAACCTGGAGAGCCCTCCCTCCGCATCTCCCACCTCTCAGGAGCCCCCAAGGTGGGCCTAGGAGGCAGCTTCACCTTAGAGGCTATATCCCACTCATTTCCCATCTCTCTCCCACCGGCTTCTCTCCCTGCTCCCCTGGCTATGTCAGCCTTACCCTCTTCCTGTTGAGACCCCCTTAGAAACCACTGCTGCCCCCAACCCACAACATGAGGCTGAGACTCACCGTTGACTCTGGATAATGATTGGGTCCTTCCCTCCTCCTGGGAGAAAGGTGCACAGGCCCCTCCCGGAGGTGGGCTGCCATCAGCCAAGAGCACGTGGACCATCTGCAGGTGCCCTGCTCCATGTCCCTGGCTGGGAAATCCTGTTCACTGGCTCTTGATCTTTCTCTAAAATGAGGGGACACTTACCCCTTTGTATCCCAAACAAGGCTAACGAAAGCTCCATGAGGGTGACATGGTGGAACCCCAATTCCTGCCAGGAGCGAGAGAGGTAGTAATCGGGATTAGAAGGGTGTCCACACCTGTGAGAGCAATCTCCTGGCTGTCCCCGAGGGTCCAGGCTGTGGGCTGCGACCAAACCTTTCTGCTCCCTCTCATCAGTCAGCCTGTTCCAGAGCCCGGAATAGATGCCATGTTTGAGGAATCCCACCTTTCGGGCAAGGCTGGATGCAGGGCAGGGAACACCTGGATGTGAGGTGGCCTGGCACTGGGTAGGAATACAGGAAAAGCAAAGAAAAGGCACGGTGGCTCACGCCTGTAATCCCAACACTTGGGAGGCCAAGGCGGGCGGATCACCTGAGGTCAGGAGTTCGAAACCAGCCTGGCCAACATGGTGAAATCCCATCTCTACTAAAAACAAACAAGCAAACAAACATTAGCCAGGTGTGGTGGCACAGGCCTGTAATCCCAGCTGCTTGGGAGGCTGAGGCAGGAGAATCACTTGAACCCAGGAGGCAGAGGTTGTAGTGAGCCAAGATTGTACCACTGCACTCCAGCCTGGGCGACAGAGTGAGACTCCATCTCAAAAAAAAAAAAAAAAAAAAAAAAAAAAGGAAGACAGAAAAAGCAAAGCCTCTTTGACCAGGTTCCTCCCTCTTGGTATCCTGCAATTTCCATTTTATTTCGATGAAAGAAACAAAGCCCAGGAAGTAGAGGTGTCAGCCCTAATTTCAGAAGCTTCCAAACAGCTCTCTTGGCTGTTGATATGTAGGGGTGAAGCTTCACTGAAAATCAGTTGACCAAAGGCAGATTAATAGGAGAAACGGCGTTCACAATTTATTGTAATGTGCATAGCACGGGGGAATTGTAGAATGATCACCCAGTAACTTGGTGGCTTACAGATACTTATATACCTTTTTTTAATTTTGAGACAGAGGTTCACTCTTGTCCCCCAGGCTGGAGTGCAATGGTGTGATCTTGGCTCACTGCAACCTCTGCCTCCCGGATTCAAGCGATTCTCCTGCCTCAGCCTCCCAAGTGTCTGGGATTACAGGCACCTGCTACCATGCCTAGCTAATTTTTTGTATTTTAGTAGAGACAGGGTTTTGCCATGTTGGCCAGGCTGGTCTCAAACTCCTGACCTCAGGTGATCCACCCGCCTTGGCCTCCCAAAGTGCTGGGATTATAGGCATGAGCTACTGTGTCCAGCACAGATACTTATGTACCTTTTGTCATAGGGGAAGGGAAGGTGGGAAAATGGGGATGATTTCAAGAAGGATGTTTTAAGAGGATAAATGATTTTTAGGGGGATTCTGTGGGCTTAGAGAACATATAATGGCCTGGGACAGAGTCTGTTGGGCCCACAGAGCAGTGTGTCAAGTCTGCCTAGGTGTGTTGACAGACAGCAGTCTTTCTTCCTGCAATATGAGTTGGTAATGAAAACTCAGGGAAGTGGCTGGGTGTGGTGGCTCACCCCTATAATCCCAGCACTTTGGGAGGCCAAGGCGGGCAGATCATTTGAGGTCAGGTGTTTGAGACCAGCCTGACCAACATGGTGAAACCCTGTCTCTACTAAAAATACAAAAATAAGCCAGGCGTGGTGGCGTGTGCCTGTAGTCCCAGCTACTTGGGAGGCTGAGGCAGGAGAATTGCTTGGACCTGGGGGGCGGAGGTTGCAGTGAGCTGAGATCACGTCACTGCACTCCAGTCTGGGCAACCGAGTGAGACTCTGTCTCAAAAAAAACAAAAAGACAAAAACTCAAAAGAAAAGAAAAGAAAAGCCTCAGGGAAGGCAATTGCATCCTTCTTTGGCAGGTCTGGTTTCCGGGTAGATAAGGAAACTTCAGAGATCGGCTTCATCCTGTGCTCTGAGAGAGACAGAGGACTGCGGGGGAGGTCAGAGAGACCTTGAGGCCACCTCATGTCAAAGCGCCATGTTTTGGGGTATCAGTTGCTGGGTCCTGGAAAGGTCTTTGTTTCCACCCACCCATGTATCCATCCATCCATCCATTAAAAAGTAATTATTGCGTGCCTATCCTGAGCCAAATACTGTGTTTAAGCCCCCAGGACATGGCTCTTTGTCCCCTCTGCCCCTGGAGAGGGATGGCTCACTTGAACATTTAATGCTACAGTGGAATTATAATTATGAAAAACCACACACTGCAATTCAGGTTTAGGATGAAAGTATTAATTTCCTGGTTTTAATTATTCAATAGAAATTAATGAAAATTCAAGAGGAATCTCCAAGGAGCTTCGCTAACTAGCAGAGGTGGGGTGGATCGAGGAGATGAGAGTGGAGTGGAGTAAAGTGGAAGAGAGTGGGGTAAGCCAGAGGCTGAGGGCCCTGCACCTCTGCCCAGCCCAACTCATCTGGGAGCTTTCCCAGGGCCAAGGCACGAGCCTGCTGCATGAACCAAGCCTCAACCAAGACTCAGGGTTTGCTCATTCATCTGGGGGACTTCGGCTGGGCTATGTGTTGAGCTCCATCCCTGCTAGGATGATGCCAGACAGTGGGGAGATGAAGACCCAGCCCTGCCCTCAGGGAGCTCCTGGGTCATTGCAGGCAGACAGACCACACCTGTAGGGCCTGAGCTAAGCCCTGGAGTTCTGGCAACGCAGAGCCGGGCTGCTGGGACGAGGTGGGAGGTGAGGACAGGAAAGGCTTCCCTGAGAAGATGACTGGCAGAGTTCTGAGGGTCTCTCCCTCCTGGGTGAACTGAGAAGCCCCCTCTGAACAGACGCAAGGTAACATTTTAAAGTAGTGACCATTTGGGGCAGGATGATTTCCCAGCGTGGTAATGTGTCATTTGTCCTCACTTTAAAAGAATCCGAATTCAGATCTCTCTCTCCTCTCTCCCCTCTCTCCCCTCTCTCCCCTCTCTCTCCTCTCTCTCCTCTCTCTCCTCTCTCTCCTCTCTCCCCTCTCTCCCCTCTCTCCCCTCTCTCTCCTCTCTCATCCACCCCTAAGGGCTAGGAGGGTGGAAGATAAACTTCTGAGGGTGGGACGGCTCTGAGGCTTGGAGAATGGGAGACAGTTTCACAAAATGTCACTAAATGTTCCCCAGAAAGGAAGAGGATTGGAGCTTTGAGGGCAGATGATTCGGAGGGTGGGGGAACCTGTGTCCCAGTCCTAGGAGGCTCCCTACAAGGTGACAGGTCCTGAAAAGGGATGGCTGGACAGGCCATGATGACCCCAGGAGCTCTGGCCTCAGAAGCCCTGGCAAGGGGTCCCCACACCCAAGCTCAGTGCCAAGAAGGAAGCTTTGGATGGAATGCAATTGATTCCTGCCTTGTGGCCAGTTTTGCATCTATTTGTAAATTCATTTCCATGTTCCTGACTGCCTACTTAGGAGTGCCCTTTGAATTCTCCTTTGAACTTGGTTGTAGCACCTTGCAGGATCCCTCGTGAATTAATGAGTTAAATAAAACCATGGACACGTGTTTGTTCTATTTGATGAAGCCATGATACTCCTTTATAAAAAGTATTCTCTAGCAATGCCTTATAATCCTAGTAGTGAGAACTACTACATGCCCTCATGCTACGAGGAGGAACAGAGGCATAGCGACTTTAAGTAGTTTGCCCAAGGTCACACAGCTAGGTGGGGTGGGGCCAGGATTTGGATGCAGCAATCTGGTTCAAAGTCCTTAAAGAGCACTTGAGCTCTGTTATCTGTCAGTCCCCCAAGTAACCCCACAAAATAGGTACTTTATTTTTAGAGACAGGATCTCACTCTGTTGCCCTGGCTAGAGTACAGTGGCCCAATCACAGCTCACTGCAGCTTCAACCAGGAGGCTGAGGAGCTCAAGTGGCCCTCCCACTTCAGCCTCCTCAGTAACTGGGACTACAGGTGCACACTACTAGGCCCAACTAATTTTTTTACTTTTTGTAGAGTCGGGATCTTGCTATGGTGCCCAGGCTGGCCTCGAACTCCTGACCTCAAGCGATCCTCCTGCCTTGGCCTCCCAAAGTGCTGGGACTACAGGCATGAGCCACCCCGCCAGGCAAAATAGGTACATTATTTATGCTCAAGAACAGCAGCACAGAGGTTAAGTAATTCATCCTCCCTCCCACGGTAAGTGGCTATTTCTGTAGTAGGATCACTGTACACTCTGTGGTGGGTTTGATATCTGCACTCAGGGAAGCGCTGATAGAATATTAACAAAAATTGTGGCTAGCATCTATTGAGCACTTTCTCTTTTTTTTTGAGACGGAGTTTCGCTCGTCGCCCAGGCCAGAGTGCAATGGCGCCATCTCGGCTCACTGCCATCTCCCTCTCCCAGGTTCAAGCGATTCTCCTGCCTCAGCCTCCTGAGTAGCTGGGATTACAGGCGTGCGCCACCACGCCCGGCTAATTTTTTGTATTTTTAGTAGAGACAAGAGTTCACCATTGCTGGCCAGGCTGGTCTCGAACTCCTGACCTCAGGTGATCTGCCCGCCTTGGCCTCCCAAAGTGTTGGGATTACAGGCGTGAGCCACCGCGCCTGGCCCCTATTGAGCAATTCCTAAGTTCCAGATACTGTTGCAAAGGCTATACCCAGATCATCTCATTTACTCCTAAGTCCCTACAAGGAAGGTAATTTCATTAGCCTATGTTACAGATAGAAAGACTTTGAGGCACCCAGAGGGTGAGCGGCTTGAGTTTTTCTTCATCCCTGGGTTTATCTGAAGCTGAGCTCTGCCAGCGGACGTGGCCCGTAGCCGTCTGCCTTAAGAACTGGCCTGGACTCCCCAAACACCACCCTTCCTCTCCCGAGGCTCCCCAGCCCCACTTACACCCTGAAGGCGGATCCCTTGACTCCCGAGAGGCTGGCGGTGGAGTGCGCGGCAGGACCGCAGGGCTGATCTCTCCAGCTGGGCTGGGCTTTGGGGACATAGGCCTTGAAAATCTCCTAATTACCGGTGGGGGCGGAGCCGCGTCTCCAGGGTCTCGGGGAGGGCGTCGGGGGTCGGGGATTGCAGGTGCCCGCAGCCGGCCTCGGCTGTTTACCAGGCACCCGTTACGCTAATTGAAATGTGCCAAATAGCTGCCCGGGGCGGGGCCGAGCGGAGCAGCGGGCTCCGGGTCACCTGCGGTGTTGATGAGGTATTCAAGAGGAAAAAGCGCCGGAGCGGCAGCTTCATTTGCAAGGGAAATGACTTGACGAGGCCCTTCATTTGCATCTTTCGGCCCAGAGGTTCTGATTAGCTGCGGAGGAAAAGCCCGCCTGTTTTATGCATGAGGAGCTCTGCCTGGAGACCCTCGGCTGCTCACCCGCCCCAGCCCTGCCTTCTCCTCCTAAGTCGGGGAGGAGGAGAGGGGTCCCCAGAGGGCAGGATCCAAGGCTGAAGCCTAAGACCAACCCTTGGTGGTGAAAATAGAAATTTCTTGAGGCAAGGCTGCCATAAAGTGCAGTGAGACTCATCGGTGAGGGGGGCACTGTGCGATCTCCATCCGGGGTCTTCAGGGCAATTGCATGAGCTCAGCCTGCTAAGAGCCTGGCAGGCAGCGCGAGCTCCCCTGGAGTTCCGGCCGCTCCGCCCAGTGGCTCTGTGCAGCGCTTCCCGCCCGGAGAACCTAGTGCCCCGTTCCAGCCCTTCCTGGTGCCCCCTCTGCACCAAGACCCCCTCCCTACCTCTTTGCTATCTGGCACTGACTTCCTCTGGGAGAGGGGAGGCAGTGGGCTAGATGCTTTTGCAAATGTTTTCTCTACAATCTCCAGTCTTTGTGACAATTACCCTTAAAAGTTAGACCTCACATCCTGTTCCTTTCCTGTCATTCCCACCCACACCCCCTCCCCCTTCCCTGGACTCCGCGAGTTTTTTTTTTTTTTTTTTTACCACCACCCCTCAACCCACATTCTCCGCAGCTGCATCTACCAGGCTGGCAGCTCTGTGAGCCAGCTGTAAACGTGATTAATGCTGAAGGAAGGGCTGCTGGCTGCAAGGACACATCCCTGGCTGGGGCACAGCACTGGGTCAAGTGGCCAGCTGGGGCCAGGCAGGTGAAGGATTAATCCGGAATCTTGGCCAACAATCAGGTGGCTGTTTTTCCCAGACAATGGGTCTGAAGGGGGCAGTGCCCAAGGTTCACCTTTGAAAACTCCCAAGGGTCGCAACCCAGTGGCGTTGGGAACGCCTTGGCTAGGGGCCTCTTGAGCCTTAGCCCAGGCTTTGGGGCCTGGCTGCACCTTAGGGCTATTAGATATGAGTTCTAAACTTATTTTCAAAGAATTAATATGTCACTATGTTCAATTCTTTGCCTTCTACTTTTAAACTTAACTTTCTCGTAAAGCAACCTTTTTTGATTATGTCCTCCACCCTGATTCATTCTGATCACCTGCTCCACCCTGACTCATTCTGATCACCTGCTCCACCCTGACTCATTCAGATTACCTGCTACCTGCTCTGCCCTGACTCCAGCCAAAGCACTCACCCCATCATTCTCTTTAAATTAGCCAGTCGGAATTAGTTTAGCCTGTGCGGTCTAACCCTAGCCAATAGGGGAACGACACAGCAGCAGGGGCCACGTGCCTCAGGGATAAGAGCCCCCTTCCTCTCCTTTGTCCAAGTGTGCGCTCACCATTGCTCCATCTGTAAGGGCGCACCCTTCTATAGAAGTAACTTGCCTTGCTAAGAATTAAAAAAGAAAATTTTATATTCGAGTGCTATTCCTTCTGCAGCACCGAAATTTAAACAGGGCCATGCCAGGCTGTGGAGGAGGTAGAAGTCCTGTCGCTGTCTATAGGGCACGCTGGCATGAGCACATTTCAGACCCAGTTCAAGTCCGGCTCTGCCGCTGACCAGCTGGGTGGTTTGGGCAAGTTCCTTCACCGCTGAGCCTCAGTTTTCTTATCAGGAGAATGGGGATGCTAGTCCCTATCTTTAAGGGTTATGGAGAATTGGAGCTGATGTATTTGACCATGGTAGTCCTTCAGTACGCAGTGGCTGTCACTTTACTCTTCATGATACCGATGGGCCTGGGGAGGTCCCCGAATGCCGTTGGGACCTCAACCCCAGCTCTTGACACCATTTCGAGAAGGAATTCAAGGATGAGTCAGAAAACAGTGAAAGTATGGAGATTTATTGCAAAGCGAAAAGTACACACTCAAGAAAGGGGAGTGTGGCGTTCTCAAGACAGGATCGCACAGTGGGGTTTGGGGTTTCATCCTTATGGGTTTCTTTAGCCAAGGGATGGGATATTCATGAAAATTCCTGGAAAAAAGGTGGACGTTTCTCAGAATTGTGGTGCCACTCATTTTTACACCAAATACGGGTGGTCTTGGAACTGTCCTGGCGCTGGCAGGTGTGTGATTTAGGATGTTAATGAGCATATAACGAGGTCCTAGGAGGAACCCGGCTCACATCCAGCACCTTGGTGGGTCCTGTTGGTCTCAGCCAGCTTGGTCCACACACCCTGGTTTTCAGGGTTTTACCGGCCCATAACCTCTAGTCGTGTGAAATTGTTATAGGAAAGGGGTCCCAATCCAGACCCCAAGAAAGGGTTCTTGGATCTTGTGCAAGAAAGAATTCAGGGTAAGTCTGTAGAATAAAGTGAAAGCAAGTTTATTACGAAAGTAAAGGAATAATAGAATGGCTACTGTACAGACGAGGCTGCTGGTTGCCCATTTTTATGGTTATTTCTTGATTATATGTTAAACAAGGGGTGGATTATTCATGCCTCCCCTTTTTAGACCATACAGGGTAACTTCCTGATGTTGCTATGGCGTTTGTAAACTGTCATGGTGCTGGTGGGAGTGTAGCAGTGAGGACGACCAGAGGTCACTCTCGTTGCCATCTTGGTTTGGTTTCGGCTTTGGTGGGCTTCTTTACTGCAAACTGTTTTATCAGCAAGGTCTTTATGACCTGTATCTTGTGCTGACCTCTTATCTCACAGCAGGCCTCAGCCTGTTTTTACCCAGCCCCTATTCAAGATGGAGTTGCTCTGGTTCCAACATTTCTGACAAAACTGCTGCCTGGAATTTTGTAATTATCCTGTAACCCACCCTGTGTTTATTCCCGTCTCATTCGGGTGGTGTTACCTGCAGCCCAGGGGAGGGAATGCCGTGGAACAGCTCTGCCTTAGGCTCAGCTTGAAGGAAGTCTCAGCTCCCTCCTCTTCCCTACAGCTGTCAGAGCAGGAGGTGGCCCCAGGGGAGGCTCTAGCTGAGGCCCATTAATGGCATGGAAGAGAGGAAGGGGCAGGATGCAGCCCCATACCTGCCCCAGGCTGGGTCAGATGGCTCCCAAGGCTGCCTCTCTTGGGGGAAGCTTCTGGAGGAAGCCTGGTGTGTGCAGTTTTCCTGTAACACAAATGTGGGTGGGGGTTTTGGAAGCAGCCCCACAGGAACATCTCCCCAGCTGCTTGGCAGGTACTTGGCTGATTTCACTTTGAGTGGGCGGGGGTTAGAATTCTGCCTCCACTTTCTACCTGCCATGTGATTTGGAGCAAATTCCTTAATTTTTATACATCTCAGTTTTAAATTGTAAAATGGGGATAAAAACAATGAGAACTAAAAAAGACAAAGCATGTAAAATACAGAGGCTCGCGTGTTACAAGCGTCCATAAATGTCCAATTTTATTTGTGTCATGGGAGCCTCTATTTCATGGCAAGCCCCAATTCAATCTTGAGGCAAAGCTTCTGTTTTGAAGGCTGTGCATATGAGAATCTTCCAAGCTCCCCTCCGCCCCCTGGCCCTGAAATGCAAATGTAATAGACTAAAAGGAATAAACCCACAACACAAGGACAGGGGTGGGGGGTCACCAATCCCTGGGAGACAGTGGATGGCAGGCGTTGCTTGCTACACAGGTAGAGAGTGCTGCAGCTCAGGATAGAATTGCAGAGAGAGGGGCAGTGACCAGACAGAGCCTCCGAGACTCGGGGCTCAGGGGCAAGAGATTCTGTAGAGCAACATTTGGTTGCTGAGCATAGGGGAGTCACTGACGGTCGTTTATGAAATAACTGCATAAGTAGCGGTTCACCCTCTCCCGCCCTCTGTGCATTTCACTCAGCGACACCCTGGAAGGCTCTTCGCTAAAGAAGAAAACTGCTGGGGAAAGCTAAGGCCTCTGAACCGCAAGGCCGCCAACTATGAGTGTGCACCTGTGAAGATGTTGATGCTCCAGAGAAAATCCCTGCCCATCCCACATACAGGCCCCCACCCCAGCCTACACAGGAGGGGATGGAGAGGCCAATTGACTCCATAGCAGAGGAAATGCCAACCTGCCACCCTCTTACACGTGTCCTTCCCTCTTACATGTGAATGAGCCATGAAGGATCCCCAGGCATTTGAAGACCATCCATGCGAAGGAGAAAAAGCAGGAAAGCAATAAAAACACTGGCCCAGAGGAAGCAGAAATAATTCACGGAACAGAAGATAGCATTTAAGCCCTCTAATGAATATACTCAGGCAGACTGCAGAATATATTCCATCTATAAGAGAGCTCAGTTTTCTTGGAATAAGAAAACCCCAGAGAACCATCAAAGAGCTCCGGAGATGAACAAATATGCTTGCTAAAATGAAAAGTTCAATAGAAGGACTGGAACATACACAATCTCAAAATGCAAAAGCTAAAGGAAACAGAGCTGGGGAACCCAGAAAGAAGAGGAGCAGGCTCTGTACAGAAAGAAAGGAGGGCAGACTAGGACCCCATTGCCTACCAGTAACACTGGGTGCTAGAAGGGAATGGGTGCAGGATGGCTGCATGTTAGAAGGGAAAATTATTTTCAACCTGGAATTATATATCTAGCTACATTATCTGTCAAAAACCTCATGGCAGAATAAAGACATTTCAAACACGTAAAGACACAGATTATCTTCAGCACACCCACTTAAACATTTTCCCCCAGCTTTATCGAAGTACCATTGACAAATAGAAATTGTGTATATTTAAGGTGTACAATGTGATGATTTGATATACATATACAAACACAGCCTTTCTTTATTTTATTTATTTATTTATTTTTTGAGACAGAGTCTTGCTCTGCCGCCCAGGCTGGAGTGCAGTGGTGCCATCTCGGCTCACTGCAAGCTCCACCTCCCGGGTTCATGCCATTCTCCTGCCTCAGCCTCCTGAGTAGCTGGGACTACAGGCGCCCGCCACCACGCCCGGCTAATTTTTTGTATTTTTAGTAGAGATGGGGTTTCACCGTGTTAGCCAGGATGGTCTCGATCTCCTGAACTTGGGATCCGCCCGCCTCAGCCTCCCAAAGTGCTGGGATTGAAGGCGTGAGCCACTGCACCCGGCTGCCTTTCTTTAAAAGTTGCTTGACGATGTTCTCCAGAGAAATCAGGGAGTAAACAAAGAAAGAGGAAGATCCAGGAAACTGAATCCAACCTAGAAGAGAGTCAAGGGAAGTTCTGAGATTTGATCTCAGGCCTAGACAGGGTGACCAACTCATCCCAGTTGGCTGGGACTTTTTAGTTTCAGTACTGAAAGTCATCTCCTGGGGAACCTTGCAGTCCTGGGCAAACCAAGGTGATGGGTGACCCTAGTGATGGCAGCAGCTGCTCCAGATGGCCTGGCGCTGCCATCATGCTGGGAGGCATGGCTGGGGCTGTACACTCTACAGAGCAGGGCCTCCTGGTGGGGCGGCAGCCACCCAAGTTGTGGCAGCAGATCTGAGCTTCCTTGTGCTCTTGGGGGGCCAGGAGCAGGCAGGAGCCCTGCCCTCCCAGGTGCCACTGGAGCCACCCAAACTGCAGCAGCAGACTCAGGCATCTCTGCACTGCTGGGGTCCCAGGAAGGCACCCCTGCCCTCGCAGGCTCAGAAGTGCCTGCCCCCACTCTCTGGCTTTCTGCTGTCAATGCCTGCTCTGATCTTGGAGAAAAGTCAGGCTGAGCCCAGGTGCCATGAACAGCAGCAGGAGGCAGGTTCCCGGCAGAAGTGGGCAGGTCCCTGGTGAGGCATCACCTTCAGGCCAGGGAGGTCCTGAAGGCTAGGGGCCAGGCTGCCAGTCCCACTGACTGAAGTGGGAACTGGTGCCTTTTCCGAGCCCACCCATGGCTGCCCATACACTTCCTCCTCTCTGAGGCCCATAAAAGCCCCAGGATCAGCCAGAGCTGAGCAGATATATGACAGGACAGCCGGCTGCAGAGAGGAGCTACCCTCTCTGTTGAGAACCTCAGAGCCCTGCAGAGACATCCAAATGACCTACCTGCAGAGGGGAGCCACACTTTCCAAGGCCTCCTCTCTGCTGATTGCTGAACACTTGATGGGACAACCTGCCTACAGAGATGACCTACTGTTGCGGGTCTTACTGAGCTGTTGTAACACTCAATAAAGCTCCTCTTCGTCTTGCTCATCCTTCACTTGTCTGTGTACCTCATTCTTCCTGGACACAGGACAAGAACTCAGGCAAAGGTGCCACTGGCCACAGAGGTTTCTGGGAAAAAAATTGACACACCAAGGATCCTGTAACCCTAGGCCTAGAGACCAACCAGTGAAAATTGTAGCAAGAAGAGTAGACTCTAAAAGGGAGGTTGCCTAGGGAAAAAGGAATGCCATGGAATTTATAGTATGATGGAGATATGATTAAAGTACATAATACAAAAAAGGCAATTAGAAACTCTAGGAAAAATAAACAATTATATGAGAAAATGATGACCCAACTCAAAAAATATTAAATGTGACATGATTGTAAGCTATTGATTCAGTGTGAGAAAAGAGAATCTATTGGTCCTTGATGTTAGAAATAATCTATGAGTGATCCAAGGTTGGACATTGGACCCAAAGTGAATATTTTCGTATACTGCTTGATCCAACAGCAAAAAATATTTGCGCGGACATAAAAATACGAACATCTTATTCTTTTCAACTTTTAGAATCAAGCTATGGATAACACAGAGAAGACGTGGTTGAAGTTCAGGGACAGATGGTAAGTGTGGAGAACTTTGACAATGTAAAAATCAAAATGGTCATCAGGAGTGGAAAGAATTGCTGGGAAAAGAGATGAATTACAAAGAGATACTGTCAAAAGTTGATGCCACATAAAATAGAGATTCATCTACTAGAGTTAAAAGGTATACAGTGCAACCCAAATAACAACCACCATCAAACTAGGAGAGGCGGAGGGGGAAGAGAAGGAAGTGAGCTGAATCTTCATGTTTCACAGTGGGAATCCAATGGCTTTTGGTTAAAGTTGAAAAATCAAGAAATAGTAATATTTGTACATTATCTAGACTTTCAGAGACAACCACCAGAAAGAGGGCAATTAGAAGTGGTTAGACTGCAGTCTAACCCTCCAGGATACCTCCAGGGGGTGAACCAGGGAAGGAAGGAAGGATAAGACAGGAGGCTGTTGTTTTTTATTATAAGCTCTCTGTACCTTTTGATTTTTTCAACAGGCATATGTTATCTTCATAAAGGCTGAAATAAAAGCAAACAAAATTAAAACAGACACAGATCTTGGGAATTTACCACCCTCTGGCTGGCTCCCTGTAAAGAATTGGGCTGTAATGAAGGCTGCACTTAGGCAAGCTTTGAGGGACAAGAAGAAGCAAGATGGTGCCCTGGGAGGCCCTGGTTCAACCTTCCTATCCCACGGCATGGAGGTCATGGGGGAAGAAACAGAGGCTTGAAGAGTGTATCATTTTCCTCCAGGTTCTCTGTGCTGAGTAGTAAGTGTGTTCCATCAATGTCCTCGTATTAGTCTGCTTGGGCTGTCATAACCAAATAATATAGATGGGGTGGCTTACACAAAAGAAATGCATTTTATCATGCTATTCTAGAGGCTAGAAATTGGGGGTCAGGGTGCCAGCATGTTTGGGTTCTGGTGAGAGCTCCCTCCCTGGCTCACAGAAGGTCACCTTCTTGCTGTGTCCTCCCATGGCAGAAGGAGAGAGAGAGAAAAAGAGAGACAGAGAGAGAATCTCCTCTTCTTATAAAGCCCCAGTTCCATGAGGGCCCCACCTTTACGACCTCATTTAAACTTACCTGCCTCTTAAAGACCCTATCTCCAGATATAGTCACATAGAAGGGGAAGGGGAGTTCGGGCTTCAGCATATGAATTTTAGGGGAACACAGTTGAGGCCACAACAGCCCTGAATGCTGACTAAGAGGTTGAGGAGAGGGGATGAAGATTTTCTCTCCAGTCTCTGTTTTCATTCCATTGGGTTTAACAACTGTATTAGTCTGTTTTTGTTGCTATAAAAGAATACCTGACACCGAGTGATTTATAAAGAAAAGAGATTTTGCTGGCTCACAGTTATGCAAGCTATACAGGAAGCATGGTGCCAGCATCTGCTTCTGGTGAGGTCTCTGGAAGCTTCCAGTCATGGTGGAAGGCAAAGGGGTAGCAGATGCATCACATGGAGAGAGCAGAAGTGAAGGGGGCGGAGAAGTCAGGCTCCTTTAAACAACCAGCTCTTGGTGAACTCATTACCACTCATTACCGTGGGGAGGGCACTAAGCCATTCATGAGGGATCACCCCCATGACCCAGACACCTCCCACTAGGCCCCACCTCCAATATTGGAGGTCATATTTTGACATGAGGTTTGGAGGGAACAAAACACCCAAACCATATCAACAGCAAAACCTATGGCCGCTTCAAGTTATAGCCACTCCTTCCAGGGAAGAGAATAATCAAATCTTAAGAAAGCCCTGCACTTACTTCCATATGACTGTTTCCCCAGTAATTGTCCTCACACCTGCGTGTCTTGTTAGGACCAGTGCAGGTGTTAGGACACACCTGCAGTCCTTGTTAGGACCCTTCAAAGCCCTCTAGAACTAGGTGTGGTGGCTCATGCCTGTAGTCCCAGCTATTTGGGAGGCTGAAGCGGGAGGATCGCTTGAGCCCAGGAGTTTGAGTCCAGCCTGGGCAAGATAGTGAGACTCTCATTTTAAACAAACAAAAACAAATAAAAAGTCTTCTTGAAGCTCCTGCAATCCAGTGATAGACAAAGCATCGAGTAACTCCTGTACTCTAGGTTATTTCCATCTCAAATTATGTTGAGCTACATTGGAAACTGATATGGTTTGGCTCTGTGTCCCCACCCAAACCTCATCTTGTAGCTCCCACAATTCCCATGTGTTGTGGAAGGGACCCAGTGGGAGATGATTGAATCATGGGGGCGGGTGTTTCCTATGCTGTTCTCATGATAGTAAATGAGTCTCATGAGATCTGATGGTTTTTAAAATGGGAGTTTCCCTGCACAAATGCTCTCTGCCTGCTGCCATCCATGTAAGATGTGCCTTTGCTCCTCCTTTGCCTTCCACTATGATTGTGAGTCTTCCCCAGCCATGTGGGACTGTAAGTCCATTAAACCTCTTTCTTTTGTAAATTGCCCAGTCTGGGTATGTCTTTATCAGCAGCATGAGAACAGACTAATACAGACACCTAGGTCATTAAGGAGGGGTTTACCCTGCACAGCATGAGATCAGAAAGCCCAGATACCCAGTGTCCAAAGTGTGGATACAAACACCTTTCCCTGACCAAGTTTCCGCCAAGAATTAGAATGCCAAACAAAATCATCCTCTCCTTATGGAAGTTAAATTCCCAAAGCAACAAGTTCCAAACACCTGTGTTCCTTCTTTAGCCATTAGAGCCCAAGCTGCCTTTCACTAGAACCAGATTTGGTTTCCATGATAAACCAATTTCAAATGTCTCCAGTGTAACACTTCCCCGAAGTTCTAACGAGTCCCTGAGATGGCCCCATGGATTTGTGCTCCTGCTTCATTTGGGACCTTTGAGGACTTCCTTCACTTTCTTCTGAGTTCACCTTTGTATGCCAAAGAGTGTTTAAAATGTTTTACCTGCAGTTTTAGGTGTGGTTGAGAGGGCGGTTTTTCAGGATAACTCATCATCCTGAAACAGCTGTTACCCCTCCCCAAAATTTATCCTAAGAAAAGCAGCGTCCCCACATAGGCCTTGCCACCCATATCACCTGTAGGAAGGAGACAGAAAGTAAACATAGAAGAGAGAAAACATTTGTGGTTTCAGTTTGCTAGGATGCAAATACGTCCTGCCAGTTGTCTGGAGTCCATAGATTGTGTGACCTTGAACATAAGTAGGAGAATCCTCTTGGGAAAAGGCTGAGGCTTCTCCTGGGCTTCTCCCTCAAACTCTGCAGAACCTGGAACTTTGTTAGTCCTTTGCCACTGTCATTGGCTCTGCTCAGACTGGACTGACTGATTGATGCAGGGTACAGAGGCCTGGCCTTCTCACCCCAACCCAAGCAGTTCAGAAGGGTTGTCTGATTTTTTTCAGCATGTCCGTAGGGTAGGCTGAGGTCTCTGTTGACACTGCAGTGCCAGCTTAACTTCTCTTTTTGCTCAGTTCTGCTGCTTTCCTTTCCCTCTCAAAGCTATTGGTCCAAGAGTGCTCCCTATAAGCCTCTTACATGCTAATCTCCATCTCAGACTCCTGCACTCAAAGGAAGATGGGCAATGTGAAAATAAACCTATAGAACAAGCTTGTCCAACCTGTGGCCCATGGGACACATGTGGCCCAGGATGGTTTGAATGCAGCCCAACACAAATCTGTAAACTTTCTTAAAACATGAGATTTTTTTTAAAACATACTTTTTAATAAATGAAATTTTAAAATAGAAACAGGGTCTCACTATGGTGCCCAGGCTGGTCTCAAACTCCAGGGATCAAGTGATCTTCCCTCCTCAGCCTCTCAAAGTGCTAGGATTACCGGCATGAGCCACCACACCTGACACATTGTGAGATTACTTTGTAATTTTTTTTTTTTTGAGATGGAGTCTCACTCCGTCACCCAGGCTGGAGTGCAGTGGCGCGATCTTGGCTCGCCACAACCTCTGCCTCCTGGGTTCAAGCGATCCTCCTGCCTCAGCCTCCTGAGTAGCTGAGATTATAGGTGCCCGCCACCAAGCCCACTAATTTTTTGTATTTTTAGTAGAGACAGGGTTTCACCACGTTGGCCAAGCTGGTCTCAAACTCCTGACCTCAGGTGATCCACCCACCTCGGCCCCCCAAAGTGCTGGGATTACAGGCATGAGCCAGCGTGCTTGAGCCTGAGAGGTCAAGGATGGAGTGAGCTATGATTGCACCATTGTACTCCAGCCTGGGCAACAGAGCAAGACCCTGTCTCTAAAAAAAAAAAAAGTCATTATATCAACAAATGGTTGAACAATTAATTGCTCATTAATATGCCAAAGGATGAGCCTAGAGCCATATCTTCTGCCATATACAAAAATAACTGAAGCTGGATCATAGACCTACATGGAAAACCTAAAACTATGAAACTTCTAGAAGAAAACAGGAGAAAATTTTAGTGGCCTTAGGTCAGGAAAAGATTTCTTAGATAAGGTATAAAAAGCATAAACCATAAGAGAAAAAATTGGACTTCAACTTTTTTTCTGTTTTTTTTTTTTTTTTTTTTGAGACAGAGTCTTGCTCTGTTGCCAGGCTGGAGTGCAGTGGCATGATCTTGGCTCACTGCAACCTCCACCTCCTGGGTTCAAGTAATTCTCCTGCCTCAGCCTCCCGAGTAGCTGGGATTACAGGTGCCAGTAGGTGGGATTACAGATCATCCATCCACAAGGGTCACGTGCCCACGTGGTAACAGCCCACGGGAGCTGGGTAATGGCTGCCCCTAGAGAAGGGTCACATGCTCTCCAGTCTGCCACAGGCTCCGCCATGCCTTATGGTTCTCCCCACCCACTCCCATCACCTACATGGCCCTGTAGCTGGGTGTCTGCAGCCAGAGTTTAGTGGTTTCTCCAGGCCTTTCCAGCACTCATCTTTTCTTTCTTTCTTTCTTTTTTTCGAGATGGAGTTTTTGCTCTATTGCCCAGGCTGGAGTGCAGTAGCGCCATCTTGGCGCACTGCAACCTCTGCCTCCTGGGTTCAAGCAATTCTCCTGCCTCGGCCTCCCGAGTAGCTGGGATTACACACGCACCACCATGCCTGGCTAATTTTTGTATTTTTAGTAGAGACGGGGTTTCACCATGTTGGCCAGGCTGCTCTCTAACTCCTGACCTCAGGTGATCTACCCACCTCGGTCTCCCAAAGTGCTGGGATTATAGGCATGAGCCACTGCACCTGGCCAAGTACTCACCTTTTCTGTGGCTAATCACAGCACTTGAGAGGGATGGGAAGACAGCCCTATTAGGCTCATCTTATTCACATTTGTAAATCTGGCCAGCTGAGCCCCTGGTCTAGACTTCAGCTGTGTAGAGGTCTCTGCTGGGGCCTGTCCAGGAGCCTGGAACCCCAGCCATAAGAGTCACTCTTTGGAGCCATCTGGGGACTCGTGCCCCTCGAATGGATTAAAGCCATGTCTCCTGGGAAAGGCAAGATGCCATTTAGGAAACACTGGCAGGGAGTGCGGTGCCTTGACTAGCCCCACATACGTTTTCTCCAGCTGAGAGCCAGCCCCTAAAAGAGTGGATCCCTGGCCAGGTGCAGTGGCTCAAGCCTGTAATCCTAGCACTTTGGGAGGCTGGGGTGGGGGGAGGGGGGATTATCGTTTGAAAGAGAGTAAAGCGTAGCCTTGAAATTTATCTGCGGGGATGCGAATGGGAAAATAAAGTATTCTGGAGCTGGAGAGGGGCTTTTTTTGCCCGCTGGCAGACTGGGGAGAGAATTCAGAAAGCGAAATGGGGAAACTGCCTACAACCAAAGGCTGCTTTCCCACCAGCCCTGAGCTCCTCCAGATCTGAGTTGCGTCAGCCCACAGCCTGCCCACCCCTGCCATGGCAAGGTTCTTCTCGGTGCCAGGCAGTTTCACATCCACGAGCCCTGCTCTGCCCAGGCCATGCTTGGTACCTTATAGCAGCTTTCTCAGTGACTCCTAAAACAGCCTTTTAATCCCCATTTTAGGGATGTGGAAACTGAGGCTTAGAGAAGTAAAGAAGGTGATGAATTTGGGATAAAGGTCCGTCAATGTCTGGATGTTTTCCATCTCATGACGCAGTCCCATGACAATACTACCCCACCCACACCCCAGTTCAGACAAGACCCTCGCCAGGAGCGGGGAGGCAGCCAGCCGCCTCCTAACCAGCTCCTGTAGCATCAAATCCCTGATCCCTGATCCCGTTGCCATAGAAACAGCTTTAGACCTCACAGTCTCTCCTGGGCTCAGTAGGGAGGTACTGGAGGGAATAATCCACTATTTGCTAGCAAATTGGGGGAATTGTGGCTCATGCTTGACAGAGAGGCAGCCGAAGGTGGGAGGGAGGATGGAGAAGGGCAGCTTGGTGTCATTTGAGCATCTGTCCCCTGTTCTGGGAGATCCTGCATCTGCAGGGAGAGGCCCTAGGCTGACTCCCTGGGGTCACCAGGCCGAGGTGCACACCCTCCTTGGATCAGCATCCACGAACAGCTCTTCCTCTGCCAGGCGCTATTCTGGAGATGCAGAAGTGGACACATCCGAGAAGGATCCTGCCTTCAAGGAGCCTACATTCTGGCAGGGGAAGCAGACAGTGGACAGTAGACAGTGCATGCATGATAAATAGTGTGAAAGATGCTATGGAAAAAGAAACCAGCAGCCCCGGAAACTGGTGATCAGAGAAACAGGGGTTTGCAATTTTAAGCAATGCAGCACCGTCTTCAAATGCAGGTCGCAGGCACCCACAAACAGAGCCCCACCCGCCCATTTCCAGGCTGACATGGGACCCAGAAGCATGCTTGTTTTGTGCAGAGGCAAGACGCAGGAAAGTCACAGACTCTGAGGGGAGGTGGCAGTCCCCCTACCCACCCACCCAGACTCGCACAGCCAGAATCCCACCACGAGTGCCCAGGCTTGGCTTTTGGGGGTTTCCTTTGTTTAAACCCCACCTGTTCTCATCCAAGCATCCTGGGAGGTTCTGCTCAGAGAACACTTGTGGGTAGATGAACAGCTCCCTGGGGACAGACATAAAACCTTGGGGAGTCAGACAAACCCATTGCCATGAAAAGAGCTGTACAGCTTACCGGGGAAGGGGCATCGCCTTCCTCACATGACCCCACCCAGGGGGTGGAGGCCTTTGCCAGTGGCTGCTTTTGCATGTCTGAGGTGGAACAGGGACAGCACTTTGTTTTCCCAACAACAAAGCTGCTCACCTAACTGCCCCTCCTTGTACCGTCAGTCCTAACTGCCAGCCCACGCAGCCCTGCATCAGCCTGTGGCCGCCTCCTCGTGTCACCTTGGCCTGCACAGCCTCTGGAGCGCACCTCCCTGGAGGCAGCACGTGCCTGCCCCACACTCTGGGGCATCCTCAGCCCTGCTGGGCCACAGCAAGGCTCCCAAACCCACCCCGCTCCCCTCCCACTTAGCAGATGACCCGAGGACCCTGCTTCCTGGGGAAGAGCAGAGGCTTCCAGGCTTGCTTCCCTTGGCTTCCTGTGCACCGCCCCAGCCCTGCACCCGCTGCCCTCCTCCCTTCTCCTCCAGCCTGGAAGGGGCTGCTGAGGCATAGCTCCCCACGTGGACCTTTGACCTATGCACCCTCCCGCCCCTGGCTGTGGGGTTCGTAGAGGCCCTGGGCCAAGTCTTCCCCTTAGGCGGTCAAGGTGCTCACATCACCTCTCCACAGACAGTCAGAGACAGCAGCTTCCTTTCCACTCTCTAATCCTCCTTAGAGCCCTGCTCACACCTCCTCGCAACCGGGGAGAGATTTCACCTTGAACTTGACAATTAATGACATTTCAGTCTCAGCTGGCTTGTGTCATCTCTTACCAATTCTGACTGGTGTCTGACTAGAGGCAACGTGGGACCCTGGATTAGATCCTGCAACAGAAAAAAAGACTTTAGAGGAGAAACTGGTGGGATTCTAACAAAGTCTGTAGTTTAGTTAACAGTCTGGTACCAGTGCCCATTTCTTAGTTTTGACAGATGTATGCACCCCGGTTAGGTAGGATGTTAAAATCGGGGGAAGCTGAGTGAAATGGAGATGGGAGTGGTAATTACTTTGCATTTTCAGCAAATCTAAAATTATTCAAAAATAAAAATTTATTTTTAAAAAAATGATGAGTCTGGGTAAATGATACACGGGAGTTTTTTGGTACTGTTCTTCCAACTTTTTAAAATAAGTTTGAAAATATTTCCAAATTAAAGTTCCTGGATGGATGCAGTGGGTCATGTCTGTAATCTCAGCACTTTGGAAGGCCGAGGCAGGCAGATCACTTGAGGTCAGGAGTTGGAGACCAGCCTGGCCAACATGGCAAAACCCTGTCTCTACTCAAAAAAAATACAAAAATTACCCAGGTGTTGGTGGTGCACGCCTGTAATCCCAGCTACTCGGGAGACTGAAGCAGGAGAGTTGCTTGAACCTGGGAGGCAGAGGTTGCAGTAAGCTGAGATTGCGCCACTGCACTCCAGCATGGAGGACAGAGCGAGACTCCATCTAAAAAAAAAAAAAAATAGTTCCTTCAAACTTTATAGCAGCATTGTTTGCAATCGCTAAAAAGTGGAAGCAACCCAGGTGTCTATCTATGGATGAACGGATAAACAAAATGTGGCTTTTCCATACCATGAAACATTATCAGCCTTACAAAAGAAGGATTTTTTTTTTTTTTTGAGGCAGAGTCTCACTCTGTTGCCCAGGCTGGAGTGCAGTGGCATGATCTCAGCTCACTGCAGCCTCCCTCTGCCTCCCAGGTTCAAGCAATTCTCCTGCCTCAGTGTCCCAGGCAGCTGGGATTACAGGCGCATGCCACCACGCCCAGCTAATTTTTGTATTTTTAGTGGAGGTGGGGTTTCACCACGTTGGCCAGGCTGGTCTTGAACTCCTAACCTCAGGTGATCTGCCCGCCTCAGCCTCCCAAAGTGCTGAGATTACAGATGTGAGCCACCGCGCCTGGCCTGAGAATTTTTTTTTTCTTGTTTTCTTTTCTTTTCTTTCTTTTTTTTTTTTATTTGAGACGGTTTTGCTCTGTCACCCAGGCTGGAGTGCAGTGGCACCGTCATGGCTCACTGTAACCTCAACCTCCTAGGCTCAAGTGATCCTCCCACCTCAGCCTCCTGACTAGCAAGGACTACAAGTGCGAGCCACCACACGCTGCTAATTTTTTATTTTTTGTAGAGATGGGGGGGTCTCATCATGTTGCCCAGGCTGGTCTTGAACTCCTGGCTTCAAGCGATCCTCCCGCCTCAGCCTCCCCAAGCGCTGGGATTACAGGCATGAGCCACTGAGCCTGGCCAAGGAAGGAATTTTTTTTTCTTTTTTTTCTTTTTTTGTTTTTGAGACAGTTTCCCTCTGTCACCCAGGCTGGAGTGCAATGGCACAATCTTGGCTCACTGCAACCTCTGCCTCTCAAGCTCAAGTGATTCTCGTGCCTCAGCCTCCTGAGTAGCTGGGATTACAGGCATGTGCCACCACACCCGGCTAATTTTTGTATTTTTAGTAGATACGGGGTTTCACCATGTTGGCCAGGCTGGTCTCAAACTGATCCATCCACCTGCCTCGAAGTGATCCATCCGCCTGCCTCGGCCTCCCAAAGTGCTGGGATTACAGGCCTGAGCCACCATGCCTGGCACCAAGGAAGGAATTTTTGATACAGGCCATAACACCGGAGAACCTTGGAGACATTATGTTAAATAAATTAAGCTGGTCACAAAAGGACAAATACTATATAATTCCACTTATATGAGATTCTTAGAATAGTTAAAATTAGAGACAGACAGTAGAATGGTGGTTGCCAGGAGCTGGAGGGAGGGGGAGTGGGGAGTGATTTAATGGGGACAGAGTTTCAGTTTTGCGAGATAAAGGGTCCTGGAGATGGGCTGCATCGCAACGTGAATGTACTTAACTCTACTGAAGGGTACACTTAAAAATGGTTAAGATGGTGGTTTTATGTTATGTGTTTTTTGCCACAATTGAAAAAAAAGAAAACAACCTGGCAGGGTGCGGTGATTGACCCCTGTAATCCCCTGTAATTCCAGCACTTTGGAAGGCCGAGGTGGGTAGATCACCTGAGGTCAGGAGTTCGAGACCAGCCAGGCCAATATGGTGAGACCTCGTCTCTACTAAAAATACAAAAATTAGCCAGGCATGGTGGTGGGTGCCTGTGGTCCCAGCTGCTTGGGAGGCTGAGGCAGGAGAATTGCTTGAACCCGGGAGGCAGAGGTTGCAGTGAGCCGAGATCGAGTCAGTGCACTCCAGCCTGGGTGACGGAGTGAGACTCTGTCTCAAAGACAGAAAAAAAAAAAAAATCAATAAAGTTCCTAGAAAATAATTCCCTCTGAGTATACAAAAGACTGTAGGGCCTTTGTGGCCCCAGACCCTCACCCTCAAGGTGAGGCCTAGTCAGACAGGGCCCTCTCCAGTGTGGGGCCCAAGCAGGGCCTGGGTGCAAGGACGCTCCTGGTCATGGTGTCTCCCCTGGTCACTGGACTAGACCTTCCATCCTGCTCGGCTCCCAGCAGGCAGAGCCCTTTACTGCCCCCTCCCCTGGCCCAAGGCCCTAGAAGTGGGGAGAAGGCCATGTGGAAGCTGAAACAACTCTGAGAATCCAGCTCACAGCCTGCTGCAAGTCCCAGGGATGCTTCCAGGCCCCGCTGCTGAGCCGTTCCTCCATCTGCAGTGTATCACGACGTCCCCCGCCCCTCCGCTGTCTGCTGCCAGCTGAGAGGTTACTAGAGCCTGGGCTCCCTCTGATACTTCCCCAGCCTGTTGTAGGCTGGCGGCCAGAGAGCTTCCTGGGAGCCCAGTGGTTGACAGCTCTCCTGCCCCAAAGCCTTCCAGGACCATGGGCAGGGGACAAAGAGGGCTGGGGGCTTCCCTGGGGAAGTGATGCACATCAATCTGCTCCTGAGCCTGCCCCAAGGAGCCAGTGGCGGTTCTTTTGCTGGATTCCCTGAAAGACAGCCATTACTATTGTTGTTGTTAGCATTGAGCGTCCCCAGATAAATGAGAGCCCTGTTAGGACAGAATTCTGAAGCAAGGAAGGGCTGCCTATCTGGTCTCTGTCTCTGAGCATCAGAAGCTGGGCTTTGGGATTCTGTCTGGGGCCCCAGGTTCAGACACATCCCCATCCCTTACCTTGAGGCTTGACGAGGGCCAAAGAGTTTGTTGAGACTGCTTCGTCCAAACCCTGGGAGGGAATTCACAGGCAGCATTTATTCTGCCCTTTTCTATCTACTGACCACAACTTAGAGGACTCTAGTACCTCTAATTCCTTTGCACAGAAGCCCCCATGATAACCCTTCCCCAGCAGTCTAAGGAGAATGTCCGGTCTGCCAGCTTCTCTTCCCAGGGATGGCAGTTCCAGGGGACGTGGCCATCTCCACCCCATGAGTCCTCTTAATGCACCCTCCTGACTGGGAGGGCAGACCCCACCCCTGCTGCTGCCAGAATGACAGAGCCCCTGAGGCCAGGCTAGAGTCACTCATGGGAATCAAGACTTCAGGCCACTACAAACTGCCTGAGATGACGGGCCAGCCCGCAGGAGTCCACGTGGGGCCACTCTCTGATGAAGGAAGATGGAGGGAGCCAGGGCTGGGGAAAAGGGCTTCGCCTGCATCCTTGGCAAAGAATCTCTGTTGTGGGCACCCAGGGGCTGCTGAGAGCACTCACCAGGTGGGACTCCCTCGAAACAGTCTGCCCGTTGTTCCCCGAACGCTTGGCAAAGTGCGCACACTGATGTGTGTGTGTTCCTCCACGTAGCCCCAGCAGGGGAAGTGTGTGTGGGCCTGGGGCGCTCATGCACACAGGCTGGGCAGGTGCGTGAGCATGCACACATGTGGGTGCCCACAGGCTGCAAGTGCTGCCCGGAGATGCTGCCCGGAATGGCTGCCACTCTTCAGTTGCTGGTCCCCCACATCAGGTCACACTCGCACTCAGCCCTGTGTCTCAGAAACCTCAGAGACAAACTCCCACCCACATTCGCTCAAAGACCCCAGCCCAAATTAGGAGTGACATCTCTGCCCTGAGCTCAGCGGTGTCTGCACCACACGCTCAGATAGAGGGCCTGGGAGTCCCCACCCCTCTCCAGAGAGGATTCTGAACTTGTGTGTGTGCTGATTTTTGGTATGTGCTCAACTTTGACACACACTCACAGCTAAATTGCCAGAAAAGGCTTTTTCTTGAATAGTTTTTTGTTGTTGTTGTTGTTTTGTTTTGTTTTTTTTAGACAGGGTCTCACTCCATCACCCAGGCTGGAGGGCAGTGCGGCGATCAGGGTTCATTCACTGCAGCCTCAAACTTGAACTCCTGGGCTCAAGCATCTGCCCCCACCTCTTGTTAAAGAAGCCGCAGGCAAGCTTTTGCAAACAGCCAAGACTTCCCTACTGAGGTAGAGAAAGAGGCCCACAGCCCACCTTGTCACAGTCGGTGGGGGAGGTAGCGATGGGGAGGAGAGGGCCTCTGCAGTGACCAGGTAGTTGGAGGACAGTGTCCGAGTACCCGAGGGGCAATAGCAACTGGGATCCCCGGATGTAGAGGAGCAATTTAATTCCTGCTGGAGCAGCTGTACAGAGAAGTCAAGTTCATCTTGGGGAAGGCAGGGGAAAAGAAAACTCAGGGAAAAACTCTCTATTTTCTGAGCCAAAAATGGTGGCCCTGGATTCCCTTCTTCAACTTGAGAATGCATTTAGGTAAAAAAGGTGACAAGAGGCTGGGCGCGGTGGCTCACGTCTGTAATCCTAGCATTTTGGGAGGCCGAGGCGGGGGGATCACCTGAGGTCAGGAGTTCGAGACCAGCCTGGCCAACATGGCAAACCCCCGTCTCTACTAAAAATACAAAACTTAGCCAGACTTGGTGGCGCGTGCCCGTAATCCCAGCTACTTGAGAGGCTGAGGCAGGAGAATCGCTTGAACCCAGGAGGCGGAGGTAGCAGTGAGCTGGGATCACGCCGTTGCATTCCAGCCTGGGCAACAAGAGCGAGGCTCCATCTCAAGAAAAAGAAAAAGATGACAAGAGCCAGGTCTGCACCATGTGGCCTGCCTCATTGCAGCTCATCCCAGCCTGGGGCTTCAGCTATCCCTGATTCCTCGGCAGGCGCAAGATTCCTCCTAATAACGAGAACTCCCCCTCCCGCTGCCATGACTGAGGCAACCACAGTGCATCCCGGGAGCGTCACCCAAACAGCCGTAAACATGAAGTCACTTTCTGTTACGCATTGAACAACTCTCCTTTATTAAACAGAATAAAATCGCATGAGCACAAATAGAATCTCCTGCAAAAATATTTATCTGTTAATATAATAGCTGAAATCGCCAGGGTTTAGGAAACTGGGAAGAATGACGTCTGTTTTGCTGTGGGCGCTGCCTCAGAGCCGCTGTCTGATGGGTAACATGCAAACGGCTTCTTCCTCCACCCTCCAAAATATGATCTTCAGAGGCCAGGTTGGCTTTACCCAGTGCAGTAGAGGGGTCCCTAAAATTGGAGCGTGAACCCTGATTTTGTAAGTTGAATTCCATTTCCACTGCCCCAGGGGTGCTCGCTATTTAAAAGGGAAATTTTAGCTGTGGCAAAAAAAAAAAAAAAAAGAAATCATTATAATGCAAGTCAGCTTTCTCTTTTATCCCTTCTTGGTAAATTTGATTTTCAATTTTTCTCTGTGCTTGGGGCTGGGAAGAGTGGAATCCAAGCATGAGAAAAATCAATGGGAAGTTCCAGGAAGCTATGGCCCAGCCGAATGCTCCAGGGTTCCAGACAGTACCTCAGGGGACTTTGGAGCACTCGGCCCTATTTGCACTTCTGCGGGGCTTTGCTATGCCTTAAGCCCTCAGGTCAAGGGAACCACTGGCTACTTGGTAGAAGCTTGTGGGGTGACCCCAGGTTACCTGTGTGAGGTTTAGCAGAGCCTAGGGGCTCGCCTCTTCCTGTCCTCACTGTCCTTGAGACCCTTACGTGCCACCTGGACCAGCTTGCTCCTACCAATTCCTCCCCTGCACTGTCTCAGAGCCTGTTATCCTAAAATACAGCTGTCCCTTAAAGCTGGGGACCACCCTTCCACCTAAGCAAGTGGGACCCCTGCCCTGAGCCCCAGGCTGCAGAAGGCCACGCTCTGGCCACCCCTGGGACACCCTTCCTCCAGGGCAGGGAGTCACCATGATTTGGGCCACACATCACAGATGAAGGACAGGAGACTGCGCTCCCTTCAGCTGCAAGGTCGGGGTCCCCAGTCACCTCACTTCTGATCAGCTGGCTGTACATTCAGGGGTTTCTGTTACCCCCTAAGTTCCAACCCACTAGAATGCTTACAGAACTCAGGAAACTATTCAATTTAGGATTTCAGTTTTATTTTAACAAAGGATACAAATCAACCAGCCACAGGGTAAGGTGTGTGGGGTGGAGTCTCGGAGGGTTCCACCTGCAAAGCTTCCATTGTGCTCAGGACCCGTGACCTCCTGCCACACGGATGTGTGATGAGACGCCGGACATCGCCATCATTTCTCCTCCCCCTTCCCCTTTGAGCCGCCACATGCTGAGATTGGGCCACCTGGATAGTCCAGGACACTCTCCACATCTCAGCGTCACAACTTAGCCCCATCTACAAAGTCCCTTTTGCCATGTAGGTAATATGGTCACAGGTTCCAGGGCCTAGGACATGAGCACCTTTGGGGGCCATGATTCTGCAGCCACACCCTGTGACTGGCGCGGAGGCCTTTCCTGACTCTGGAGGGAATTTGATTCCAGTTTTTTGGAGTCTGTGGAGGGCGTGGCCACGCATAAGGCATGCTGGAGGGCTGAGCCCCAAGCTCCGGGACTTGGCCTGGATGGGGCTACATACCTTGAAGTGGGAGGTTGAGAGCTGACATGGTTTGGGTCTGTGTCCCCACCCAAATCTCATGTTCAATTGTAATCACCAGTGTTGGAGATGGAGCCTGGTGGGAGGTGACTGGATCATGAGGGCAGCTTCTCATGAATGGTTTAGCACCATTGCCTGGATGCTGTCCTCAGGACAGTGAGAGTGAGCTCTCCTGAGATCTGCTTGTTTAAAAGTGTGTAGCAGGCTGGGTGCAGTGGCTCACGTCTGTAATCCCAGTACTTTAGGAGGCTGAGGCAGGTAGATCACCTGAGGTCAGGAGTTAGAGACCAGCCTGGCCAACATGGCTAAATCCTGTCTCTACTAAAAATATAAAAAATTAGCCAGGCTTGGTGGCACACGCCTGTAATCCCAGCTACTTGGGAGGCTGAGGCAGGAGAATCGCTTGAACCCAGGAGGCAGAGGTTGCAGTGAGCAGAGATCGAGCCATTGCACTCCAGCCTGGGCGACAGAGCAAGACTCTATCTCAAAATAAATAAATAAATAATAATAAAAGTGTGTAGCACCTTCCTGGCCCAGCTCCTGCTTTCCCTATGTGAGGCGTCGACTCCTCCTTCGCCTTCCACCATGATTGTTTCCTGAGGCCTCTCCAGAAGCCGAGCAGAGGCCAGCGCCATGCTTCATGTACAGCCTGCAGAACCGTGAGCCAATTAAACCTCCTTTCTTTATGAATTACCCAGTCTCAAGGCGTTTTTTTTTTTTTTTTTTTTTTGTTTTTTTTTTTTGAGACGGAGTCTCGCTGTCGCCCAGGCTGGAGTGCAGTGGCGCAATCTCGGCTCACTGCAGGCTCCGCCCCCTGGGGTTCACGCCATTCTCCTGCCTCAGCCTCCCGAGTAGCTGGGACTACAGGCGCCCGCTACCACGCCCGGCTAATTTTTTGTATTTTTAGTAGAGACGGGGTTTCACCGTGTTAGCCAGGATGGTCTCGATCTCCTGACCTCGTGATCCGCCCGCCTCGGCCTCCCAAAGTGCTGGGATTACAGGCGTGAGCCACCGCGCCCGGCCGGCGTTTTTTAATAGCAATGTGAGAACAGAGGAATACAAGGGCTTTTTGCATTCTGTAACCACAGCCCTGCGTCAGTGGAGGTGGGCAGGGAGAAGGCAGGCAGGGCTGGCTATACACAGCTGGTTGGTCTAACTCTCCGGCTCGGCTCTGGGGTGGCCAGGAAGGGACCCATCATGGGGCAGCTCCCTGCCTTCTCCCAAGTCTGTTCTTGCCCTTAGCCAGGAGCAGGTCCTATGAGGATTGGAAATGTGGAGACAGCGTGGCCCTGGAGCCCTAGTTCACGCCCTGGCCATCAGAGCTGCTTCTGCTCAAGGCATTGCTTCTTGTTTTCGCCCCCATTCGTTGCACCTTTGCTGCACAAGACATTTTGCACATATGACCAAGCAAGGGTTCAGGCCCTCATCTTTGATTCCAAAGCTTGTTTTTCACTGCATCCAAGACCCTCTGCAGTTCCCAAGGCCGCCCTGTACAGTTGTGCAGGTTTTCACTACACAAGAGCAAAAGGCCAAATGCTGAGCGGGGCTGAAATCCAGCCTGGGCTCCATGCACCCAACTGGGAGCCCACACACAGGCTTCAATCACCCAGAGGGGAGCCTTTCTCAGCTTTGCCCAAAGGTACCATATGATAGCCACCTTGACAGCTTCCATTTTAGAAATGAAGAAACACAGAGAGGTTAAGTAACATGTCTAAAATCACACAGCTGGTCAGTGATCTTGGGATCCAAGCCTGGTCTTTGCATTCTATAGCATTGCCTAAAGCAAGGTTCTGCTGAGCAAAAGACCTCAACAGATGCGGTGTTTAAAGGGAAATGTCCAGAGACCGGGGACTCTGCTGGGTAGAGCATCAGCAACATAACACGGTGGGAACCACAAGCTTAGACATCAAAGATGAGGTCGAAGCCTTGCTCAGTCACCTCTTGGCTGTATAACTTGCACAGATAATTCACTTCTCTGAGCCTTGATTTCTCCACCGGTGAAATGGAAAGACTTAGCTTGAATCCCAATGACCACTGACCAGCTGTGTGATCTTATATATGTTACTTAACCTCTCTGAGTTTCTTCCTGTCTAAAGCGGAGGCTACTGGGGTGGCTGTTGGCTTTATGTGGTACCTTTGGGTAAATCTGAAAAAGGTCCCCCTCTGGGCAGTGGCAGTCCTAGCCCATAGAACTGTTGTGAAGATTAAGAAAACGCTGCGGTGCCTGTTTATATTTATATTTTTCTGGCTGAAGACCAATTTCTCCAGCGTTGAGGGTTAATTGAGTGCATGGCTCTGGTCTGCCTGGGAAAGTGCCAGAAAAGAAAGAAAGGCCAAGTTGGAACTGGGGCCAGGGAGGTGGCCCTGTTGCTGCCCCTCCCATCTCTTGTCCAAGGCATACCATGCTCCCTGGTCTCTGCCGGTCTCAGCTCTGCAGGTGGAGGAGAGGCTGTAGGCTTTGTATTGAACCAAGCATGGGGGCTCCTATGGAAGGTTTTACAGATGAGAGGAGCAATCGCTGGCTCCCCAGGTTCTTCTCTGGTATAGCATCTTAGGGGAAGGGATTCCCAGTCTTCCTGGGCTTCTCCTTCCAGCTCTTCAGAGTCTCGCTCTGTAGCCCAGGCTAGAGTGCAGCGGTGCAATCTCGGCTCACTGCAACCTCCACCTCCCAGGTCCTGGTTCAAGCAATTCTCCTGCCTCAGCCTCCCAGTGCTGGGATTACAGGTGTGAGCCACTGTGCCCGGCCTCTCCTTCCATCTCTTAGCACAACCTCAGGCAAGGTTTTCCTGAGCTCTAACCCTACACCCCCCTGACTTTCCTTCATCCTTAGATAAAATGAAAGTCAACATTAAGTTTTGCAAGACTGGGGACTGGGTGAGGTGGTACATGCCTGTAATCCCAGCACTTTGGGAGGCTGAGGCAGGAGGATCACTTGAGCCCAGGAGTTTGAGACCAGCTTGGGCAACAACGGCAAGACACCATCTCTATAAGTAATTTTTTTTTTTAAACCCAGGCTTGGTGGTGCACACTTGTAGTTCCAGCTACTTGAGAAGCTGAGGTGGGAGGATCACCTGAGCCTAGAAGATCAAGGCTGAGGTGAACCACGATTGCGCCGCTGCACTCTAGCCTGAGCAACAGAGTGAGGCCTTGTCTCAAAAACAGAAAAAAAGTTTTGCAAGACTGTGAAGGCAGACAGGTGGATACTGAGAAATCCCTCAGAGGCCTCCCACCCCACCCTCCCCCAGGGCCTTGCCCTGGGAAGCTGTTTTCTTTACCAGGCATCTCCGGATTTGTCCTTTGGGGTTGATGGAGATTTATTTATTTAAACACACAGCTGACACTTGTGCCTCTTGTTTTCGGAGAGTCGGGGACAGGATATAAACATATTTGGAAAGAAGCCGGAGCAGGGGACATTGACGAACCAGGGGCCTCGGAGGTTCTGGATAATTCTCTTATTCTGGTCCAGTGCTGACCACACAGGTTTATTTTTCCCTTGCTCAGAGATGATGGGAGGAGAATCAGAGAAACAATGGTCATGCCGACCTCAGGCTTCCTGTGAGGGTCAGGACATCCATCATTGTTCCTCTACAAATTAATAGACTGGCCCATCCCTGGTTGCTACGGCAACTGCCCCCAGTGCTTTTGTGATCGTAAAATGGAATTCACTGGAAGTCCTTTTCAAGTGAACTCTTCTCCAGACAAACGGATTGAGGAAGGAAATTACCAGAAGGCCCAGCACCTCTGAACAGGTCTTTGTTTCCAGGAGATGGGCCTGATGAGAGGCTGAGAAGCCACTACCGAAGCCACTACCGGAAAGGACACTATTAATTACAGGGTATTCCAGAAGTTGCCCTGGCCACAGGGGAGGAGCAGGCTCTGTGGTTTCCACACATAGTTCCCAGCACTGCAATTAACCCAGAGCCTTCCAGAAATGTCAAAGACAATGAGGTTTTATTTTTCTCCTTTTCTCCCACTATCTTGGGCTCCTTACTTCAAATTGCCTTTGCCCTGTTCTGATCTCTGTGAAGGATGCCACATGCAGGGGAAAAAAATTCCAGCTCAAAAGCAGAAAATCCCAGAGTCCCCACACCAGAGGCCACCTTGAGGGGTTCTGGGGGAAGCCTCCCTGAGCAGGCCGGACGGTCGACCAGCTTTGCCTGTTTCATACCAAGACTCCAGAATTCAGTTGCAAAGGAAAACTCCCTATCCTGAGTGCCTTCCTTTTTATACAAAAAACAAAAACAGAGGCCGGGCGTGGTGGCTCATGCCTGTAATCCCAGCACTTTGGGAGACCAAGATGGGTGGATCACTTCGGGCCAGGAGTTCGAGACCAGCCTGGCCAACATGGCGAAACCCCATCTCTACCAAAAATACAAAAATTAGCCGGGCGTGGTCCACATGCCTGTAATCCCAGCTACTCAGAAGGCTGAAGTAGAACTGTTTGAACCTGGGAGGTGGAGGTTGCAGTGAGCTGAGATCGCGCCACCGCACTCCAGCCTGAGTGACAGAGCAAGACTCTGCCTCAAAAAAGAATTAAAAAATAAAAATAAAAATAATAAAACAAAAACACCCAGCATTTCCTCCCAATTATATAAGTCATTCACATCCACAGTAGAAAAATGAGAAAATAGAGAAAACCACACAGAATAAGATAAAGCCAATTACAATCCCGTCCGCACCCCAAATACCCACCGCTAGCATTTGGCTGTAAACCTTTCCAGTCCTGTCTCTCTGGGTAACTGCCTTGTTGGCTCCTGACGTCATTGCTTTTTCTCCCCTGCCCTTTCATGTGTCGATGGGAGGAGGTCCATTGTCCCTCACCCCTGGATGCAAACATTAGCAAATGCATGGCCCCAGCTCCTTCTCTTAGGTAATAGCTCGTGGCCACGCTGGGTTGCAAACACAGTCTTAATTTGGTCTTCAGAATATTCAGCTTGTGGAAGATCAGAAATGTGCCGCCCCAAAATGTGCACCTTTTGGCATCAGGCTGTTGAGCTGCGGGCAGTTAAGAAGAAGCAGGTGCAGGAAGCTCTGCACTCCCTCTGTTTGCCTAAAAGCAGGACATAGATTTGTAGAGACAGAAGCTGTCCCACTCCCCTTTCTACCACGGAGCAAAGCTGAGCCACTGAAGACACCTTTGCACCCTTGTGGGCCTGAGGCCAGCTCCAGAGGCATCCACAAGAACAGGTTTCCCCAGCCAGCCTGCACCCGCCAGCTCTGTGCCTCTCCAGGGGGCTGCACCCAAAGTCCTTTCCCTTTGTCTTGTGACTTCTCCAAAGATGTACTGTTCTCTGTGGAAGATGCAACATGATCTGGGATTCAAAGCCATCTCTTTGAGAACCAGGCATTCCCTGGGTGCTTCCTGTGCACATAGGCAACGTGTATGCTGGCTGGGCCTAATCCCAGCACTTTGGGAGGCCGAGGTGGGCGGATCACTTGAGGTCAGGAGTTCGAGACCAGCCTGGCCAACATGGCAAAACCCCGTCCCTACTAAAAATACAAAAATTAGCTGGGTGTGGTGGCGCACGCCTGTAATCCCAGCTACTCAGGAGGCTGAGGTAGGAGAATTGCTTGAACCTGGGAGGCAGAGGTTGCAGTGAGCTGAGATCCTGCCACTGCACTCCAGCCTGGGCAACAGAGCGAGACTCCATATCAAAAAAAAAAAAAAAAGAAAGAAAAAGAAAGAAAGAAAGAAAAGAAAAAGGCAGCATGCATGCTGATGCACGTCTGCCTTTCTCTTGTTAATCTGTCTTTTTGTTCCAGGAGGCTGTTCCAGCTGAGAACTTATGAGTATTGTAGGAACAAATGAGTTTTCCACCCCTACAAGCCCATGATATTTAATCATATCTCTCAAGGGAACTAGGGGTTGAATCTTCTCCCTTCCCCAGCTCAGCCTGCTCCAGTCCAGAGGCTGCAATGGGAAGGGGATGGGGCGGATGATCTGCCCCAGCCCTGGCAGAGAGAGGGGGTTGGGGGGAAGGAGGTGGGAACCTGCTAGGGTGGTCCTCACTCGCCTGGACAGCTTCCCCTCTTGGCTTCCAAGGGCTCCTGGAAGGTTCCCTGCTGGGCTCTGGGTCCCTGTGACCCTGGGGGATGCTCCTCAAATCCTGAGTAGTCCCATGTGACGTCCAGCAGAAGCCCCCCCGAGCATCCTTCTGGGCACTGCCCCATCCCCTTCCAGACGGCCCCACTGGTAGGGTCCTTGGGTAGCCCCTTGTGATTCTCTCTCTGGTCTGCAAGGAACACTCCCATCTCCTTGCCCTGACACACAAACCTGGGCCTGTAGGGCTCCCGCTCCACCACCCGAATGGCCACAGCCATTTCCTCACCATGGAGATGTTTCTGGGGGAGGCAGACCCCTGGCCCCCTCACTCACGCATTTCCAGGCTGGGCCAGGTGTCCATGCTTTGCATTTCTCTGCTGCAGGAGACACATTTCAAGGCTCTCTGCAGGGGGTCCCATGAGTTCTCCTGATGCAGAGACAGAGCGGGGACCCGCCTAGGGGCCTGCCCGCACCCACCCCCCAACCACAGCATGGAAATAAAGGAAAAGTCTTGAGTTCCTTCAGGAGAAATTCCAGGCACTAGCTAGCCTTGGAGAATAAATGAGCAGCCGGATAAGCAGGAAGATAGCAACAAACAAGATGAGAGCAACAGGAGCCTCCCAAGCAAGCCAGAGGAACAAGGTGTTTTGGTTCCTACAGAAACTAAAGATAACATCTTCACATATGTTCTCGAGTTGTTTTTCAGAAACCCCCACTGCCAGCCTCTATCCTATAGACCTCAGATGTGGGGAACCGAGGGCGGCACTCTGACTGCCGTTCTTTGTTCAGAATTTCATCCTGAGAGGCCTGGAGAATCATGCCCATGGCCACACTGAGGTACAGCCTCCATGTATGGGTTTACAACTTTACCTGCAATGCACCCCTCGCTTTCCTGAAATGCATCCCTGCCTTTAAAAACCCTTGCCTGTGCTCACGCCTGTAATCCTGGCACTTTGGGAGGCTAAGGTGGGCAGATCACTTGAGGTCAGGGGTTCAAGACCCACCTGGCCAACATGGTGAAACCCCGTCTCTACTAAAAAATACAAAATTAGCCAGGCGTGGTGGCAGGTGCCTGTAACCCCAGCTACTCGGGAGGCTGAGGCAGGAGAATCGCTCGAACCCAGGAGGCGGAGGTTGCAGTGAGCCGAGATCATTCCACTGCACTCCAGCCTGGGCGACAAGAGCAAAACTCGGTCTCAAAACAAACAAACAAACAAACAAAACCCCTGCTTGTGAGCCGTCGGGAGTTTGGGTCTTCAGCCTTAGCTGCCTGTTCCCCTCGCTTGGCGCCCCGCTGTAAGTGCCCTTTTTGAGACAGCTGGGGAAAGCAGAACAGGGACGGGGGAAGGGTCCCTGTTTTCCTTACACACCATGCTGACTGCAGCCATACTCAGCCATGCAGCCCTGTAACCACAAACGCTTCCTTTCACAAAAATAGGCCAAGTAAATCTAAAACACACAGAGTGCTTAAACCACAAATGTCGTGGCTGTTAACAGTAGGGACTCTCCACAATCCCCAAATGCACATCCCCAGCAAGGTCCTAGCCCGCCCTAACTGTACCTTTGCTTCATTTTAATGGTAAACATCATACCCCGGATGGAAAGTTGAGATGCTAATGAGACATGCGTCGCGTGAAGAAGCGTGACAGAGACTGTGCAGTCATGATGGACAGACCACCCTAAACATGCAATGATGTCATCTGGAGGAGGCCGGAAGGAAAATAAATCAACAGTCCGACCAGCTTTGGGGAGCCAGCTGCAGGTCTCTTCCTGTACTGTCCCCCTTGCTGCTCCAGCTGAAAGCCCTGATAAACTGCCTTGCTCAAGCCCATCTTAGACTCTCGGTCAACTTCTATTTTCTGAGGGTCCACTGGCTGGGAACGCTGTGCTCTTGGAAACTCTCCCTTCTAGGGTTCTGGGAGAGGGTGAGGGGGCTCAAGAGACCGGGGCGGTTCTCCTTCATCCTGCTGTAAATCCTGCACCTGACAGGGCAGGGTCCCTGGTATCTATAGCATCATCTCTCCAGCCAAAACTCAGCCCTGCTCTAACAGCCTGAGACAGTGCCCTTTCTAAATACAGTGCTGTGATATGATGGCAACTCACATGTATCAAGCATTCACTGCAACAAACACTTTGAGGGATTAGCTCGCAGAACCCTCACAGCCCTAGGAGCTAGACACTGCGTGCAGGAGAGGTAACTGACCCAAAGAATGCCTGGCCTCTGACCTGGTTACCGCGGAGGAGGGTGATCTCTAGGCCACACCATGTCCCTCCTGACAGGAGTGTCTTTGTTGCCCAAGGGCTTTGGCCCCTGGAGGGTCCAGCAATGCGGTTTATGATGGGGGCCTCAGGACATCCCGTATCAGTGCCGACCTCCAGAGGGACTGAAGAGGATAGGTGAGTCACATGGTTAGCGTGTGATGGAGCCCCAGGAAAAGCTCTGGACCCCAAAGCCTCAGGTGAGCTTCCCTGGCAGGAAGCACTCTTGAATGTTGTCAGGCATTAGGGCCAGGAGGTGGGAAGACCGCCCAGGGTTCCCTGGGGAGAAGATGGCCAGAGGCTCCGCGTTTAGATCCCATCAGACTTTGGCCTGTGCATCTTGTCCCATGGCTGGTCCTAATTTGTAACTTATTTATTTATTTATTTATTTATTTATATATTCTGAGACAGAGTCTTGCTCTATCACCTGGGCTGGAGTGCAGTAGTTTGATCTCGGCTCATTGCAACCTCCACCTCCTGGGTTCAAGCAATTCTCCTGCCTCAGCCTCCTCAATAGCTGGGATTATAGGCGTGCGCCACCGTGCCTGGCTAATTTTTGTATTTTTAGGAGAGGTGGGGTTTCACCATGTTGGCCAGACTGGTCTTGAACTCCTGACCTTGTGATCCGGCTGCCTCAGCCTCCCAAAGTGCTGGGATTACAGGTGTGAGCTATTGCGCCAGGCCATTAATTTGTAACCTTTTGCGGTAACTATAATTGTTAAGTATAGCACTCTCCTGAGTTCTGTAGGTCATTCTAGAAAATTATCAAATGAGACGGTGGTTGTGCGGGCCCCCAAATTCATAGCAAGCTGGTCTAAAGTGAGGGTGGTCCTGGGACCCTCATTGTTGTGGCTGGGGTCTGAAGTGGGGGCTGCCTTGTGGAACCTGTACCCTCTGACCATAGAGTTTCCAGAATTCACCACAGATGCTGTCATGATCTCTGCTTCACAGATGGGGAGGTAGATGGACACTGAGGTTTCGTGACCTGCCCAAGGCCAGGCAGTTATATAATCTGTTATATAATCTGCAAATTTAAAAATACTTAATCTAGGCCAGGTGCAGTGGCTCACACCTACAATCCTAGCACTTTGGGAGGCCGAGGTGGGAGGATCACTTGAGGTCAGGAGTTCGAAACCAGCCTGGCCAACATGGTGAAACCCCGTCTCTAGTAAAAATACAAAAAAAATTAGCTGGGTATGGTGGAGGGCACCTGTAATCCCAGCTACTTGGGAGGCTGAGGCAGGAGAATTGCTTGAACCTGGGAGGCAAAGATTGCAGTGAGCCAAGATTGGGCCACTGCACTCCCAACCTGGGTGACAGAGTGAGATCTGTCTCAAAATAATAATAATAATAAGTAAGTAAATAAATAAATAAATAAATAATAAAGTTAAAAAGCACTTAATCCAGCTGGGCGAGGTGGCTCACACCTGTAATCCCAGCACTTTGGGAAGCCGAGGTGGGCGGATCACAAGGTCAGGAGATCGAGACCATCCTGGCTAACACGGTGAAACCCCGTGTCTACTAAAAATACAAAAAGTTAGCTGGGTGCGATGGCGGGCGTTGTGGCAGGCACCTGTAGTCGCAGCTACTCGGGAGGCTGAGGCAGGAGAATGGCGTGAACCCGGGAGGCAGAGCTTGCAGTGAGCTGAGATCTCACCACTGCACTCCAGCCTGGGAGACAGAGTGAGACTCCGTCTCAAAAAAAAAAAAAAAAAAAAGCACTGAATCCTAAGTGAACGAATGCAGGAACAGAAAACCATGTTCTCACTTATAAGTGGGAGCTAAACATTGAGTACACCTGGACACAAAGAAGAGACCAACAGACACCAGGGTCTATTTGAGGGTGGCGGGTGGGAAGACGGCGAGGATTGAAAAATGACCTATCGGCTGGGCACAGTGGCTCATGCCTGTAATCCCAGCACTTGGGAGGCCGAGGCAGGTGGATCACGAGGTCAGGAGTTCGAGACCAGCCTGGCCAACATAGTGAAACCCCGTCTCTACTAAAAATACAAAAATTAGCCGGGCATGGTGGCATGCACCTGTAGTCCCAGCTACTCGGGAGGCTGAGGCAGGAGAATCACTTGAACCAGGGAGGTGGAGACTGTAGTGAGCTGAGATCGTGCCATTGCACTCCAGCTGGGGGAATAGAGTGAGATTCCATCAGAAAGAAAGAAAGAAAGAAAGAAAGAAAGAAAGAAAGAAAGAAAGAAAGAAAGAAAAGAAAGAAAAGAAAGAAAAGAAAGAAAAGAAAGAAAGAAAGACAGACAAACGACCTATCCGTACCCCAGAGACATGCAATTTACTCATGGAAGTAAACTGCACATGTACCTCCTGACCCTAAAATAAATGTTGGAAAGGAAAAAATATACCCAACAAAACAAAACAAGATAAAACAAGGGCAGGCATGGTGGCTCATGCCTGTAATCCCAGCGCTTTGGGAGGCAGAGATGGGAAGATCCCTTGAGTCCAGGAGTTTGAGACCAGCCTGGGCAACATAGCAAAACCCTGAGACCCCCATCTCTACAGAAAATATAAGATTTGGCCAGGCATGGTGGCATGCACCTGTGGTCCTGGCTACTTGGGAGGCTGAAGCGGGAGGATATTTTGAGCCTGGGAGGTAGAGGCTGCAGTGAGCCATGGTCCTGCCACTGCATTCCAGGCTGGCCAATGCAGCGAGATCCTGTCTCAAACAAAACAAAGCAAAACAAAAAAACACAAGAACCCTCCCCAACAAGAAACCTAACCCTCTATCCATGGGCCACAGCGATCCCAAGGAGCATGTCCTACAAGTGTAGACCGAACCCCGGGAGAAGGAGAGGGGAACAGGGCTCTGGACCTGCGGGGCGGGGTTTCCTCCATATTGCCTCCCTTACGATGCAGTGATGAGGATCTTTATAGGTCTTTTGGGGGTGACCGCCGTCCACACCCCACCCCCTCCAAAACCCAGTATCAGTTATCAGAGATGGGCTAGATCAGTGATGGCAGAAGGGGTGTGAAGTATTGCTCAGATGGATCCCTGCCTGACATTATTAGAAGGAGCAGTGCCCCCCACCCTCATCGGCACACTGGGTTTGGCCTCAGGCTGTTCCCTGAGGCTGGCACAGAACCCTGGGGCAGCCCTGGCCTCGGTGCTTCCTGGGGAGCAGATCCCATTACTAAGGAGACCACCCACACTGTATGTCCTTTGCTTCCAGAATTGCACCCAGGCTGACCCTCCACCCGCAGCAGCATTCTCGCCACCCCCAGGGTCCATAGTTCAGTTACACAAGGAGCTTAGGCTTTATCCTATCCCAAACTGTGCCCTGGCCTGGTTGGCTGCGGAAGAACAAAGACGGGAACGTAATGAGTCACCATGCCATCACTCTCCCGGAGACCTCCCAGGTGGGGGACGCCTGACTTGGGTTCATTCATTCATTCGGCAAATATTTATCAAATGCTTACGATGTATCTCGCCCTATTCGAGGCCCTGGAGACAGAGCAGTGACCAAAGAGATTAATAATCTCTTTTGAGAAGCCGACATCCTAGTGGGAGAAAATAGACAGTAAACCTAGTGAGTGAATCATACAATACAACGGTCCTCAGCCCTGGTGCCCAGCACCCCACTGACGGCAGGCCCTTTCCAGGCAAGCTGCCAAGTGCTGGCCCCTGTAACGTGTTCAGCTGAGGATTCATCCCAGGCCAGGAATATGGGTGCAAGAGAGTGGGGTGTAGGGTCGGGAGATGCACAGAGGAGGGGTGGCTGGTTTCCAAAAATGGCCCCAGCAATATTTCCATGTCTGCATGCTTTTCCTTCAGGAGCTGGTGTCTATTTCCCCTCCCCTTCAACCTGGTTGGGCTGGTGACTGTCTGACGAACCGAATGAGGTTGAAATGATGCTGTGTGACTTCGAGTCTACTTTATGAAAGGCCTTTCACTTGGCTGTCTCTCTCTTTGTGTGTGTGTGTGTGTGTGTGTGTGTCTAATATGTAGCCACTAGCTGCACGTGACCGCCGAGCACTTAAAATGTGGCTAGTGCAACTAAGCAACTGAATTTTTAGTTTTACTTAATTTTAACCCTCCCCTCTCTCCCCTCCCCGCTCCTCTTTCTTTCTTTTTTGAGACCGGGTCTCACTCTGACACCCAGGCCGGAGTGCAGAGGTGCAATCTCGGCTCACTGCAACCTCTGCTTCCTCGGTTCAAGCAATTCCCATGCCTCAACCTCCCAAGTAGCTGGGACTACAGGTGCGTGCCACCACGCCCAGCTAATTTTTTGTTTTTGAGATGGAGTTTTGCTCTTTGTTGCCTAGGCTGGAGTACAGTGGTACAATCTCAACTCACCGCAGCCTCTGTCTCCCAGGTTCAAGCAATTCTCCCGCCTCAGCCTCCCTAGTAGCTGGGCTTACAGGCGCCCGCCAACACGCCCAGCTGATTTTTATATTTTTAGTAGAGACAGGGTTTCGCCATGTTGGCCAAGCTGGTCTCAAACTCCTGGCCTCAAGTGATCCGCCTGCCTCAGCCTCCCGAAGTGCTGAGGTTACTGGTGTGAGCCACTGAGCCCAGCCAATAGTAATACATTTTCACTGAAATTGCAATAGCAACATATGGCACCAGCTCACTCTCTCTTGCCACCCACGTATGGAGTCAACAAGTAAGAGGTGAAACCCTGTCTCTATTAAAAATGCAAAAATTAGCTGGGTGTGGTGGCGGGCACCTGTAATCCCAGCTACTAGGGAGGCTGAGGCAGAAGAATTGCTTGAACCCAGGAGACAGAGGCTGCAGTGAGTTGAGATTGCACCACTGTACTCCAGCCTGGGTGACAGAGCGAGGAAAAAAAAAATCTAAGCTGTTGAAATTTTAAAATATTTTGAGCCCTAAGGGATTGTGATTATAGGACATGAGTCACATAAACAGGCAGCTATAACCTTTGTTTCTCTGATTATAGATGAGCATTTTTCCTCACCTACATTGTTTTGAAAATGTTGTGACTAAAGTGTGGCAGGGAAGACCCCTTCCCTCTTCACTGTTGGTCTTCATCATAGATTAACTTCCCCCTTTCCTTTCTTATGCAAAGACTTCATGACTATCACATTGTCTAAGAACATTAAATAGACTCTTAAATTGGAAAGGAAATAAAAACAAGTTGTACAGAAAATACATTGTGACTGATTAAATTGTTGTAACTAAGCCAGGTGCGGTGGCTCACACCTGTAATCCCAGCACTTTGGGAGGCCGAGGTGGGCGGATCACGAGGTCAGGAGTTCAAGACCGTCCTGGCTAACATGGTGAAACCCCGTCTCTACTAAAAATACAAAGAATTAGCCGGGTGTGGTGGTGGGCGCCTGTAGTCCCAGCTACTCAGGAGGCTGAGGCAGGAGAATTACTTGAACCCAGGAGGTGGAGGTTGCAGTGAGTTGAGATCGTACCATTGCACTCCAGCTTGGGCAACAAGAGCGAAACTCCATCTCAAAAATAAATAAATAAATAAATAAATAAATAAAATAAAAATAAATCGTAACTCATAAACTAGACTATACAAAGTGCTATATTCCTACTAAATTTCTTTGTTTTCTGACTATACAAGCAAGACTTTAACTTTTTTTTTTTTTTTTGAGACAGAGTCTTGCTCTGTTGCCCAGGCTGGAGTGCAGTGGCACAATCACAGCTCACTGCAGCCTTGACTGCCTGGCCTTAAGTGATCTCTCACCTCAGCCTCCCTACTAGCTGGGACCACAGGTGTGCACCACCACACCCGGCTAATTTTTTAACTTTTTTTTAGAGATGGGGATCCCATCATCTTGCCCAGGCTGGTCTCAAACTCCTGGGCTCAAAGGATCCATCTGCCAGGGCCTCCCAAAGTGCTGGGATTACAGTCGTGAGCCACTGTGCCCAGCTAAGACCTTAACTTTTAACTTCAGAGCACTGACCCTATTCCTGTGGAGTCTGTGTACCTGAACGGCTATTCTCAGCTTTTCGCTTAAATCAACTCTTTTAAACTGGATTTTGATCCTTTTGGTTATTTCAGTTTGACAGGCTACCTTAAAGTACCATAAGGCCAACTGTGGTGGCCCACGCCTGTAATCCCAGCACTTTGGGAGGCTGAGGCGGGCAGATCACCTGAGGTCAGGAGTTCGAGACCAGCCTGGCCAACATGGTGAAACCCCATCTCTACTAATAATACAAAAATTAGCCTGGCATGGTGGTGCATGCCTGTAATCCCAGCTACTTGGTAGGCTGAGGCAGGAGATTTGCTTGACCCGGGAGGCGGAGGTTGCAGTGAGCCATGATTGTGCCACTGCACTCCAGCCTGGGCGACAGAGCATGACGCTGTCTCAAAAAAAAAAAAAAAAAAAGGGCTGGATGCAGTGGCTCTCGCCTGTAATCCCAGCACTTTGGGAGGCCCAGGCAGGAGGATCACGAGGTCAGGAGATCGAGACCATCCTGGCTAACACGGTGAAACCCCGTCTCTACTAAAAATACAAAAAATTAGCCAGGTGTGGTGGCGGGCGCCTGTTGTTCCAGCTACTCAGGAGGCTGAGGCAGGAGAATGGCGTGAACCCAGGAGGTGGAGCTTGCAGTGAGCCGAGATCGCGCCAGTGCACTCCAGCCTGGGGGACAGGGCGAGACTCTGTCTCAAAAAAAAAAAAAAAAGGTTGCTTTGGCTGGGCGTGGTGGCTCTTGCCTGATAATCCCAGCACTTTGGGAGGCCGAGGTGGGAGGATCCCTTGAGCCCAGGAATTTGAGACCAGCCTGGGAAACATGGTGAGGCCCCATCTCTACAAAAAAGTAAAAAATATTAGCTGGGTGTGGTGGTGTGCACCTGTGGTCCCAGCTACTCGGAAGGCTGAGGTGGGAGCATCACTTGAGCCAGGGAGGTTGAGGCTGCAGTGAGCCGTGATCGCACCACTGCACTCCAGCCTGGGCGACAGAGCATGACCCTGTGTGAAATAAAAAAAGAGAAAGTTTGCTTTATAATATTTCAAAATGATCGATTTCCCCCACCAGCAGCCTCCTTTTATTTTTTTTTCAACTGCAAATTACAATTTTAAGAACTAGAATATGAGCTGTAGGTTTGGGCTCCCTAGGACAATGTAGAGACCATTTGACTTTCTATGACTTTCAGAAGCAGCCTGGACACCCCTTCCCCTCACCCGACCCCAACAGAAACCCCTCAGCTCTGAACTGCAATCTGCTGCTGGCTCTGTGTCATCTTAGCTTGGCGTCTGGCTGGAGATCAGAAACGCCACCGTGCTAGGGAAGGCTGCAAATCTGAATTTACATATAGATTTCCCAGGGCAGGTAGTTTCCTAGCTTTTCCCTGATGAAGGTGAGGTTGTTCTTGATTTTCTGATTATCCAGAGGCTGGGTTGATTGTGCAGGTTTTTGCAGAGTAGCTTTCTGGGTTCGGGGATGGTTGTAAGGCGAGAATTTAACAATGGAAGTTGCTAAATTTGTGGAGGGGTCTCAGATGCACTTACTGGAGATTCCTCTCAGAAGTCCGTGCTGCAGAGTCAAAATACTCCCTCTGAGGAGCAGGGAAGAAAGCAAACTTGCAATTCCTTCCCTTCAGTGTTTTGGAACCACACCAATTTGTACGATCAGCATTCTCTGCCCCTTCCCCTTTATTTATTTATTTGTTTGCTTATTTATATATTTTTTTATTTTTATTTTTTTTGAGATGGAGTCTTGCTCTGTTGTCCAAGCTGGAGTACATTGGTGCGTATGAGCTCACTGCAACCAGCGATCTGCAATCGCTTCCCAGATTCAAGCAATTCTCCTGCCTCAGCCTCCCCAGTAGCTGGGATTACAGGCACACGCTCCCACTCCAGGCTAATTTTTGTACCTTTAGTAGAGACAGAGTTTCACCATGTTGGCCAGGCTGGTCTCGAATTCCTGACCTCAAGTGATCCGCCCGCCTCAGCCTCCCAAAGTGCTGGGATTACAGGCGTGAGCCACTGCGCCTGGCCCTTCCCCTTTGATTTCCTAACTTATTCCCTCCTCTGGCTAATTTTGCATTCCCCTTCAGAGGCTGAGCTGGCCAGCTTAATGAGCCTCCCCGACTTGCCATCAGATAGATGGTGCACCATTAGCTGCCTGTTTAACAACCATATTTCTTCTTCTCGATGAGGGCTCAATATCTCACACATGAAATATTGCTTGGAGAGCCCCCAGTCCAGGACTTGAAGCACCGAGCAATTACTCAGCCGTGATTCCGGAGCGGTGGCAGCTTGGTGACAGCCGCCTCTTCTGTCTCCTCTGGTTGATTGGCGACCGGAAGCAGGCAGGCTTCCATTTTACCAGAGATTGATGGCTTCTCCCAACTGCCAGTGGCTCTCTGCGAAGCTCCCCCTCCAGCGTCCTCTTTCTGTCCTGACATCTAGAGCTGTGGGGCTCAGTGCACTGCCCGTGGGGGCCCACATGGCCTGCAGGCCGGACCCCTGCCGGGGGCAGGTGACTCCCAGGTGCTGACCTATGGCAACCACAGTTGTGATTCCCATGAGGTCATGTGACAGCTGAAAAGAGATAGCCGTGCGTGGTGGCTCATGCCCGTAATCCCAACACTTTGGGAGGCCAAGGCAGGCAGATCACTTGAGGTCAGGAGTTCGAGACCAGCCTGGCCAACACGGTGAAACCCCGTCTGTACTAAAAATACAAAAATCAGTGGGGCATGGTGGCGTGCACCTGTAATCCCAGCTGCCTAGGAGACTGAGGCAGGAGAATCCCTTGAACCCAGGAGGTGGAGGTTGCAGTAAGCTGAGATTGTGCCACTGCACTCCAGCCTGGGTGACAGAGCGAGACTCCATCTCAAAAAAAAAAAAAAAAAAAAAGAGAGAGAGAGGTAACTAGAGATAGGCACACAGCGTCTACTCTTCAAAGCTGCCTCTCAGATCACACACTCTCCCATCCCCTGGGCTGTTAATGTAAGTAAGCCCTTCTCTGATCCCAAAGCTGGTCTCTCCAAATTCATCCCTGTAGAAACTGCCCCTGAGGCCCCGCAGCCCCATTCTTTCATCATTGTTCAGTCTCCCTCTCTCTTTCTGGCCTTGCCCTTCCCTCTGGTCTCCTCTCTATAAGGGCTCTTCGAATGATGTTTGTGTTTTTGTTCCACCAAGTAAGACCAGGCACAGTGGCTCACGCTGTAATCCCAGCACTTATGTGAGGCCCAGGTGGGAAGATAGCTTGAGGCCAGGAGTTCAAGACCAGGCTGGGCAACATAGTAAGACTTTTGTCTCTACAACAAATAAAATGAAATTAAGCCGGGTGTGGTGGCACATGCCTGTGGTCCCAGCTACTCAGGGGGCTGAGGCAAGAGGATCGCTTGAGCCTGGGAGATTAAAGCTGCAGTGAGCTGAGATGGCGCCACTGCACTCTAGCCTGGGCAACAGAGATAGATCCTGTCTCAAAAAACACAAACAAACAGGCCAGGCACGGTGGCTCACACCTGTAATCCCAGCACTTTGGGAGGCTGAGGTGGGTGGATCACTTGAGGTCAGGAGTTTGAGACCAGCCTGGCCAACATGGTGAAACCCCGTCTTTACTAAAAATACAAAAAATAGCTGGGCGTGGTGGCGCGTGCCTGTAATCCCAGATACTCAGAAGGCTGAGACAGGAGAATTGCTTGAACCTGGGAGGCAGAAGTTGCAGTGAGCTGAGATTGTGCCACTGCATTCCAGCCTGAGAGTGAGTCTCCATCTCAAAACAAAAACAAAACAAAACAAAAAAACCACACAGACAAACAGAACCAGGTGAACCCAGGTGACTGGAGGGGAAGAAGAGCTTCCAATCACCACGCAGACCAAGTGGACCTGGGCTTTTCTCCTTCTTCAAACACAAAGAGGAAAGAACAACAACAAAAAAACAACTACTCAAAACAAATACTCAAAAGAAGGAAAGATAAATCCTCAGGATGGGAAGTAGAGTTCCAGGTCACAGCAGGACAGCAGAGACTGGCAATCCTCAAGGTTTCGGGTGGGACTGAGGTTCCACGGTGGGAACAGGAGGTAACATTTGGAGCTTACTTGAGGTAATGTGGTGGGAATGGAGCCCCAGTTCAAAGCCTGGAGCTGTAGATTGCTGCCCTTAAGATGGTGAAAAGGGGAGTAGAAAAACTTCGCCTTTTGGACCGGGGACTTGGGGCTTTGGATAGCAAAAAAGAAGCCAGTTGTCAGATATCAAAACCCAAATCCTGTGCCAAAAATTGGGGCAGAGTGTGATTTTATACTATGTGAGAGCTCAGGAGGTCTGAGTCAAGAAAATAATATCAAAACTGGTCCAGAACCGTTGACATACGTGAGCCTTGGCAGAAGCAAAGATGAAAGTGCCCTTCAGGGACAGTTACACAAACTAGAGAACACTGAACTTCCACAGGAGTGGGGGCAAATGCTTTCAATATAAGCCCCCTCCAAAAATAGACAAAGCATATAATAAACAAACCACCTTGAAAGAGAGACATTAGAACTAACAAAAGGAGGCTGAGCCTGATGGCTCACACCTGTAATCCCTGCACTTTGGGAAGCCAAGGCAGGAGGATTGTCTGAGATCAGGAGTTTGAGACCAGCTTGGGCAACATAGCAAGACCTTGTCCCTACAAAAAAAAAAAAAAAATTAGTCTGACATGGTGGTGTGTGTCTGTAGTCTCAGCTATTCAGGAGGCTGAGGTAGGAGGATCACTTGAGCCCAGGGGTTTGGGGCTGCAGTGAGCTATGATTATACCACTATACTCCAGCCTTGGTGACAGAGTGAGACCCTGACTCAATAAATAAATACATACATAAATAAACAAACATAACAAAAGGGGAATTGGCGCACCAATAACTGAATATTTTTTCTTTCCACATGTGACAAGGCAGACATGCCTTTGAAATGTGTTTAAAATGACATGAGAAGAAAAAGAAGGAATCAAAATCATAAAGAAAAAACATTTTGAAAATAGAGTAAGCAGACCTGGAAACTAATCAAATAGATCTAGATGTAAAAAATATTTTCATTGAAATTATAAATTAAATTTCTGAGATAAATAGCAGAGAAGAGCACATCGAAGAGAGAATTACAGAAATAGAAGATAAATAAAAGGAAATCATCTAAAATGTAGCACAGAGATATAAAGAGATGAAAAGTATGAAAATATGAAAGCACAATAAGGAAATGTGGAAGACAGAATGAGTAGGTTGAGCATGTGTTTTATAGATTTAGAAGAGATTAAAGACAACGTGAGGTGGGGAGAGGCAAATTCAAAATGCAAAATGACAGGATTTTTCCATAACTGAAGGAACAAGTCATCAAAGTATCACATTATCCAAACAGGGTAAATAAAAAGTAAATACACATCTGGATACACTGTGGAGAAACTAGAGAACATCAAAGACATAGAGATCTTAGAAGAAACCAGCTGGGTGTGGTGGTTCACGCCTGTAATCGCAGCACTTTGGGAGGCTGAGGCTGGCAGATCACCTGAGGTCAGGAGTTCAAGACCAGCCTGGCCAACATAGTGAAACACTGTCTCTACTAAAAATACAAAAATTAGCCGGGTGTGGTGGCGTGTGCCTGTAATCCCAGCTACTCGGGAGGCTGAAGCAGGAGAATCGCTTGAACGTGGGAGGCGGAGGTTGCAGTGAGCTGAGATCACACCACTGCACTCTAGCCTGGGCGAGAAGGCAAGACTCCATCTCAAAAATAAACAAATGAAAAAACAAAACAAAACAAACAAACAAAAAAAGAAACCAAAGAGATAAAACTACTTGCCTAAAAAGAAATAACACTTTGATTAATAGAATTCTCAGCATTGTCCATGGATGCCAGAAGACAAGCCTTTAATATCTTCAAAGCACTGAAGAAGTGTATCTGTTAACCTAGAATTATATGCCCAGCTAAACTATCATCCAAAAGGGAGGGCTAAAATGGAGACATTTTCAGACAAAGGCAGAGAATTTACCATTCATGGATCCTCACTGAATGAACTATTAAGAAGTTTGCTTCCCTTGGAGTGGAAATTAAATCCAGGAGAATTTAAATGATAGTTAACCTAACAAGCATTGCTATAAATAATACTAATATTAATAATGATCATGACAATTAGCCCAGAAGATTAAAAACAAAGTGAAATTGGCCGGGTATGGTGGCTTATGCCTGTAATCCAAGCACTTTGGGAGGCTGAGGCAGGAGGATCACTTGAACTCAGGAGTTTGAAACCAGCCTAGGCAACATAGTGAGGGTTCATCTCTACAAAAAGAAAAAAGAAGAAAAGAAAAAGAAAAAAGACTATAGACCCTCAAAGTCTAAAATATTTACTAACTGGCCCTTTACAGCAAGTTTGCAGACTACTAGTTCAGAATAAAGTTCCTGGGCAGTCCGTACCACATGGGGGCAGTATAGCCTCATTACAACATCAAGATTCAGGGGACGAATAAAATGTGATAATTGACTACAAAACTGGAAGAAAAAAAGTAAAAATAAAATATTAGCCAATAATGGGCAAATCACTTGAGTCCAGGAGTTCAAGACCAGCCTGGGCAACATGGCAAGGTCTTGTCTCTATTAAACATATTAAAATTAGCCATGTGTGGTGGCACATGCCTGTAATCTCAGCTACTTGGGGGACTGAGGTGGGAAGATCACTGGAGCCTGGGAAGTTGAGGATGCAGTGAGCCGAGATCGCACCACTGGACTCCAGCTTGGGTGACAAAGTGAAACTCTGTCTTGAAAAAAAAGAAAAGAAAAAAAGCTAGCCAATAATAACGTGCAAGATGGGAGGACAAAATTAGAGAAAAGACTGATAGGTAAGTTAACAGAAGTAAGTCCAAATATATGAGTAATTACAATAATAGTAAATGTATTAAACTTGCCTATTAATTGACTGAGACTCCTAGAATGAAAAAAAAATCCATCTATCCAAAAGTTTTTTTGTTTTTTGTTTTTTTTTGAAACAGAGTCTCATTTTGTCACCCAGGCTCAAGTGCAATGGTGCGATCTTGGCTCGCTGCAACCTCTGCCTCCTGGGTTCAAGCAATTCTCCTGCCTCAGCTTCCCGAGGAGCTGGGACTACAGGAGCGTGTCACCATGCCCGGCTAATTTTCGTATTTTTAGTAGAGACAGGGTTTCACCATGTTGGCCAGGCTTGTCTTGAACTCCTGACCTCGTGATCCACCTGCCTTGGCCTCCCAGAGTGCTGGGATTACGGGTATGAGCCACCACACCTGGCCATCAAAAGTTTAAAGATACAACTAAACCCGAACAACACAGAAAGATTAAAAATAAAAGTTGAAAGAAATATGTATACAACAGAAAGCTGGTATAGCAATATTAATACCAGACAAATGAGTCATTAAGATAAAAAGCAAGTTGCTAGTCAATTATAAAATAAATAATTCTTCAAGAACTGTACTAATCCTGAGCCTCTGCGCATCTAACCATTTGGTCTCAACTATAGAAACAAAACTGAAGGAGAAACCACCTTGCAATTATAGTGGAAAATTTTAACATCTTTGTTACAAAACTGTAGCTTAAATTAGTAGGAATATAGAAGATTTAAACCACACAACTAACAAGCTTGATTTAGACATACATAGAAACTAAATATTCTTTTTTTTTTTTTCTTTAAGCAGGGCCTTGCTCTGTCACCCAGGGTGGAATGCAGTGGCTCAATCATGGCTTACTGCAGCCTCGACCTCCTGGACTCGAGCAATTCTCCCCACTCAGCCTCCTGAGTAGCTGGAACCATAGGCATGTGCTACCACACCCGGCTGTTTTATTTTATTTTATAGAGACAAAGTTTTGCTATGTTGCCCAGGCTGGTCTCAAACTCCTGGGCTCAAGCAGTCCTCCAGCCTCGGCCTCCCAGTGTTGAGATTATAGGCATGAACTGCTGCACCCTTCGGAACTAAATATTCTTTTCAAACACACGCCTGACACTGAAAACAATTAGATATTAGGCTACAAAAGAAATTTCAATAAACACCAGAGAACTGATATACAGACTGCCTCTTCTGATGCTAAATAATAAAATGAGAAATCTCAAATACTTGGAAGCTAAAAAGCATACTTCTAAATAATCCAAAAGATAAATCATAATACAAGTATCAAACATTTAGAAGTAAATGGCAGTGAAAGAATGGCGTACCCTCGCGTGGGATACAGCTAAAGGCGATAAGAATAATGAGGCTGGACACAGTTGCTTTGGGAGGCCAAGGCAGGAGGATCACTTGAGGCCAGGAGTTTCAGACAAGCCTGGGCAACACAGCGAGACCCTGTCTCCATTTTTTAGAAATTGCGAAAAAGAATAATTTAAAACACTCATTACAGGCCGGGCGTGGTGGCTCGCTCCTGTAATCCCAGCACTTTGGAAGGCTGAAGCAGGCAGATCACCTGAGGTCAGGAGTTTGAGATGAGTCTGGCCAACATGGTGAAACCCCATCTCTACTAAAAATACAAAAATTAGCTGGGCGTGGTGGCGGGTGCCTGCAATCCCAGCTACTCAGGAGGCTGAGACAGGAGAATCACTGGAACCTAGGAGCTGAAGGTTGCAGTGAGCTGAGATCATGCCACTGCACTCCAGCCTGAGCGACAGAACAAGACTCTATCTCAAAAAACAAACAAACAAACAAACAAAAAACATTCAGTAGCAAGTAATAGTGAAAATTAATAAGGCAAGCATTCAACACAAAAAAATGAGAAAAAATACCCCCAAAATAAAAAAAGAATGGAAGGAAAAAAAAATAATAAAGATAAAGACAAAAATGTATGAAACAGAAAATGTACAAAAGATAGAATTAACAAATGTAAAGTTAATTCTTCAAGAAGACAAAGTAGAAGAACTTTTGGAAATAAAGATTATGAAAAAAGGGAAATCACATATAAATATCATGAATACAAAGGAAGGAATATACAGCAGAATTCTTTAGAAAAACAAAAACAGGACTATTAAAAAAATTTGTGGCAAAAAATTTTAAAACAGATGAAATAGAAAAATGCATAGAAAAGTAGAAATTATCAACACTATCTTAAAAAAGTAGCAGAAAATCTGTAAGCATTCAAACATTAAATCAGTAGTCACAAACCCATTTGCAACAAAAGTACCAAGTCAGACAGCATTACAGATGAGTCTTACCCAATCTTTAAGGAGCAAATAACTCCTATCACATACAAATTGTTCCATAGAAGTTTCTTGGGATAGGGGCAGGAGGGGCTCCCTAACTGCTTTTAAAAGGGTGACATAAATTAATGCCAGAAGCAGGCAAGAATGATGCCTGCAAGAAAAATATGAACACAGACACACAAATCTCAAATCAAAATTAGCAAAGCAAATCAGGCAATCTGGACATAAACACTTCATTATGAACATGAAGACTTTAACTCAGGAATTTAAAGACAGTCGAACACTAAAATATCTGCTAAAGAAATCCACCACATTGAAACATTAAAGGAGAAAGTCCATATGCTCATCCTATTAGATGCAAAAAGGGTGTTTAATAAAATGTAATACCCAATTGTGATTTTTAAAAATTCTCAGCAAACAAGAATAGATAGAAACGTTCTTAAACCAATATGAAACATCTACCAAAACCCTACCAAAAAAAAAAGCATCATAATGTACCCCCCACATGTGTACCACTATTATATATTTTAAAAGTTAGTTTCAATGTAGAATTTGAAACAAATCAATAAACTTTTTAAATTCTGTCACATTCTTTAAAGCATCACACTTAATGGTAAGACATTAGAATTATTTTCTTTAGGCTGGGTGCAGTGGCTCACGCCTGTAATCCCAGCACTTTGGGAGACCAAGGCGGGTGGATCACTTGAGGTCAGGAGTTCGAGACCAGCCTGGCCAACATGGTGAAATCCCCCTCTACTAAAAATATAAAAAATTAGCCAGGCATGGTGATGCATGCCTGTAATCTCAGCTACTCAGGAGGCTGAGACGAGAGAATCACTTGAACCCTGGTGTGCCATTGCACTCTAGCCTGGGTGACAGAGTGAGACTTCGTCTCAAAATAAATAAAGATTAGAGTTGAGGCCAGGCGGTGGCTCACACCTGTAATCCCAGCACTTTGAGAGGCCAAGGTGGGAAGATCACTTGAGACCAGGAGTTTGAGACCAGCCTGGGTAACATAGTGAGACCCCATCTCTTAAAAAAAAAAAAAGACAATAACAAAATAAGTATGTCTGCTTCATCATTTTAATTTAATATTTTACAGAAATTTTCGGCCGACATAAGAAACAATTATAACAGCAAAAATTACTTTGGATAAATATTTGGCTTCATTTAAGGGCCAGGTGTGGTGGCTCACGCCTGTAATCCCAGCACTTTGGGAGGCCAAGGTGGGCAGATCCCTTGAGGTCAGGAGTTCAAGACCAGCTTGACCAACATGCTGAAACCCTGTCTCTACTAAAAATACAAAAATTAGCTGGGCGTGGTGGCGCACACCTGTAATCCCAGCTACTCGGGAGGCTGAGGCAGGAGAATCATTTGAATTCCAGAAGCAGAGGTTGCAGTGAGCCAAGATCGCACCACTGTACTCCAGCCTGGGTGACAGAAAGAGACTTAGTCTCAAAAAAAAAAAAAATTTTTTTTATTTGTCTTGATTTAATTGACACCACTGAGAATTGATAGTGACTTAAACAAAGTGAGGGAGGGAAACGATTTTGCTTCCCAGGAGACATTTAACACTGCATTCTCCACCTCCCGGGTTCAAGCGATTCTCATGCCTCAGCCTTCCGAGTAGCTGGGACTATAGGTGCACGCCACCATACCTGGCTAATATTTTTTAAAGAATATTTTTAGTAGAGATGGGGTTTTGCCATATTGGCCAGGCTGGTCTCAAACTCCTGACCTCAAGTGATCCAATTAAAGTTTTTAATAAAGCTATTTTAAAAAAAAACTGAAATGGATATTTCTTTTTCACATGAGTATCTGGAGGTGGCCCGGGGCTGGCACTTGATCTTCATGAGATCATGCAGAGACCTAGACTGTATGTGTCATAAAACAATACAATAGATCTATCGTGCAGACCTGCCCTCATCCTATGGTCCACCATCCATCATGGTCCGTCTAGGCCTCCATGTATCATGGAGTGCTGCCCTCATCCTATAGTCCACCATGGCCTGCCACCATGCCCCATTCCTGGCAGTGGAGTGGAGAAAGTGAGGAAGAACCTGCCCCTTTTGTTACTGGAAATGGGTCCTAATCCAGACCCCAAGAGAGGGTTCTCGGACCTCCTGCAAGAAAGAATTCAGGATGAGTTCACAGAGTAAAGTGAAAGCACGTTTATTAAGAATAGAAAAATTAGGAATGGAAAAATGCCTACTCCATAGGCTACTCCAGCCCTCAGGGCTGCTGGTTGGCTGTTTTTTTGTTTTGTTTTGTTTTTTTGAGATGGAGTCTCTCTCTGTCGCCCAGGCTGGAGTGCAGTGGCACAATGGCTCACTGCAACCTCTGCCTCCCGGGTTCAAGCAATTCCCCTGCCTCAGCCTCCCGAGTTGCTGGGATTACAGGCGCCGGCCACCACGCCCGGCTAATTTTTGTATTTTTAGTAGAGACGGGGTTTCACCATGTTGGCCAGGCTGGTCTTGAACTCCTAGCCTAGAGTGATCCGCCTGCCTCAGCCTCCCAGAATGCTGGGATTACAGGCATGAGCCACCGCGCCCAGCTGGTTGGCTGTTTTTATGGTATTTATTGATCATATGCTAAACAAGGGATAGATTATTCATGAGTTTTCCGGGAAAGGTGTGGGGAATTCTCAGAATGGAGGTTTCTTTTCCTTTTAGACTTTTAGGGTAATTTCTGGATGTTGCCATGGCATCTGTAAACTGTCATGGCCCTGGTAGGAGTGTCTTTTAGCATTCTAATCTATTATAATTAGGGTATAATGAGCAGTAAGGACAAGGAGAGGTCACTTGGGTTGCCATCTTGGATTTGGCAGGTTTGGGCCAGCTCTTTTACTGAATCCTGTTTTCTCAGCTGGGTCTTTGAGAACTGCATCTTATAACCTCCTGTCTCATCTCATCCTGTGACTAAGAATGCCTAACCTCCAGGGAATGCAGCCCAGCAGGCCTCAAACTCATTTTCCCAGCCCCTATCCAAGATGGAGTCACTCTGGTTCAAAAGTCTCTTGACACTTCCGTTAAGGACACATTCTGAAAGCTGCGCACAACAGTCCCCCACGCTCTCTTGACAGTACATGACTTCTGTGGTCATCTTAGCCACAGGGAAGTGGGAAAGTATAGTCTTTAAACTAGGCAGTCATATGTCCAGCTAAAAATGGGAATTTCTATTTGTGGCATAATAAAAAATATATATTTGGTCTCTGTGCACAGTTCCAGGCACAGAGCTCCTGAAACCGTTAGAATTTCCTGAGTGATAGGAGTATCTTTTTTTATTCAAATGACTCCCATTGACCACACCTGAGTTTATGCTAATGAGGTAATTCCTGATGGGGTCCCAAATGACTTCAGGATGGGGGCTAGTCACCAGAGAGACCACGTACATGGTTAGGGGGATGGACTTTTCAGCCCCAAACCCTACCTCTGTGGCAGGGAGAGGGGACTGGAGACTGAGTATGTTCACCAATAACCAATGATTTAATCAATTATGCCTGCAAAAATGGAACTTTGATAAAAACTCTTTTTTTTTCTGTAGAGACAGTCTCATTTTATCACTCAGGCTGGAGTGTAGTGGCAACATCATAGCTCACTGCAGCCTTCACCTCCTGGGCTCAAGTCCTCTTCTGCTTCAGTCTCCCAAGTAGCTGGGACTGCAGGTGTGCACCATCATCCTGGCTAATTTTTTTTTTTTTTTTTTTTTTTTTTTTTGTAGAGTTGGGTCTTGTCATCTTGCCCAGGATGGTCTCAAACTCCTAGGCTCAAGGGATCCTCCCACCTAGGCTCCCAAAACTGCTAGGATTATAGGCATGAGCCACCATAGCCAGCCTGATAAAAATTCTTGAATAGCAGGGCTCATGGAGCTTTGAGGTTGATACATCAAGGTGCTGAAGCGTGACAAACCCTGAAAGGTCATGGCAGCTCTGCTCCCCTCTCCCTCCCAAACCTTGCCCTATGCATGACTTCCATTTGTCTGTTTTTGAAATGTACCTTTATAGTAAAGCTGTTATCATAAATAGAGCACTTTCTTCTGAGTCCTGAGTCATTCTAGAGAATTATTCAACCATGGGTAGGAGTCATGGGAACCAAATTTGTAGCCAACAAGCAGAAGTACAGGTAGTCTGGGGCCATTTGCAGCTGGTGTCTGGTGGGGGCAATCTTGTGGGACTAGGCCATTAACTTGTAGGATCTGTTCTATCTCCAAGTAGTAGTTAGTGTCAGAATTGAATTGAATTGCTGGACATTGCAGTGAACTGAATGTTTGTGTCCCCCCAAAATCACATGTTGAAATTCTAAGCCCCAAAGTGATGCTATTAGGAGGGCCTTTTGGGAGGTGATTAGGTCAAGGGCAGAACCCTCATGAATGGGGTTAGTGTGCTTACAAAAGAGTCCTAAATGACCCCGCATCCTTTCTACCGTGTGAGGACACAGCAGGAAGATGAACTAGGAAGCGGGCCCTTACCAGACACTGAATCTGCCAGAGCCTTGATCTTGGACTTCCCAGCTTCCAGAACTGTGAGAAATAAGTTCCTGTTGTTTATAAGCCACAAAGTCTATGGTGTCTTGTTACAGCAGCCCAACCGGCCCAAGACAGACACTCAGTTGGGGCTGGAGAAGGAGATAATTGGTTGGTGTTGAAACGACACATTTGTTGTTGGAAAAGACATCACACATTTGGTGTCAGAGGAAAAAAGAACATATTTAGTGGCAGAAAACATCAGACTATTACTGTAGAGGAGGGGAGAATGGATAATAGGGGACAACTAAGAATCTCTGCCATGTGACTGTAGAGGACTAAAAAAGGAGAATAAAAGTCGCTATTCAAAGCCAAAAATAATTTACAAACTATTAAACCATATAAAAGGTCAGCAAGATTGTTGGATACAAGAATACTACACAAAAATCAGGAATGTTTCTCTATATAAACACTCACCAATTAGAAAGTAAAATTAAAGAGAAAAGGAAATTCCACTCATAATGGCTACAATATTATAAGGTACCTGGGAATAAACCCAGTGAAAACACTGAAACACTGCAAATTGTATTTAAAGTTTTTTCTAAATAAGTGGAGGAATATACCATATTTATACTTGAGAAGACTGAATATCCTAAAGATGTCAATTCTCCCCAGATTAATCCATGAATTCGGTATAGTTTTATTCAAAATCTTTTTTTTTTTTTTTGAGACAGAGTTTTGCTCTTGTTGCCCAGGCTAGAGTGCAGTGACACAATCTCAGCTCACTGCAACCTCCGCCTCCAGGGTTCAAGCGATTCTCCTGCCTTAGCCTCCCAGGTAGCTGGGATTACAGGTGCCTACCACCACGTCTGGCTAATTTTTTTTTTATATTTTTAGTAGAGATGGGGTTTCACCATGTTGGCCAGGCTGGTCTCAAACTCCTGACCTCAGGCGATCCGCCCACCTTGGCCTCCCAAAGTGCTGGGATTATAGGCGTGAGCCACCATGCCCAGCCATGGACAAGAATTTTTGAGGGTACTTTTCAACTTAGTACAGGGAGAAAGGTGGCCTTCCTGGTTCATAGATGTCCTCACTTTGTCCTCACACAGTAGAAGGAAAGAGGGAGCTCTCTGGGCCATTTTTTTTTTTTTTTTGAGACAGGGTCTTGCTTGATTGCAGAGGCTGGAGTGCAGTAGTGCGAACACAGCTCACTGCAGCCTCAACCTCCCAAGCTCAAGGAATCCTCCTGCCTCAGCCTCCTGAGTAACCTGGACTACAGGTGTGCACCACCATGCCTGGCTAATTTTTTTTTTGTAGAGATGGGTTTTCACCATGTTGCCCAGGATGGTCTTGAACTCACGGGCTGAAGTGATCTTCCCACCTTGGCCTCCCAAAGTTGTGGGTTTACAAGCATGAATCACCATGCCCAGCCTCTGGGGCCTCTTTGTAAGGGCACTAATCCCATTCATGACGGCTGTGCCGAATGACCTAATCACCTCCTAAAGGCCCCACCTCCGAATAACATCACGTTGGGGATTAGGTTTCAGCATAGGAGTTTGGGGGGTATGAAAACATTCAGTCCCTGACGTTAACCTGACGGCTGCTGGCTCCCGCAATGCAGTGGGGGTGCTGAATACCAAAGGGCAGCGGATCTCGCACTGCCGGGTGTTTCCATCATCAATGCCCAACAGGCTGCTCCAGAAGCATGTTCTGCGGTTGACTTTCCTAGCTGCCTTGTGAAATCAGCAGCCTCAGCACAGCTCCATGGGTCACTCCAGGCCCCCTGCAGCCACTGTTCCTTCCTGTTGCTCCCATCTGCCCCAGGCAGCCCAGAGCAGACACTGGAAATCTTGGGGCCTGCAGGTGGGCTGAGCACCTGGCCCCCTCAGGCTGCCCCTTGAGGGGAACATGTCAGTTGAACCCAGGAGGCCTAGGCGTCTAACAAAGTGGGATGCCTCAAGGCTCAGACCCTGGCTCTGCCACCTTTTGCTATGAGGCCCGGGCCAGTTACTCAACCTCCACAAAGCCCCAGCTCCTCAAATGTAAAAAGGTGGGAGTGATGCTTTTTGCAGGGTGGTGCAAATTGCATGTGTGTGAATGTCCCTTGCTGAAGCTCCCGGGCAGGAGCCTGGCCTCCTTGTTCGTGGCTGTATTATTGAAGACAGGGCCTGGATTTCAGCAAGCACTCAATGCCAAGGGAATAAATGAACAATAATAATTGCATGAAGAATAACTGAAAAAGTAATGAGTGAAAGAGTGGGGTACTATTAATAAATAATGAATGAATGAATGAATGAATAATAAATGAATATAATCTAATAAACGTTTAGGTGGTGCTCCCCTGGCTCAGGCTCTACTCTAAGAAATTTATAATTGTTAGTTCAACAAATGCTCATAGTCATCTTGTGAAGCTGGTGCCATTATTATATCCATTTTACAGGTGGGGAAACTGAGGTGTGGGGGCTAAATATAGTTTGGATATTTGTCCCCACCCAAATCTTATGTTGAAATGTAATCCTCAGTGTTAGAGGTGGGGCCTAGGGGGAAGTGATTGGATCATGGGGGAAGATTTCTCATAAATGGTTTAGCACCATCCTATTGGACAGCACCATTGGTGCTGTCCTTGTGTTGGTGAGTGAGCTCTTATAAGATCTGGTCTTTAAAAGAATGTGGCACTTCCCCCACCACTCTCTGTCTTGTTCCTCCTCTACCATGGGAGATGCCTGCTCCCCCTTTGCCTTCTGCTATAAGTAAAAGCTCCCTGAAGCCTCCCCAGAAGCTGAGCAGATCCCATTACCGTTTCCTATACAGCCTGCAGAACCATGAGCCAATTAAACCTCTTTCTTTATAAATTACCCAGTCTCAGCTATTTCTTTAGAGCAATGCAAAAATGGCCTAATACAAAAAAAAATTGCTATGAGAAGTGTGGTATTGCTATAAAAATACCTGAAACTGTGGAAGCAACTTTGAAACTGGGAAATGGGCAGAGGTTAGAAGAGTCTGGAGGGCTCAAAAGAAGACAGGAAGATGAGAGAAAGTTTGAAATTTTTTAGAGACTGGTTAAATGGTTGTGAACAAAATGCTGATAGTGATATGGACAGTGAAGTCCAGGCTACTAAGGTCTCAAATGAAAATGAGGAAATTATTGGGAACTGGAGCAAAGATCATCCATGTTATGCCTTAGCAAAAGCTTGGCTGCACTGTGTCCATGCCTAGGGATCTGTGGAAATTTAAACTTCAGAGTGATGATCTAGGGTATCTAGCAGAAGAAATTTCTAAGCAAAAAAAGCATTTAATATGTGGCCTGGCTGCTTCTAACAGCCTAGTCTTAGATGCAGGAGCAAAGAAATGACTTAGAGTTGGAATTTATATTTAAACAGAAAGTATAGCCTAAAAGTTTAGAAAATTTGTAGCCTGGCCATGCGGCAGAGAAAAAAAAGACAAAAAGCTTTTTCAGAAGAGAAATTAAAGCAGACTATGTAGCAACTGCTTGCTAGAGAGATTTGCATAACTGAAAAGGAGACTGGCTGGGTGCGGTGGCTCACGCCTGTAATCCCAGCACTTTAGGAGGCCAAGGCAGGCAAATCACAAGGTGAGAAGTTCAAGACCAGCCTGGCCAACATGATGAAATCCCGTCTCTACTAAAAATACAAAAAATTAGCTGGGCGTCGTGGTGGGCAACTGTAATCCCAGCTACTCAGGAGGCTGAGGCAGGAGAATCACTTGAACCTGGGCGGTGGAGGTTGCAGTGAGCCAAGATCGCGCCACTGCACTCCGGCCCAGGACACAGAGTGAGATTCCATCTCAAGAAAAAAAAAAAAAAAGGAGCCAAGTATTGATAGCCAAGACAATGTGCAAAAGGCCTTAAAGGCATTTCAGAGACCTTCACAGCAGCCCCCACATCATAGGCCTGGGAGGCCTAGGAAGAAACAATGGTCTCATGGGCCAGGTCCTACGTAGCCTCACGACACTGCTCCCCATATCTTGGCTGTCTCACCTCCGGCCATGGCTCAAAGGGGCCCAGGTACAGCTGGGGCTGCTGCTCTGGAGGGCACGAGCTGTAAACCTTGATGGCTACAACATGGTGTTAAGCCTGCAGGTGCATAGAGTGCAAGAGTGAAGGAGGCTTGGCAGCCTCTGCCTAATTCTCAGAGGCTATATGAGAAACCTTGGGTGCCCAGGCAAAATCCTGCTGCAGGGGCAGAGCCTTCACAGAGAACCTCTACTAGGGCAGTGCCAAAGGGAAATATGGAGTAGGAGGTCCCACACAGAGTCCCCATCAGGGTATTGCTTAGTGGATACTGTGGAAAGGTGGCCACCATCCTCCAGACCACAGAATGGTAAATCCACTGGCAGCTTGTACCCTGTGCCTGAAAAAGCCACAGGGTACAACCTGTGAGAGCAGCCATGGGGACTATACTCTGCAAAGCCACAAGGGCAGAGCTGCCTAAGGCCTTAAGAGCTTGTCTCCTGCACCCGTGTGCCCTGGACGTGTGACATGGAATCAAAAGAGATTATTTTGGAGCTTTAAAATTTAATGACTGCCTGCTGGGTTTCAAACTTGCATGGGGTTTGAAAGCTTTTGTTTTGCTGATTTCTCCCTTTCAAAATGTTGATCTAATGCCTATATCCCCACTGGATCTTAAAAGTAACTAACTTGTGGTCGGGCATGGGTAGCTCACGCCTGTAATCCCAGCACTTTGGGAGGCTGAGGCGGGTGGATCACCTGAGGTCAGGAGTTCGAGACCAGCCTGACCAACATGGTGAAACCCTGTTTCTACTAAAAATACAAAAAATTAGCCAGATGTGGTGGCACATGCCTGTAGTCCCAGCTACTCAGGAAGCTGAGGCATGAGAATCACTTGAATCCAGGAGGGGAGGTGGAAGATACAGTGAGCCGAGATGCTGCCACTGCACTCCAGCCTGGGTGACAGAGTGAGACTCTGTCTCAAAAAAAAAAAAAAAAAAAAAGAAGTAACTAACTTGGTTTTGATTTTGCAGCCTCAGCCTCATAGGTGGAAGGGACTTGCCTTGTCTCAGATGAGACCTTAGTCTTCGGACTTTTGAGTTAATGCTAAAACGAGCTAAGACTTTAGGAGACCATTGGGAGGGCATGATTGTATTTAGAAAGGTGAGAAGGACATGAGATTGGGGTGGGGGATGGGGTGGAATAATATAATTTGAATATTTCTCCTCTCCAAATCTCATTTCAAAATGTAATCCCCAATGTTGGGGGTGGGACCTGGTGGGAGGTATTTAAATCATAGGGGTGGAGCTCTCATAAATGGCTTGGGCCACCCCCTTGGTGAAAAGTGAGCTCTCATTCTAAGTTCACATCAGATCTGGTTGTGTGAAAGTATGTGGCACCTGCCTCCCTTGCTCCTGCTCTGGCCATGTGAAGTATCCGCTCCCACTTCACCTTCTGCCATGATTAAAAGCTCCTTGAGGCCTCCCCAGAAGTAAAGCAGGTGCCATGCTTCTATGGCCTGCAGAACCATGAGCCAATTAAACCTCTTTTCTCTGATGAATTATCCAGTCTCAGGTATTTCTTTATAGCAATGCAAGCATGGCCTAATACAAGGGCTAAGAGACTTGTTCAAGGTCCCACAGCTAAAATGGGGGGAGAAGCCAGGACTACAGCCGACTACTGACTCCATGCTCTTAACCACCACATTCCGTGGTCTAATGAGCACTAAAATTGCCTATGCTTCCTACAGGGATAGGAAATGTGGATGGTGGCAGTGGGCAAGGAGGAAGGGAAGAAGGGGACCTTTGCCCCAAGGAGTGGAGCCAGTTTCAGGCCATCAGCACCAGAGGCAAGGTTCAAACTGTGAACACTTTTGTATCCCTGGTACCTGGAGCCATCGGTGGCTCATAGAAGTCTGTGAAAGGATGAAGACAAATATTGGAGCCTACTAGCAATTTGCCTGGAGAGACTAGCGCTTTCCACAAAGTCCTACACCTGGAGAGAGGTTGGTGTCATCTGTGTGCTTCCCAGGTAATCTCTGAAGAGGGAACAGGAAGAGTAGGTGGTCCCCGTAAGTGGTTGGCAGCTTTCATCTTCCAAAAGCCACCCCAATTTAGACTAACTGGGTAGAGCTCTATCTGACAAAGGCAAGAGGCTGAATTATAGACTGTTGGATGATTTTTAAGAGAACTTTAAAAATACCCACAGCAACATAGCTAACAAAATAGAATTTGCCTAGTCAAATTTCTTGCTGCCTTCTGGAATGCATGCAAAGAGAAAATTTGCAATCAGCATTTTCATCATGTATGAATGAAATGCTTGAGGGTGATGGAAAAGTTGGTGCTTATTCCCCCAGAACCCGACACACCAGACCAAACCCGACCACATGCCTGTCTCTCCCTGGAAATGGCCTTCCTGTTTCCACCAGGCAGCTCCTAGCTATGCTCCTTGACCCATTGCTGCTTTCACATCTTCCCCAGCCCTCCATCAGATGTGCTTCCCCTCTCCTCTGAACTCCCACAGAACACAATTTATAGCCCCTTCTGCCAGAGATTTCATGTTGCCTTGTAAAAGTAAGAATAAGAACTCCCCTTTACTGAGCACTTACTATGCACCAAGCACTTTGCCCACATTGTCTCTTTCAATCCTCACATCAACTTAGTGTGGATCGTTATTACCCTGATCTAACAGAGGCAGACGCTAAGAATTAGAGAGATTAGTCACTTATTATGGATGGTGTATTAGTCCATTCTCACGCTGCTATGAAGAACTACCTGACACTGGGTAATTTATGAAGGAAAGAGGTTTAATTGACTCACAGTTCTGCACTGCTGGGGAGGCCTCAGGAAATTTACAATCATGGCGGAAGGCAAAGGAGAAGCAGGCACCTTCTTCACAGGGCGGCGGGACAGAGTGAGCACAAGCAGGGGGAATGCCAGACACTTACAAAACCATTAGATCTCGTGAGATTCACTCACTCTCAGGAGCATAGCATGGGGGAACCACCCCCATGATCCAATGACCTCCACCTGGCCCTGCCCTTCACACGTGGGGATAATGGGGATTACAATTCGAGGTGAGATTTGGGTGGGGACACAGAGCCAAACTATATCAGATGGTTTCAAAGAAACTACCCAACTAGGCTTCTCTGATTTTTCTCAACTTCTACATGCGTAATATATGAATTAAAGAGGGTACATTGATTTGGGGAAAGGGAAGAGCAAGCTGCCTTTTATAGGCTGTTTCGACATAGACAGGTATTGTGTTATTTACTGCTCCAACAACTCCATATTTTTATAACATTTGCTCTGTAACTGTCAGACGATGTGCCAGGAGTTGGAATTTCAAAAAATGAGTAAACTGGGGCACAGAAGGAGCTCTCAGCCTCCTGAGGGAAATGGTGTGGTTGTGAAATAACCATGACAATGTGCCCATGGAGAAGGCAGTCATGGGAGCGGTGAGTGAGCACAGGGTCATCATCAGCCCTATGAGAGTGATGTTTTAAAGGATGAGTACAAGTCTCCTGGTAGGCAAGGGGAAAAGGTCATTGCTGGGAAAGAAAATGGTGGGCAAATGGGTGTAACAAGTTTGGAGAATGGAGTGAGGAAATCAAGCAGTGGGGGGTGGAAGGTGAGAGGGAGAGGGGGTGGTGGTGGGTGGGTGGACTCCTGGACCCACAATGAGGGATAGCAGGAATGAACCATTTACAACCAGTGACCATGAAGCAGGAAACCTTCCGTGAGTGTGAAGCCTCACCTTCCTTTACTGGGCAGTGGTTTCCTAAATCCATCACTTCATTTCCTCTGTCACCTTTGCCTTGTCAAAGGTCACCAGCAGCTCTTAATGGTCAAATCTCCTGATTTTCATTGGTTTCAGTATCTCCCCAAACTCTTCCTCCACCCAGGAAGTTTTCAATCTTTTCTTACCCCAGACCTCTTTGCAGCCTAGTGACGTCTTTGGTCCCTTCTTAGTTTTTAAATGCATAGAACAAATTCATACAATCACAAGAAAGCCAACCATATGGAAATACAGTTATTAAAATATTTAAAAGCCCAGTTTGTGATGTAGAAAGATGTACTTGTTTACTAAAGCATAAATCGTACAACCCAGTGGATGGCCTTATAACCACAGTCATTTTGTAATAGTGATCAGCGTAAATGATATTGCAAGATTTCTGCAACAGCTGTGATGGAATGAAAAAATCTGTAATTGTTTTTTGGTGAGAAAGTCAAGAGTGTGTCTAATACTATTGTGTTTTGTCAACTGCATTTATAATTAGAGGAAATGGTAAATATGAGACAGAGGTTTGTGAAAACAGAGAATTATTTTTTTCTTCTATCCAAATGCATGCCCTCCCTAAATTCTATCCAAAAATCCCTTGGGGATCTTGCATGCCAGGTTCAAAACCCCAGGTTTACACTATTAATTCTCCCCCACCCTTTCCTGTGACTCTGTCCCAGCCATCTTCAGAGGAGGGGGTTGGGAGAGGGAGTGGCCTCCATCTGTCTGTCAAGGACTTCTGCTTCCTTTAATAGAAAACAAAATAAGAGGATGTGTTGAGATGAACAAAGATGTGCCAACCACTCCCAATTCCAGATAAGTGAGGCAATGCTCACCTGTCTTACCCCATCACAGGGCCTGATACCCCAACCCACCGCCCCCAAGCCATGGTCATCACCTCTGCACATAACCAAACCCCAGACACTTGGCCAAAGAGATCCAGGACCCAGAACAAGAAAAAGGAGCAAATGTATGTCCACAAATGCTTCTACACTCCTCACTTCAAGGAAGTTTAATTCCCTCCTTTTGAGAATGGGCTGAACTTAGGAACTTCTAACAAATAGAATATGGCAGAAATTATCATCTGTCACTCCTGAGACTAGGTCATAAAAGGCACTGCAACTTCCTCTTAGATCACTCCCTTTGGGGAAGTCAGCCACCATGTTCTGAGGACACTCAATTAGCCTTTGAGAGAGATCCACATGGCAAGGAACTAAGACCTTCTGCCAGCAGCCAGAGAGGAAATGAGGCCTCCAGTCCACAGCTATGTGAGGGAGCCATCTTGGAAATGGTTTCTCCAGTCCCAGTCAAACCTTCAGATGACTGTAGCCTTGGCTGACAATTTGACTACAGCCTGACAATTTGACTACAGAGAGGGAACTTGAGCCAGAACCTACCCCAGCTGAGCCACTCCCGCATTCCTGACCTTCAGAAACTGAGATAACAAGTGTTGATTGAAGCTATTAAGTTTTCGAGCACTTTGTTAAGCAGCAATAGATTGCCGATACAAGAAGTATGAAGAGGACAAATCCTGTTCCTCTCTAGGGGCCTGGAGGGGAAGGTGCTGAGGAAGAGGAGGGCAGGGTAAGTTGCCAGGGGCAGCCTTTTGAGAGGGAGGCCTCACAGGGTGTGTTGGGCACAACCTTGGCGCCTACATCCAACAGTCCTGCTGATGACTTCTGTACCTGCTGTGCCCCCCCCGTTTAAGAGCACGTTACACAACATCTCGGGTATCAGTTTCCTCAACTGTAAAGGGTGTAATAAATCAGCCTGGAGTTGCTGCAAGGGTTCAAGGAGTTAATAATAATATATGCAGTGCCAACAAGAATGCCAGGCGCACAGGAAATGCTCACTAAGTGGTGACTCTTTGCATTAACTCCAGGGCCCTCCTGGCTCCACCAGGCTCAGGTGCCCAGACTTGGCTGTTCCTGAGGGAGGCCACTCTCCTCTGACACCCAAAGGCCCTGGAACCCGAAGGATGGGGATGAGGCACTTCAGTGCAGCTGCAGTGCATCCCTGAGCTTCATCCTGTCTCCAGCTCATCCTGCCTCTGGTTTGGAAAGGGCCCTAAAGAGCACCTGACACATGAAAAGAAACTCAACCTCCCTCATAATCAGGGAAATGCAAATTGAAACCACACTGAAATGGAAGTGGTCTTAGGGTTTATCAGCAGATGACCAGATAAACACAATGCCGTGTGTCATACAGTGGAATATTACCCAGCCATGAAAGGGAAGGAACACACACCACAAACAGGTGAAGCTCTGAAACATGGTGCTCAGTGAAGGAAGCCATTTACAAAGAGCCGCATATTGCATGATTTCCATGAAATGTCCAGAATAGGCAAGTCCACAGAGACAGAAAGCAGATGGGTGGTTGCCAAGGGCTGGCAGAGGGCGAAATGCAATGATGCTTCACGGGTGTGGACTCTTTTTTGTTTGCTTGTTTTTTTGTTTTTGAGGCAGGATCTCACTCTGTCACCCAGGCTGGAGCGCAGTGGCACAATCATGGCTCACTGAGGCCTCGACCTCCCAGGCTCAAGCAATCGTTCTGCCTCAGCCTTCCAAGTAGCTTGGTCTACAGGTATGCACCACTATGCCTGGCTAATTTTTTTCATTTTTCATAGAGACGGGGTCTCCCTATATTGCCAGGCTGGTCTCAAACTCCTGGGCTCAAGCGATCCTCCTGTCTCTGCCTCCCAAAGTGCTGGGACTACAGGCAGAGTAGGGGACTTTATTTTGGGGTGACGAAAATGTTTTAGAACTAAATAGAGGTGATTGCACAACACTGTGAATGTACTTAATGCCACTGAATTGTTCACCTTAAAGATGGTTAAATTTATGTTATGCAAATTTTACCTCAATAATTTTTTTTAAAGCTACACCGAGATGTTGTTTCTGTTGTTGTTTTAGACAGGAGCTCACCCTGTCACCCAGGCTGGAGTGCAGCGGCGCAATCACGGCTCACTGCAGCCTCTACCTCCCGGGCTCAAACGATCATCCCGCCTCAGCCTCCCGAGTAGCTGGGACTACAGGCTCATGCCACCACACTCAGCTCATTTTTGTATTTTTTGTAGAGACAGGGTTTCACCATGTTGCCCAAGCTGGCCTCGAACTCCTGGGCTCAAGTGATTCTCCTGCCTCAGCCTCCCAAAGTGCTGGGATTACAGGTGTGAGCCACCATGCCCGGCCAAGATACCACTTCAGCAGATCAGCGAGAGTGAAAGGATGACCACATGCTGTCAGTGAGACTGCAGGGACAGGCTGTCTGCACCATGTTCACAAGAGTGTAAACTGGAAAAACCTTCAAGAGACCAACTTCACCATCTGACAGCATCTGTTAAAGACTTACAGCCTTTGACCCAGCAATTTCACAGCAGGTACTTACCCTGCAAATATACTAGCACACACGAGGAATGATACCAGTAGATGAATATTTGTTGCATCATTATGTGCAATGGCAAAATATTGCAAAGAATATAAACTTCGCCATGCGCCATGGCTCAAGCCTGTAATCCCAGCACTTTGGGAGGCAGAGGGCAGGTGGACCACCTGAGGTCAGGAGTTCGAGACCAGCCTGGCCAACATGGTGAAACCTTGTCTCTACTAAAAATACAAAAATTAGCCGGGCGTGGTGGTGAGTGTCTGTAATCCCAGCTACTTGGGAGGCTGAGGCAGGAGAATCACTTGAACCTGGGAGGCAGAGGTTGCGGTGAGCTGATATTGTGCCATTGCACCCCAGCCTGGGCAACAAGAGCAAAACTCCAGCTCGAAAAAAAAAAAACCCATAAATATTCAGGGGATCAGTTAATTAAATGGCAGCAATTCATACAGTGGAATCCAAAAAAGAATGAGGCCGCTCCTTGTGGGCTTACTAAGTGAAGAAAGCAAGGTACAGGGCACCATGTTTATACACCTCACTTGTATACATGTGCACTTCTTGTACATATGTGGCTGAGCATATATACAGTAGCCCTAGAAATATATGCAAGAACTAGTAAGAATTTCTCTTGGCGGGTGTGGTGGCTCACGTCTGTAATCCCAGCACTTTGGGAGGCCGAGGCGGGCAGATCACCTGAGGTTAAGAGTTCGAGACCAGCCTGGCCAACATGACGAAACCCCATCTCTACTAAAAATACAAAAATTAGCCAGGCATCATGGCGCATGCCTGTAATCCCAGCTACTCGGGAGGCTGAGACAGGAGAATCGCTTGAACCCAGGAAGCAGAGGTTGTGGTGAGCTGAGGTCACACCACTGCACTCCAGCCTGGGTGACAGAGTGAGACTCCATTTAAAAAAAAAAAATTCTTCTGGGCATAAAGGGAGAGGCCTCCAAGAAGACCCCATTGAGCCCACCTCCTGGCGTCCACATCCTGAAGTAGTCGCTCCGTTATTGTAGTAGGATTGGTCTATCTGACCCAGAGAATATGGCAGAAGTATGTCACTTCTGAGGCTGTTAGGAGCTAAATAATGTCCCCTGACAAATTCATATATTGAAGTCCTAACCCCCAGTACTTCAGAATGTGACTGTATTTGGAGATAAGACCTTTAAAGTGATAATTATGGTAATATAATGTCACATGGGTGGGCCCTAATCCAATCTAACTGATGTCCTCATAAGAAGAGGAAATTAGGACACGAGCATAGACAGAGGGAAGACCACGTGAGGATACAGGGAGAAGACAGCCATCTCTAAGGGAGACTCAGAAAGCCTTCTGAAGCCAGGCATGGTGGCTCACCCCTGTAATCTCAGCACTTTGGGAGGCCAAGGCAGATGGATCACCTGAGGTCAGAAGTTCGAGACCAGCCTGGCCAACATGGTGAAACCCCATCTCTACTAAAATTACAAAACTTAGCCAGGCGTGGTGGCACACACCTGTAGTCCCAGCTTCTCAGGAAGCTGAGGCAGGAGAATTGCTTGAATCCTGGAGGTGGAGGTTTCAGTGAGCTGAGATCATGCCACTGCACTCCAGCCTAAGTGACAGAGTGAGACTTTGCCTCAAAAAAAAAAAAAGAAAAGAAACAAGAAAAAGAAAGAAAGAGAGAAAGAAAGAAAGGAAAGAGAGAAAGAAAGAAAGAAAGAAAGAAAGAAAGAAAGAAAGAAAGAAAGAAAGAAAGCCTTCTGAAAGAGGCCTCAGATGAAACCAATCTTGCTAATACCTTGATTGCAATGTCTCGCCTCCAGGATCGTGAAAAAAGACATTTCTGTTGTGTAAGCCACCCAGCCTGTGGTACTTTGGCAGCCCTAACAAATTAATGCAGGCAAGGTCATAAAAGGTACCGTGGCTTCTTGCCAGCTTTCCTTCTCAGAATTCTCAGTCTGGGGGAAGCCAGCCAGCAGCCATGCTGTGAGGAACCTCAAGTGGCCTCATGGAGAAGCCCACGTGGTGAGGACCTGAAGCCTCCTGCAACAGCTGTGTGAGGAGCCATCTTGGAGTGGATTCTCCAGCCTGGTCAAACCTTCTGGTGATGTCAGCCCTGGCTGACAGCTTGATTGCAACCTCTTGAGATATAACCACACAGCTAAGCTACTCTGAAATAACTGACCCATGAAAACTGCATGAGATTTAAAAAGTTTGTTGTTTTGGGCTGCCACATGTTGGGGTAATTTGTTACACAGCAATAGCTAACTATTACAGGAAGTGTCCACTTTTGTACCCATGAAAGCCTGAATTATGGCCCCCAAAGATATCCAGCTCCTAATCCCTGGAAGCTGTGAATGTAACCTTCTATGGCAAGAGGGCCTGGGCAGAAGTGATTAAGGCTTGAGGTGGAGAGAGGATCCTGGCTTTCCCGGATGGGCCCCAAATGTAATCACAAGTGTCCTTAGGAGAGGGAGTCAGAGGGAGATTTGACTACAAGGGTAAAAGAAGGTGATGTGAGGACTTTGGCAGAAAGATTTGAAGATGCTACACTGCTGGCTTTCAAGATGAAGGAAGAGGCCACAAGCCAAGGACTGCAAGGAACGTAGTAGCTCTAGAAGCTGGAAAAGCAAGGAAACAAGAGCCTCCCCTAGAGCCTCCGCAGAGAGTGCCGCCTACCAGCACCTGGATTCCAGCACCGTGAACGTGGTTTTTTATTTTTATTTGGGGAAAGGGTCTCAAAAATAAAATGTTAGCTCACTGCAGCCTCCACCTCCTGGGCTCAAGTGATCCTCCTGCCTCAGCCTCCTGAGTAGCTGGGACAACAGGCGTACACCACCAAGCCCAGCTATTTTTTTGTGTGTATTATTTGTAGAGATGGGGTTTCGCTATATTGCCTAGGCTGATCTCAAAGTCCTGGGCTCAAGTGACCCTCCCACCTCAGCCTCTCAAGTAGCTGGGACTACAGGTGCACACCACCACACCCAGCTAATTTTTTTTTCAGTAGAGACAAGGTTTCACCGTGTTGCTCAGGCTGATCTTGAACTCCTGGCCTCAAGTGATCCACCCACCTCGGCCTCCTAAAGTGCTGGGATTACAGGCGTGAGCCACTGCACCCAGTCAGTGAAAGTGATTTTGGATTTCTGATCTCCAGAACTGTAAGAGAATAACTGTTGTCTAAGCCACCATGTTTGTGTAAGTAGTGACAGCAGCCGTCGGAAACCATTTCAGCACATTTTGTGTGTTATTCTGAGGATGCAGTGTGTGCATTCGCTGGCTCATGGTGGGCCTGTTTGCCCCGGTCCCTCCTCACCTGCTGCAGCTGTGGTCGGGTCTGACCTCTGCAGGCTATTTCTAGGCCCAGACTGCCTCCAGTCCATGGGAGGCACTGGTGGGAGACTGGAGGGTAGGCATTCTGGGGAGTTCATGCTCTCCCTCTCTGTCTTGGGCTACATCTCTGCATGGCTGTGACCCCACCCATGGCTCTCCACAAGTGACCCCAGTCCTGAGGTCCTGGTAGCTCCACATCTTCCCTTTGTCCCTCCATCCCTCAGCGTGGTAGCAGCTTCCCATCCCTGCCCCCTTATCATCCATGCCATCATTAAGTGTTAAGCAAGTGATACCTGTTACCACCTTCAGTGGAAGAGCCCTATTGAGTGGCGGGTCCTGCCACCAGGAGCAGCAGTCCTGGGACGTCAGCCCCCTGCGTGGCTTGTGGGTGAGGACGGTGCCAAGAAAGACACGACTCACACAGGCACAGGATGGAACCATGCTAGACTCACCTAGACAGCAGGTGGAGCATGATCAGCTGCAATAGTGAGTGTCAGCCCCCGCCGCTCCACGTGGCCTAGCACTCCAGGGAGAGGGTCTGCGTGCACCCCTCTCACCCCAACCCCCCACTGGGAACAGATAGAGCAGTGGGTGGTGGGTGCCACAGGATGCACACACTCAGGCAGAACAGAAGGCCCATCAAGTCAAGCACAGGGAAAGGTATCCCCGAAGACAGATGCCCAGCACGGGCTGGGAGAGCTCTTTCTTTATTTGTAAGGAAGTGATCTGGGCCCACGGCCCATTCTCATGTGACTATTCGGGTTGAGAGACTGCACGCCCAAGGCTGGCTTTCCCAACACTCTCTCCATTAAATTCTCTCTGGGTTCAGTACCTGAAGTGCTTTCTATTTTCCTGCCTGGGCCTTCACGGAGCCTCAAACAATATGATAAACAAGAGAAATCGGTTATAGGAGTTAAAAATTTAAAGGCATGTTTTGTTCAGCACGAGCTCTGTCCTTGAATTGCCTCTACAGCATTCTCAGCCAGGGGTTGTCTTTAGTTTTAATTGGCTTTTTTTTTTAAGAGATGGGGGTTTCGATCTGTCACGCAGGCTGGAGTGCAGTGGTGCAATCATGGCTCACTGCAGCCTCGACTTCCTGGGCTAGAGATCCTCCCACCTTAGCCTCCCGAGGGATGCACCGTCACACCCGGCCCGGGGGTCTTTTTCCACTGTTGCACCTGTGCACGTGGGCTTCTCTCCTCCACTCAGCCACCCACTGCCTCCTCCTCCACCCTCCATTCTCTTTAGTGCCAAGCGGCCTCACTCCTCTCTGGAGCCTGCCCAGCTGTGACCTGGATTTCTCCATCATGAGGACCAGGTGGGCTGGGGGGTGGGGTGCCACTTAGAGATGGCTTTGCCGTGGGCTGCCAAACAGACCAAGCCCTGTTTGACCATCGTGAGAGCCAGAGAGATGTGAAAAATTATAAAAAGGCAGAGCATCAATGCAACTGTGTGTGCGCACTATGGATCCACTGAGGCTCCAGGGGCAGGTGGGCCACTTCTCATCTGCCCCCAACCCCTGCAAAGGCCCCAGCGCCTCCCCCAGCTGGCCCCTCTTCCGGGCAGCCCCAGCCCCAGCAGCTGTGGCCGGAAGGAAAGCTTCAGTGATTCCCGAAGCAAAGCAGACAGTCGAGTTCGGAGTGTGAGTGATGTTCGCTTGCCTGCCCAGTTTCTTGTTTTTAGAGTCTGACACGGGAACATTGCGAGGTGACCACATTTTTCAAAGCTCAAATTGAGACAGATGGTCTGCCCAAAGATGTTTTCCCGATTTAGCCATTTACTTATATAAAAAGCGTTACAAAAAAGTGCACACACCAATTCACATTTGATTGTCCATTTAATGAAACGTGGCTGAGGAGCAGAATCATGCCTTGACCATTGGGGGCACCAAGCGGCCTGGATGGGGAGTGTGGGGCAGGGAAGAGGGTGAAGAGGCCCCCAAAGGGAGCCCAGGATAGAGATCTTCGGAGTGGGGGTAACCCCTGGGGAGTCAGCCCCCTCCAGGCCCAGCCCTGGGATCAGGAGGCTCTGGGCCCCCCTTTGCAAACCCTCCCTCAGAACTGGCTATAAAAAGTGGTTTGCTCTGGGCTGTGGCGGTGATAAACAGTCCCCAAAGACTCAGGAAAATGTCTGCAGCTCACCAGCTGGTTCTTCACTCCGAGCCATTACTCTGCAGGGCAGGTCTCAGAGACTGGAGGTAAGCCCTGTGCCCCCTGCCGAACTCAAAGGGGCTCCTGTGGGTGAGGCCCCACGTGGGGGCCTGGCCCAGGGCCTCCTGCCCCACTGTGCTGTGCAGAGATGAGGCGGCAGAGGCTGAGAGGGGCTCAGCCAGCCCCCACCGGGGTCCTTATGCCACAGTCATGGCGTCATTTTATCAGCAGTACCAGCTCACGAGTCTCGAACATTTACCTGGTGCTGAGACCTGATCTTGGTACTGCAGACTTGAGCTCATTCTGAACTCATGTGCCCAGGTGAGAAAGATGCCATTATTAACCTCTCATTTTACAAACAGGCACAGAGGAGGCAGTGACTTGAGTAAGGCCACACAGCTCGTAAGCAGTGGAGGTGGGATTTGAACCCGGGTCCATGTGACTGGGTGCCTCTGCGAGCAGTCACCCCCTCTCCTGTACCAAGGCTTTCTGCAGACATCTACTTCCTCTCTGTGTGAATTTTCCCAGAGTGGGACCACCCCTTCCCTGACTTCCCCCACTCCCACTGCTGCCCCTCGCCCAGCCGCTGCCACCTGGGATTGCCTTGTCACCTCCCAGCCAGGCTTTGCTTTGGGGATGGGAGTGGAAAGGTAGGCAGGAATGGCTTCACTCTTTTGCCCAGTGACCCTCTTAAACAGGGCTTCTCACGCCCCACACCAGCCACTGTAGGTGTCACAGAGAAGGGCTGGGTCCTGAATTTCCTCTTCTCAGGATCTGGCTGAGGGAGGGCAAGCTCGGTGGGAGGAGGCTCTCGAGGTGTGCACCTTTCTCCCTTAGCTGGAAGCAAGGGCATGGATGGGGATCGTTCATTTGAGGGTGACCCCAGGAAGCAGAAATGAAGGACAAGCCAGTAAAGGTTGTGTTAGGAGCCTGAGGCTCAGACTGCTGGGGACTCGCTAGGAGCTGCTTGGGATGTGCCTCAGCATCACCTCCCACCCCAACACACACGGGCCTGGATGCGGCGACTCCAGGCCTCCGTGTTCCAGGGTTGTCCCAGGGGACGTTGGCCCCTCTGCATTTTGGGACTGCCCTGAGTGTGGGCTGAAGGTGGAGACAGTTCAGGGCAGTACTTGGAGGTGAACAAGGACTGTCCCTGGGGTCCCCATTGTCTCGGCTGAAATCAGAGGCCAGCAAGCACCTGCTGCCTCTCCCCAAGACACACCATCCAACCCTCCGGCCCAGCCTTCCCCTGCCCTCTCTGGACGTGCCAGGCCTCTGTGCCGTCCCCCAGGCTCACCCTTCTGCACCTCTCCTCACTACAACACTCAACTCCAGCATCACCTCACCTTCCAGGGAGCCAGTCTCTCCGTCCTCTGCAACCTGTAGCCATCTGCACAGGCCTCTGCCACCAGGATAAGAACCATTTGGGAGACACTCACTATGTGCCAAGCACAGCTCAGCGGTCTATGATGGGATCCATCTAACACCATCACACTCTGCAATGGGCTCATGAGCATCATCTCTTTACAGACAAGGAGAGATGCTCAAAGTCACATGGCTGGAAAGCGCAGGAGGCAAGATTTAAAGCGACTCCTGGTCTGACCTCAGCTGACACAGAGCCCTTAACGGGCAGCGCTGGAATCACTGGTGCGATGTCCATCTCTCCCCTGGACAACAAGCCTCTAGGGCAGGTGGGGAGTGCACAACAGCTGCCCGTCCACATTCCTAGCACCCAGTGCTGTGCGGGTGCGTGGTGTGCACTCAGATGGGAAGGTGTGCACACAGGCCGACAGATGGAGTCCAAGCTCTTATGCCTTTCAAACTCTCACTCCCACAGGCGGCCGCCGGCAAAAATAGCCAGCTCATTTGAATAGAAGGGCAGGAGGAAAAGACAAGAACCCAACTTCAGACAAATGGAAATTTTCAAAAGAGGAAGGCAGCGGCCAAGCCCGGCGGAACACAGCTCCAGCCTAGCAATTTAGCACGATTAACTGAAGCCGCAGCCCCAGTCAATATAATAGTGGGCGCATTATCAGTTTTGCCACAAACCATTATTCATTATCTCTGGGTTGTGTTGGCTCACCCTCAGCCGGCTGGAGCGCCGCGGCTTCTCCTGCAGCCAGCTATATTGTAATCAGTCACATTACAGAGAAACGTTCCTGGAGGAAATCGTGCCATCGCCTGGCGTGTCAGCTGCTCGCAGATCGGAATAGGAATGTTCCAAGGTGCAGTAATGTGGTGTGACATTGTGCGAGTTAATTTATAGAAAAATTAAACATCATTTGGAGCCGAGCAAGGGAGATGAGCGGGGGACTGGCTTGGTTTCAGACAATATTTAAATGGCCTCGGGGTATTGATTCTGCAGGAAATCTTTGCAAGGACTCACGGTGGTTAATAAATGTTTGTCCAAAATCCCCCAACTCAGTCTAGACGTGCACAATGAAGACTTAGAAAGCAAAATATAGCTCCAAATTGCAAGCGTTTCTTTGGCGTAATGAGTCTTAGAGAGATGTGGGGAACTTGGAGGAGGGACGCTGGGAGCAGCTAGGGGTGGGGGTGGGGGTGAGAGAGCAGAAGTCACCAACTAAGAAGACAGATCCCGAGTCCCCTCCATGGGCCAAGCAAGGTGCTGGGGCTGCCAGGATGGGGCCACGCAATCCCTGACCTTGAGGGAAAGAGGAGACAGGGCAAAAATGCACCTAACCAAGGCCAAGGTCTGACTGGAGCAGCTAGGGAGATGCCCTGATCCCTTCCTCTTCACCCTGTGGGAATCCTCCACACTACACAGTAGAAGGTGGCCAGACACATGGCACCAATACTGGACTGATGAGACACCAGCTTATTACTAGCAGATACTTCTGGAGGAGGAAGACACTGTGGGCCATGCAGGACCACATGAGGGTACACCCCAGCGCAGAGTGAACCAGAGGGGCTGTGAGGGGCAGCCTTTGTAGTAACAAAAGGGTGAGCTGCCCTCTGATTGGCTTGTTTGAATAATGCTACTGGCTGGCAGGGAGGTGAGACCGTTAGATTGAAGACACGTGGGGCGTAGCCAATCTAGCTGATGCGGGAACCAGGTAAGCAGCCTTTCCTGCTGGGTGGGGGGGCGTGCCTGGTGAGAACAGGAGGCCTCACAGCTACTAGGCCCATTCGGGGCTTTGTGGGGCTCAAAGATATCAAAGCAGCACTTGTTGATTTTATTTTATTTTATTTAGAGACAGAGCTCACCTTGAAGCCCAGGCTGGAGTGCAGAGGTGCAGTCGTAGCTCACTGCTGCCTTGAACTCCTGAGCTCAAGGGATCCTCTTGCCTCAGCCTCCCAAGTAGCTGGGATTACAGGCATGTGCCACCATGCTCAGCTAATTTTTAATTTTTTTGTAGAGACAGGGTTTCTCCATCTTGCCCAGGCTACTCTCAAACTCCTGGGTTCGAGCCATCTTCCTGCCTTGGCTTCCCAAAGTGTGGGGATTGCAGGCATGAGCCACCATACCTGGCCAAAGCAACACTTAATATAGCATTTTTTTTTTTTTTGAGATGGGGTCTCGTTCCGTCGCCCAGGCTGGAGTGCAGTGGAGCAATCTCAGCTCACTGCAGCCTCTGCCTCCCAGGTTCAAGTGATTCTCCTGCCTTAGCCTCCTGAGTAGCTGGGATTACAGGCACCTGTCACTACGCCTGGCTAATTTTTTGTATTTTTAGTAGAGATGAGGTTTCACCATGTTGGCCAGGCTGGTCTCGATCTCCTGACCTCAAGTGATCCGCCCACCTCGGCCTCCCAAATTGCTGGGGTTACAGGTGTGAGCCACCACGACCAGCCTTAATATTGCATCTTGATTTGGAGCCTGGCAGGGCAGGAGGTGCAGGCGAGGTGAGCGTGATGGGAAGGGAGCACCCCCTGCCACGTGGATGGCTGGAGGTGCTGAAGGCCGCTTGGATGGGTGGAGGTGCTGAAGGCCGCGTGGATGGGTGGAGGTGCTGAAGGCCGCGTGGATGGGTGGAGGTGCTGAAGGCCGCGTGGATGGGTGGAGGTGCTGAAGGCGTTACAGAGCAGGCAGCATTGGAGGCTGGCCTTGAAGGGTGAGTAGCATATCAGGACAAAAATGAGAGCAAGGGCTTCAGAGCTGAGAAAATCTCATGAGTAAAGGCACAGGGACAGGAGACAGTGCAGGGCTTGAGAGATGGGTGGGCGGAGAGCCTGCTGTGAAGAAGAACATAAGGTGTGGGAAGGGGAGGCGGTGAGGGGCCGGGAAGGTGGGAGGCAACAGATTGCAGAGGGTCAGGGGGCAGGAATTCTTCAACGTAGAGAAGAAAAGATTCAGACAGAAAAACAACCCCTAGCTGTGGTGGCTGTAATGATCACCAGTCTATAAAGGACTCTTACGGAGAAGTTGGTCCCCACATGCTGCAGAGACCACCTGGACCTAAACACCCCTCAAATGGTGACTCCCAGCCAGGGTTCTCCCTGAATTCCAGACTCAGATGCCCAGAGAGATCTCAAACCACCGCTCGTTTCATGAATGCCTGTGAGTCACCAGGCAGAGTGTGAGACCTTGTGGGTCCATCAATGGATAAACCGAAGAGGGTCCTGCCGTGAGGCGCTCCTCTTCCAACCTTTGCCTCCCTAGAAGGATGTCAGCAATGCCTGGGCAAGTCCACACTGAAATGCACGTTCCTGCTCTTTCTCTGCAGAGCCACATCTCCTACCAAAGTCTCCAGAGGGGTTTGGAGCCTGCAGTTCCAAAGCTTGAAGCCCCGGTGTCCTAACCTGGCTGCTCATGTGGCCTGATCTGCCAAATCCGGCATTGGCCATGTCCTGCCATTACTGCCAAAACGTTTCTCAGATCTGTGCCTTCTGCCTTCCCCTTTCTTGTGATCACAGGCTGGTTCAAACCTGTTCAAATAGAGGGACACGGCCAAGCGCAGTGGCTCACGCCTGTAATCCCAGCACTTTGGGAGGCCAAGGTGGGTGGATCACAAGGTCAGGAGATCGAGACCATCCTGGCTAACATGGTGAAACCCCATCTCTACTAAAAATACAAAAAATTAGCCGGGCGTGGTGGCGGGTGCCTGTAGTCCCAGGTACTCAGGAGGCTGGGGCAGGACAATGGCGTGAACCCGGGAGGCGGAGCTTGCAGTGAGCCGAGATCGCGCCACTGCACTCCAGCCTGGGAGACAGAACGAGATTCTGTCTCAAAAAAAAAAAAAAAAAAAAAAAAAAATAGAGGGACACACACACACACACACACACACACACGAGAACTTTTGTGTCTCCCCCCGGATCACAACCCGTCTTGTCACCTTCAATCCCTCCTACACAGTCATAGGGTAACTTTTCTTTTCTTTTTTCTTTTTTTGAGACGGAGTCTCGCTCTGTCGCCAGGCTGGAGTGCAGTGGCACCATCTCAGCTCACTGCAACCTCTGCCTCCCAGGTTCAAGCGATTCTCCGGCCTCAGCCTCCTGAGTAGCTGGGACTACAGGCGTGTGCCACCGGGCCCAGCTAATTTTTGTATTTTTAGTAGAGACAGGGTTTCACCATGTTGGCCAGGATGGTCTCAATCTCTTGACCTTGTGATCCACCCGCCTCAGCCTCCCAAAGTGCTGGGATTACAGGCGTGAGCCATCGCACCGGCCCAGGGTAACTTTTCAAAACACAAACCTCTTCGTGCCACACCGCAGCTCAAAAGCCCTCCCAGGCTCCCTATCACCTGTCAGGAAAGCCCAAGCTCCTTAGCACAGGCTCGGTGCGGTACCCGCAGTCTTCAGTTGTGGCACTTTGCCTGTCTCATCAATGCCTTCTTCTCACCCTGTGTCTTGCACACAATACTCCAGGAAATGGCTTAATTGCTTGCAGATGCCCCCCAGATACTGCGGTAGATGAAAGTACTGGCCCTAACTCATCGCCTCCCTGCATTTGCACCTTTTATCATGTGAATTTTCAGTTCTCCCAACCAGAGGCAAGATGTACTTCCCTGCCCCTTGACTTCAGGCTTAGTCATGGGACTTGCTTTGGACAATGGGGTGTGAGCAGGCCTGACACAGCAGAGGCCTGAGGTGCACCATGCATTTGAGCTTGCCTCTTGCACCTCTCCGGTCACCAGGAGGAGGGCTTCCCAGGAGTAGTGGCTGTGCCTGGATCCCCACATGATACACAAGGAAGGCCAAGCATGGTGGTTCACGCCTGTAATCCCAGCACTTTGGGAGGCCGAGGCAGGAGGATCACTTGAGGTCAGGAGTTCGACACCAGCCTGGCCAACGTGGTGAAACCCCGTTTCTACTAAAAATACAAAAATTAGCCAGGCGTGGTGGTGTGCACCTGTAATCCCAGTTACTCGGGAGGCTGAGGTGGAAGAATCGCTTGAACCTGTTAGGTGGAGGTTGCAGTGAGCCGAGATCGCACCACTGCATTCCAGGCTGGGCAACAGAGCAAGACTCTGTCTCAAAAAAAAAAAAAGACACTGGGTGCAGTGGGTCATGCCGGTAATCCCAGCACTTTGGGAGGCAGACGCAGGCAGATTACGAGGTCAAGAGATCAAGACCATCCTGGCTAACATAGTGAAACCCTGTCTCTACTAAAAATACAAAAATTAGCTGGGTGTGGTGTCGGGTGCCTGTAGTCCCAGATACTCAAGAGGCTGAGGCAGGAGGATCTCCTTTTTTTTTTTTTTTTTTTTTTTTTTTGAGACAGAGTCTCACTCTGTTGTCCAGGCTGGAGTGCAGTGGCGCGACCTCGACTCACTGCAAGCTCCGCCCCCGGGTTCACGCCATTCTCCTGCCTCAGCCTCCCAAGTAGCTGAGACTACAGGTGCCCGCCACCAAGCCTGGCTAATTTTTTGTATTTTTAGTAGAGACAGGGTTTCACCTTGTTGGTCAGGATGGGCTTGATCTCCTGACCTCGTGATCCACCCGCCTCAGCCTCCCAAAGTGCTGGGATTACAGGCATGAGCCACTGCGCCCGGCTTACAGGAGGATCTCTTGAACCCAGGAGGCGGAGGTTGCAGTGAGCTGAGATTGCACCACTGCACTCCAGCCTGGTGACAGAGTGAGACTCCATCTCAAAAAAATGATACACCAGGAGCACAGTCACCCTAGCCCACCCACAGACCTGAGCATGAGTAAATGATTGTGGTATGAAGTCACTAAATTAAGAGGTTTGGTACACAGCGTTATTGTGGCAATATTTGACAGATATAAATACCACCTTGCTGTTTTCAGATTTTTTAGTTCTTGCTTCCTTTTGCTTTCCCTCCAGCCTAGAATACTCTTATACACTTCTCTTGGCCTAAATATATTTCTAGGCTAGTTCATTGTTCTGTTCTTCAGGGGGCCTTTTCCACCATTTCCAGAAATGCTGCCATCTCATCTCTGAGCCTGCATTTGGAGAAAAAGCGTCAGGGCAGGTGGAAAGCAGAGAAGGAGCATGGCTCCTCTGCGCACCAGCTTGAGGCCATGTCTCCTCACTTTCTTCCAGGAAGGAGAGGGGGTAGCATCTCCCACTGTTTGATGTTCAGCCATGGGAACCTGCCAGCTGCTCTCTGGGCCCACCTGCTATTTGCACCAACCTAGGAATCTGTGAGATGCACTTGCCTTCCCAGTTACAGTGTGTCAGTTCCCAGCCAGAGCCCTGTGTAGTTGCTACACAAGATAGAATTACACGCAATTCTCTGCTCTTGAATTTAAACAGCTGCTAACACCTACCTGATCACATTGTATTTAGTAACCAGCCAGCCTGTGTTTTAATTCCAGTCTCCTAGCGCTTCCCAGCCTTTATTACGCGCCAGAGATTTCTGTGCAAACACAACTGGATCTTCGATGCCTCTTTGACAGACTTGGCAATCCGTTTGCCCTCCTATGCCTGGTAGTGATGGAGGCCTGACTTATCCCTCCCTCCCTTGGGAGTCTATTAATGGAGGGGGAGATGCACACAGAGGCACACACGTGGAAAGAGCTTTTGAGGCTGAAAAACTGCTCAGCTTAAAAGAGCTGCAGGCACATCTCTCCAGCCTCCAGGGTTTCCCTTGGTCCCCGTGATGGCAGCCAGCAGCTACAGGTTCTGACATCAGTTGTCTGCTTTCTGCCACCGATTTCTGGGAACCATTGAGGGCAGGAGAGCCTGCCTATGCCAGTGCTACCCTAAGATGTGTACACTGTTGTTTATTCTTCTCCTATCAAGGCTTCTCTTGGGGCGATTCAAGCTGGAATACAGACTGCCGGCGCGGGCCCGGTAGCTCACAGCTGTAATCCCAGCACTTTAGGAGGCTGAGGTGGGTGGATCACGAGGTCAGGAGATCGAGACCATCCTGGCCAACATGGTGAAACCCTGTTTCTACTAAAAATAAAGAAATTAGCCGGGCATGGGGGTGCATGCCTGTAATCCCAGCTACTCGGGAGGCTGAGGCAGAAGAATCGCTTGAAACCAGGAGGCAGAGATTGCAGTGAGCCAATATCACACCATTGCACTCCAGCCTGGAGACAGAGCTAGATTCCGTCTCAAAATTTAAAAAACAAAAACAAAAAACAAAACAAACAAAAAAAAAAAACACAGACTGCCTTTCAGATGTTGTGTATTAGTCCGTTCTTGCGCTGCTATGAAGAAATACCTGAGACTGGGTCATTTATAAAGAAAAAGAGGTTGAATTGGCTCACGGTTCTGCAGGCTCTACAGGAAGCATGGCAGCGTCTGCTTCTGGGGAGGCCTCGGGGAGCTTTGACTCATGGCAGAGGGCAAGAGCAGATGTCTTGTAAGAGCAGACATCTTACATGGCAGGAGCAGGAGCAAGGAGGGGGATGCCACACACTTTAAAACGACAAGATCTCACGAGAACAGCACCAAGAGGACGGCGCCAAACCATTCATGAGAAACCGCGCTCATGAGCCAATCACCTGCCATCAGGACCCACCTCCAACACTGGGGATTACAATTTGACATGAGATTTGGTGGGGACACAGATCCAAACCGTATCCAGTTGTGATAGATTAAATTACTATTCAGCAGATACTCTGTGTGCACTGTGGGCAGAGGGTACTTCCCTGCTCCACTGATATTTTTAAATTATTATTATTATTATTATTATTATTATTATTATTCAAGATGGAGTCTCGCTCTGTCACTCAGGCTGGAGTGCAATGGAGCAACCTCGGCTCACTGCAACCTCTGCCTCCTCAGTTCAAGCAATTCTTCTGCCTCAGCCTCCAGAGTAGCTGAGATTACCGGTGCCTGCCACCATGCCCAGCTACAAAATTTTGTATTTAGTAAAAATACAAAGGGGGGAGGGGGGAGGGATAGCATTGAGAGGTATACCTAATGCTAGATGACGAGTTAGTGGGTACAGCACACCAGCATAGCACATGTATACATACGTAACTAACCTGCACAATGTGCACATGTACCCTAAAACTTAAAGTATAATAATAATAAAAAAAAGTCCAAAAAACACAAAATAACTTTTGTATTTAGTAAAAATGCAAAATAACTTTTGTATTTAGTAAAAATGCAAAATAACTTTTGTATTTAGTAAAAATGCAAAATAACGGCCAGGCAAGGTGGCTCACTCCTGTAATCCCAGCACTTTAGGGGGCCGAGGTGGGTGGATCACCTGAGGTCAGGAGTTCGAGACCAGCCTGACCAACATGGTGAAACCCTGTCTCTACTAAAAATAAAAAAATAGCTGTGCGTGGTGGCGCGTGTCTGTAGGCCCAGCTATTCGGGAAGCTGAGACAGGAGAATCTCTTGAACCTGGGAAGCAGAGGTGGCAGTGAGCTGATATTGCACCAGTGCACTCCAGTCTGGGAGGTTGCAGTGAGCTGAGATCATGCCACTGCACTCCAGCCTGGGTGACAGAGTGAGACTCTGTCTCAAAAAAAAAATACAAAATACAAAATAACTTTTGTATTTTTAGTAGGGACAGGGTTTCACCATGTCGGCCAGGGTGGTCTGGAACTCCTGACCTCAAGTGATCCACCCACCTCGGTCTCCCAAAGTGCTGGGATTACAGGCATGAGCCACTGCGCCCAGCCTGTTCCACTAATATTGAGTTTGAGCTTGGGACTTGATTTGTCCAATGAAATGTTAGCAGACGTGATCAGTGCAGTAGATTGAAGTGCTGATGTGGACGGCTTGCCCTCTTGCCCATCTGCCTTCTGCTATGAATAGGATGTGCCTTGACTAACCACAAGTCCAACTGAGGTAAAAGACTGGTAGGATTTGTTTTCTGGCCATAACCATGCTGACCAAAACAAACAGGATTTCGTCCAGACAGGATAAAGTAAAGAAACCAGTGAAAACCAGCAGATGATGACCAGGGTGATTCTTGGCTGCCCTCGTCGCTCAATAGCATAAGGCACTCCCACCAGCTCCATCACAGTTTACAAATGCCATAGCAATGACCTGGAAGTTATCACTTTTCCATGGCAGTGACCTGGAAGGTACTGCCCCTTTCCTGGAGAGTTCTAAATAATCTGCCCCCTCACTCTGCATTAACCAACCCCTTAACTGACATGTGATTGAAAGTGGGTATAAGTGGGTATAAATACAGTTACCAAGAGCTCATATGTTGCCGACTCTGGGCACACTGCCTATGAGTCACCCCTGCTCTGCAAAGAGCAGTACCGTTCCAGAAAAGATTGCTGTTTAGCACCACCGGCCTGCCCTTGAATTATCTCCTGGGCAAAGACAAGAACCCTCCTGGGCTAAGCCTCAACGTTGGGGTTCGCCTGTCCTACATCACAATGAGGATGGAATCCCACAGAGCAGGCCTGGACCTGCTTGCAGCATGAAGCCTACTCCAGCTGGGCCTAGAAAAGATCAGCCAAACCCTCATTGACCCACAGGCAAATGAGTAAGAAATAAATGCTCACTTTTGCATGCCATTGAGTTTTGGAATTATTTGTTAAGCAATAATAGTTGACTAATTCAAGGGAGCAGGCTTCCCTTTCTTCCCACATTCTCCCTAGCTGTCCTTTTGAATATTAAATCGGCAGCAATTAACACTACTGATCCTCCCACAAGAAGAAAATAAACTTGGAGTAGATTTGCCAGGAATGGGGGGTCCCTTACATGGAGCCACATTCATTATCTTGCCCAGGCTCCCCAGCAAACAGCCTTACCTTATTAATTATCAATATGGTTATACATAGAGCAAAGCTAGTTCAGCTGTTCGAGCCAATTGGCCAAATCCAGGCCCAATGCTGGAGGCTTGGCCTCCTTAATATGTGTAACCAGGCTGGGCATGGTGGCTCACACCTGTAATCCCAGCACTTTGGGAGGCTGAGGCATGAGGATCACTTGAGCCCAGGAGTTTGAGACCAGCCTGGGCAACATGGTTAGACTCTATTTCTAAAAAAAAAAAAAAAGAAAAGAAAAAAAATGTTTTAAATAGCTGGGAGTGGTGGCACCTGCATGGCCACAGCTACTCAGGAGGCTGAGGTGGGAGGATTGCTGGAACCCGGGAGTTCGAGATCAGCCTGGACAACATAGTGAGACTCCGTCTCTACAAAAAAAAAAAAAAAAAAAAATTAGCATGGTATGGTGGTGCACACCTGTGCTCCCAGCTACTTGAGAGGCTAGGGTGGTAGGATAGCTTGAGCCCAGGATGTCAAGGCTGCAGTGAGCTGTGGTAGTACCACTGCACTCCAGCCTCGGCGACAGAGTGAGACCTTATCTCAAATAAAATAAAGTTCGAACTAGCTGGTAACAGAGATCATCCTGGCACACTCAGAATGCTGTGCAGTCACCCATCCTTAGGAATCCATCCATCCCAAGGCGCCGTCCAGCTGCAGAGGTGCTAGATCAAAAGTAAGTGCTTCTAAAAGGTCTCGGAGAGTGGAGGGCAAGGGCTGAGTTCTCAGAAACATTCTTGCCTTGTCTGACATCAGGCAGCTTCTCCTCACCCCCTCCCTGGCCACACTCCTTCCTCACCTGTCTCCTCGCCCCATCCCAGCCCTTCTCTGCAATGCCTCTTCCCTCAGCTTACCCCCTGTCATGGTCCTAATCAATTCCCCAGCCAAAAAAAAATGTGTTCGTCCAGAGAGTTGAATCCTCAAATCACCCAGATAATCAATATTCGACTACTGTGCTACAGAGCAGGAGATCGATTTGCTGCCAGCCATTGCCAGGCAACTGGAAACTTTCATGCCATCCCCCTCCGACGAAGGCACCGTGGATAGTGGGGCAGCACTGCGGGGCTGGGTTTTAGGGATCAGTGGTGTGCAAATGCAGTGGACCGTAGGGAGAAGAGAGGGTCTTGCTGCTTTCTTTTTTAAAAAAATAAAACAGGATCTCACTCTGTCACCCAGCCTGGAGTGCAGTGGCATGATCATAGCTCTCTGCAGCCTCAATTTCCTGGGCTCAAGTGATTCTCCCACCTCAGCCTCCCAAGTAGCTGGGACTTGACAGGCATGGGCCACTGTGACTGGCTAATTTTTTTTTTTGCAGAGACTGGGTCTCACCGTGTTGCCCGGGCTGGTCTCGAATTCCTGGGCTCAAGTGATCATCCGCCTTGGCCTCTCAAAAGGCTGGGATTATAGGCGTGAGCTGCCATGCCCGGCCTTCCTGCTGCTTTCAAGACTTCAGTGATGTTCCATCCAACATTCTGGCTTGAGGAAAATCACTTGTTTAAAAATCCTTTTTACTATAGAAAATTTCAAATATTTGCTCAGAGGGATACTATAATGAAAATCCATGTACTCATTACCTAGCTTTAACAATTATCAACCATGGGTGAATTTGGTTTTATTCTACCAGTCCCTCTCTGCCATCGGATTATAGTTGAGCAAATCTTCAACATCATTCATAGATATTTCAGTATGTATCTCTGAAAGAGAAGAAATCTCTTTTTTCATAAATATTTCAGCATTTATTTGCAAACCTACGATGCCATTCGGTACCTGGTTTAATATAAAAATTTAGTTGTGTTTTTTATTTTTATATTTTTGAGACAGGGTCTCACTCTGTCACCCAGGCTGAAGTGCAGTGGCACCATCCTAGCTCACTGCAGCCTTGACCTCCTGGGCCCAAGTCATCCTCCTGCCACAGCCTCCCCAGTAGCTTGGACTACAGGTGTGCACCACCATGCCTGGTTAATTTTTTAAAAGTTTTTTGTAGAGATGAGGTCTCACTATGTTGCCCAGGCTGTAAAAAGGCTAGTTTTTTTTTTTAAAAAAAAATCTTATTCTCTTATTTTAATTGCAAAAGTAATACACACTCATACTAAATAAAACAATACAGAAATATATAAGAAGGAATCTTAAAAAACAAAAAACCACAACATCATTATCATACTTTCAAGAAATTAATCTTTGTTTCTCCATAGCATCAAATATCCAGTCAGTGTTCAAACTTCCCTAAATACCTTAATTTTTTAAAGTTTTCTTTTAATCGGGAATCAAACAAATTTCAAACATTCAGCTGGGCATGGTGGCTCACACCTGTAATCCCAGAACTTTGGGAAGCCAAGGTGGGCAGAACACTTGAGGTCAGGAGTTTGAGGCCAGCCTGGCTAACACGGTGAAACCCCGTCTCTACTAAAAATACAAAAAATTAGCCAGATGTGATCTTGGCTACTCAGGAGGCTGAGGCAGGAAGATCGCTTAAACCCTGGAGGCAGAGGTTGCAGTGAGCCAAGATCACACCACTGCACACCAGCCTGGGCAACAGACTGAGATTCTGCCAACAAACAAACAAATAAAAAAAACATTGTAATTGGTTGGTATGTTTCTTAGGTTTCTTTTAATCTGCCAGTTTCCCTTGCAGTTTATCTCTTGAAAAGGAGGATCACTGGTTCTGTGGAGAATCCCGCAGCCCAAATCTTACACCCCGTGGTGGGGTTTAGCACGTGCCTCCATCTCCTGCACTGCCAGAAGGTTTCCATGGATTGGAAATTGGACCAAGCAGCTTGGTCAGATTCAGGTTTGACATAGTGGTAAGACTACTTTCTTAGCCATTTTCATCAGGTGTCTAGAATGCCTGGCCTCACATGTTTATTGAAGGAGGAGAAGAAAGGCTACTTTGGAGAAACCCATAGATCCATTTTCCAAGTCTGACTAACCAAGATTCTTCAGAGGTGCTGAGGGATTTATCTGATGACAAAAAAAAATATCTATATCAATAATTAATCTCGAAGTGTCCTTGTTGCAGCCAGTGATAAGAGAAAGCTGCACAGTGCCTGAGTCTAGCAGATCTGCGGAGACCACTCTGGGACAAAATACATAAACACTAGTAAATTACTTCAAAGCTTTTCTCTTTTTTAATTAACTGGAGTAATTTTGTAATAATCCCCATGGCTTGTGTCTTAAAATGCAAGTCAGTTAAGGATCGAATCCATCCTCCCACGGCGTTTCTCTAGTTCTGGGGCTCAGACCACGAGGGCTCAACCCCGCGGGATGGCGGTGACTCAAGGGCTTTCATAAAACACACAGAACTTTCCGGCTTCACTCCAGCCTCGGCAGATGGTAACAAGTGTCAGAAGCATTCAATTAGCCCCTGCATTTGCTCATGATTTAACAAGCTCCGTCTAGTGGCATACCTGTGATATGTGGAGCTGCAGAGACGTAAGCTTCTGAAGGACTCTATAAAAAGCTTTTTGAGAATGATGGGTTTGAGTATTTCAAGTTCCCAGACTGCCGTAAAAGGCAAAGGCCAGGCTCCCCCATTCCTCTTGACTGTGTGCTCACACAGCAAATTGAGCTTCCAAAGGCAATTAATTCCACAATCCTCAATTCCACAGGGGATCATGGGCTGTGCACACAGCTTCATAGAACCACTGAGCCAGGGGGACTTTGCCCTATATAGAAACCCTTGTGTTTATACACCTTGGAAATGCTTTTCAAAGCCAATTCGCTCACATTGTCATGTTGGAGCCTCACAAAATCCTGTTAAGTAGAACAGTTATTATCCCATTTGATGTATTTAAAAAAAAAAAAACAAACCATCCAAAGTCTGAGGTCAACAGGGAGGGAGTGATGACGTCCATTCAGAACCCATCCGCCTCCATTCTGAGCCTCTGGTGCAGGCTCCGGCCAGCACGGCCCCAGCAGGAGGTCCCAAAGGCAGTCCTGTAACCTTCATCCAGGAATTACGGGGGCTCCACCGTGCCTGGCATTTAACCATTCATTCAGGGAGAGCAAATCCAACAGTTCACGAGGACCATCCTGGGATGCTGTCGTCTGGATGGTCAGGAAGTGAAATACAGGCCCTGTGGCCTTGCTGCAAGCCTCGGTCCTCCCTGGACCTGGAGGCCACTGGATGTGTGTCCCCTTCGTGGGAGAGCTCCGTCCACCTGGAGACAGTAACCACGCTATGTCCAGCCACCCAGCAGGACCTCTCCAGGAGGACAAACCCGCATTCCTCACTGTCTCTCCGGGGAGAAGGTGTCTACCCTGAACAATCATGCCCCATCATGGTATATATGCATAGGCGGTGAGGCATTCTGGGCTCAATCTTTATGTGTCCCCCAATTCCAGGCTGACCTCTCGACTGTGGTGGACAAAGGAACAACCCCAGGTTTCTTTTGCAGGTCCCCATTCAGGAAATGCACCCTCCAGCCCCGGCCCTTCCACTTTGCCAGTGGAGAGTTTTCCGCTGAGCTGGAAGGCTGCACCCTGTCACACACCAGGTGTGCGAGGTCCAGTGCGTTGGCAGAGAGGATGGTGGAGGAAATGGTTTGGAAAGAAACTTAGCAGCAGCTGTGGAGGCAGAACCAGGAGCCGATTGGCCAAGAGGCAATGTTAGCTCCCCCTTGGCTCCTCCAGGTGAAGCAAGTTTTACATCCCAAAGCTCCATGGATCACAGGGCGACCACTCTCGGCTGGGGACTGCAGAGCGAAGGTCCTCTGTCTACCTGCATGTGAACCACCTGGTAGCTTTTGCCCCAAAACAAGTAAATCCAGCTCTCTGGGGTGAGTTTCTAACATCAGTGTTTTGTAATATTCCCCTGCGAGGAGAATGTGAATGCCAGCCAGAGTTGAAAATCATCCGCTTGGCCGGGTGCGGTGGCTCATGCCTGTAATCCTAGCACTTTAGGAGCCCGAGGCGGGTGGATCACGAGATCAGGAGTTCAAGATCAGCCTGACCAACATGGTGAAACCCCGTCTCTACTAAAAATACAGAAATCAGCCAGGCGTGGTGGCGGGCGCCTGTAATCCCAGCTACTCAGGAAGCTGAGGCAGGAGAATCGCTTGAACCCAGGAGGCAGAGGTTGCAGTGAGCCGAGATCGTGCCATTGCACTCCAGCCTGGGTGACAGAGCAAAACTCCATCTCAAAAAAAAAAGGAAAGAAAAGAAAGAAAATTATCGCGTTAGGGAGTCCCCAGTGCAGGGGTTTCTCAGCCCTCACTGCACCCTGGGATTCTCTGGGAGCTTCAACAATACCGGCTCCGGGACCCCTCTTCACAGATCCTGATCTCACAGCTGGGGTGCATGGGGTGCAGCCGGGGGCCGGGATTTTTGAAAGGCTCCAGGTGGGTCTGACATTGAGACAACAGGGCCACTGCACTGACGCTTTTTTTTTTTAATTGTAAAAAACAAGCCCCTGCAAACTCTGGCTTGATCTGGCTTTGAGAAAGCCTCTCTATTCTTTCCTTTCTTCTTCTTCTTTTTTTTTTTTTTAGAGAGAGGGTCTAGCTTGGACTCCTGGGCTTAAGCAATCCTCCCTAGTAGGTGGGACCTCACCTGGCTGAGTCCTTTCTGTGTAGCATCTGCACACAGGTAAAACTGACATTGAAAATCTCAGCAAATTGGCAAATTAATAGACAGGTAACCCCCAGGAATGACTTCATTTCCCTTGTGAGTACTAATACTCCCAAACGTGGTGTGGCCTTTAAACACCGTATAAACCGCTTTGCAGAAGTTCTTGTTTGAGCATCACCAGTGCCACAGGGAAGCAGTTATTCATCTCAGACTTCTGTTTCCTCAGCTGTAAAATGGAGCCAAGTGGCTTGCGTGTGTTTGCTGGGTTTGGGGGAAGCCAGGGCTCCAACCCAGGCCTCTGACTCTGGGCTCAGGACCTCTCCCCCTTAACTTGCTTACGAGACACACTAGAGCCACGTCCAGGAGGAAAGGTAGGCTGCCTGGGGGCAGAAGGTGGTGTTTTCTGCAGAAAAAGAACATCAGGGGCCGGGCGCAATGGCTCATGCCTGTAATCCCAGCACTTTGGGAGGCTGAGGCGGGTGGACCACCTGAGGCCAGGAGTTCAAGACTGGTCTGACCAACATGGTGAAACCCCGTCTCTACTCAAAATACAAAATTAGCCGGGCATGGTCATGTGTGCCTGTAATCCCAGCTACTCGGGAAGCTGAGGCAGGAGAATCGCTTGAACCTGGGAGGTGGAGGTTGCAGTGAGCCAAGATTGTGCCACTGCACTCCAGTGTCTCACGCAAAAAAACAAAAAACAAAAAAACAAAAAAAACCACAGGGATTGGGGATAATCCATGGCCACCGTGATGGTGAGGCTCTCCCAAGGCTAATTCTCCCATCCCGCAAGGGCAAGAGCCCTTTCCAGATGCTCCTGCAGAGATGACAAACCATGAGAAGGGTGCTTAGCACTGCAGCAGGTTGGTTGGGAGGGCAGAGGTTACCTGCAAGACAAGGCCAGCTGGGGTGAGCCCCGGCAGGTGCAGGGACAGGGCTCCTGGGGCTGACGACTGGAAGCCTGTCCTCCCCTTGGGAAGCCTGGCACTCCCTGACATCAGGGCTCCTGCCTGGCTGTGGCTGGCACTTGGCTCTGGACGACTGTCTCTTGGATCACAGAGGGGCCAGGATGAGGACTGGGCAGAGTGGGGCCCTCTACATGGAAGGATCTCACCTCCCACTCGCTCCTTCCATGGGGTTGTCAGAGGACCGCAGACCCGTCCTAAAGGCAGCACAGACACAGAGCCTTAATTCTAGTCCTTATATCACAGTCCCCACCCCCGGGATAGATTGTGCTTTTTTCCAGAGTCAGAATGGGGACGCTCAGGGCTTTATTGAACGTTTATTGTAAATACCAGTTTTGTTCTTCCCATTAGAGAAGGAACGTGCTGTCTCCACGCTGCCGAGGTGGAGGGGCGTGGGGAGGAAGCTGTCCCTCTGCTGGCCGTCCCTCCCCTGCTCTGGTGGCTCCTCGGGGGGCTCACAGCACAGGTCCAAGTCCTCAATGTGCCAGGTGAGTCCTCCCCACTGGCAGCTCCTGTCCCCTGCCGCCAGCCTGTCTTGCATCAGCCACACCATGCCCTTTAGTGTCAGAAGCTCCTCGGCTTGGGGACCCCTGTGGCTTCTGTCCTGTAGACCCCACGCCTAGCACAGTCCCTAGCCCATTGCACCCTGTGGGTGTCGCTGAGTGAATGCCTTCACGGTTCCTCCTCCCTCCTCTTCTCTCCACCTAAAATACTTGTTTTCCAGTCCTCCATCTGGAAATGTGACTATGTTTTCTCATCCATACACAGCGATGCAATAGCGCCAGGCTCACTGGCCAGGGGAGTGATACAGGGGGGCACCTGGCACAGTCGGGCACAAGGTAGTCACCGCACAGCCACCACCACTTCCGTCATGGTCGGTATCATATAGCGGGGCAGAGATTGGGCTTTGGAGCCCAGAGAGGCCTGTGTTCAAATCGACTCTGCTCTGACTTGTGGTGTGGACTTGGCCGCGGGACTGAGCGCGGGGCCTGCTCAGGGGCCAGCGTCACAGGGAAGACAGTCCGAGCAAGCATGGGTCAGGGCGCTGAGGCTTCCTCCTGCGAGCCAAAGGGAAACTCAGCCACGGGGACTCAGGGAGGCCTGTGGGGCAAGTCTGAGCCTCCCTCTCGGTGGCCAGTGGGCCTCTCCTTAGGTGCCTGGGGCACCTTCTCACCCAGCAGCTGGCTGCCTGGAGTGGGCAGCCCCAGGGGCTGGGTGGTCCTAGCCATGTGGGTTGGACTCTGTCCACCATTCTGCCCTTTCTGCTCACTCAGGTTCCTGCGAATGGTGTCGGGCCACCGTCTATATCTTCTTCTCCTGCCTCAGGACACAGGGAACCTAGGGAACTCCAGACAATGGTCGAGGACTGGGGGAGCCCCCAGGGTTCCTGAGTCTCCTAGGAGGACAGTGGAGCAAGGATTTGTGTCCGCAGGCTGGAGTCAGGCTTGCATTTGATGCCCTGGTTACCTTTGCAGCATCTGGGACAGAGTGGTGTGGAGATAGGGAGGGGGTTTTGCCCTGGGCCTGCCCAGGTGTTACTTCACTTCCCCAGCACTCATCTGTCATGCCCCTCGAATCCACATCCGACTAGGAGGCCCTCCTCTCTGGCCACCTTTCCTTTCTACCAACAACCCCCTAGTTCTTTTTCTCTCTCTCTGCCTTCGCTTCCTCCACTCTCTCCCTGCCCTAGGATCCCAGCTCCATCCTGGAGTCAGAACCTGCAGGGGCTTCGTTCCTGCAGAGCATGCTGGGGCTTCCTTCCCGCAGGATGTGCAGGGGAAATCGTGATCTGTCAAATCCACGTTCACCCTCTCCCGATGGACTAGGAGAGGAATGGTGCGATTCCTTCCAGAAGGCCTTCCCCACGTGAGATAGGGAGAAAGAGAGAAGATAGGGCAAATTTTGTGAGGGAAAAAAGTACAAACCACTGGGATAGATGACAGCCATGTTCAGAGGCTGGGGAGACTGAGAGAGGAGAAGGAGGACTCTGGGGTAGGTGGTGTGTGTGAACACACAGACAGAGCCTGGGAGAGGGGCAGTGCTAGGGACTCTCAGGGGCTGGAGAGCAGAGGGGACGCGGCTGGGAAACTCCCAGGGAAGCAGGTGAGTGGGAGCTCTGGATGGACGCAGAGGAGACTGTCCTCCAAGCCGGGCCACCCACAGCACCCAGGGTGGAAACAGACAACTCGCAGCTCTCTTTCCAAGGTCGAGAGGTCACAGAGCAGAGCCAGGCCAGGGCCATAGCTCTGCAGGCCAGCAGGAGGAGCGGGGCAGCCTCCCTCTCCACCACCTCCCCCGTGGCCGCCTGGATTGCCCTCGGCTGTGCCAGAATCTCCAGCACACTCAGCCTGGCCCAGCCCAGGCCTCTCAGGGACTGGCCTCCCTGCCTTTGCCCAGCCTCCTGAAAAGCACAGCTGGCCCCACTCAGGAGCAGTTAGCCTGAGGGCCCTTCCTGTCAGCCGGTAGATCACTGGCTGGCTGCCTCAGTCACCACTTGGTGGAGGTGACTGCAGGTAAGCAGGCGCCTGGGAGTCTGGCTCGTGCCACCATCTGCATTTTTTTGTGAATCCTGGAGTATCTTGTCACATTATCTCTAACCAGTAGAGAGGCATGTGTGCACACGTGTGCATGCGTCTGTATGCTCTCATCTATGTGTATTTGAGTGTGTGTGTCTACATGCACCTGTGTGCATGTGTGTGTACCTGTGTGTGCATCTGTGTGCTTTGTGTGTGTGGGTATGTGTGTACATGTGTGCCTATGCATGTCTGTGTCTGCGTGTGTGTTTATGTGTATGTGTGCACACATGCATCCATGTATGTGTGTCTATGCACGTGTGCACATGTGTCTGTGCTTCTGTCTGCCAGTGCACATGTATATGTCTGTGCATCTGTGTGTGTGCACGTGTCTGTGTGTGCAAGTATACACATGGCTCTCTGCGTGTGTCTGTCTCCCTGCGTGTCTGTGTGTGTGCGTGCATGTGTGCTCACAAGCTCTGGGCGTGGGCCCTAGTGTCTGAGAGCAGGGATGAGATTGTTTTGCCTCAGAAAGCCCAGGGCAGAAACATTTCCCCCGCACGATCAAGGCCTTCCGTGGCTGCTCAGAACACACCGCGTTCCCGGCCGCACACGCAGTCACACGGGCTGGTGCACACTCACACTCAGGCCCGAGCCCTCCCGTCACACTCTTTGGTCTCCCGCAGGAAGCCCCCGGAGCCCCAGCCCACAGGCCTCCATTCCCAGCGGGTACCCCGGGCCCCACGCTTTCCTGTGAACCCTACAAGCGCAGCCTGCCCGCCCCTCGCTGGCTGCCTTCAGGGAGCCCCCGGAAAGCCGGGCCGGGGAGCTGGCAGGGACACCCCAGGTCTCTGCGTCCTGCCTTCCCGCGCCCTCAGCAGCCCAAGCCGGGGCTCCAGCAGGGAGAGCAAATGTTGTCTGCAGAAGGCGCCAGGCCTCCCCAGCTCCCCCAAGGCCTATTGCGAGCCCAGGCACAGGAAAATTGTTCCAAGCGCGCTCCTCATCCTTGTCTTCAGCCCTGTTGGCACTACCCGGTGTCAGGGATGCCTCCCTGCCCTCGCTATGAGAACATCATTTTCCTTCTTTTTCAGGCCCACGAAGGAGCTCCTCGCGGTGCCGGGAGCGCCCCCTCGTGGCGAAGCCGCGCAGGCACAGTGTCTGGGACACCTGGGGTCCAGGTGCCTTCCCAACACCTGAAAGGCGGGATGGGAGGCGGGGGCAGATGTTCACCCGCTTCTGTCCCTACTGATCTTCCTCCCCCCGGAGTCCCGGGTGTTGAGGGAAGAAACCTGCACTTGGATGCTTTTCACCGAGCTGAGCCCTTGGATACCTGGAAACACAATACCTCCCTGGGACTAATGCCATCCTCAGGGCTCACTCTGGATCCGGCTATACCTGTTGCAGCAGCAATTCTCTGGGAACACTTCAGAGCCCTCTTTACAGATTGTTTAGATTGGGTGGGGATAAGCTGGGCATGGTGGCTCACGCCTGTAATCCCAGCACTTTGGGAGCCTGAAGCAGGAGGATTACTTAAACCCAGGAGTTTGAGACCAGCCTGGGCAACATAATGAGACCCCATCTCTACCAAAAAAAAAAAAAAATAGCTGGACTTGGTGGCATGTACCTGTAGTCCCAGCTACTCAGGAGGCAGAGGCGGGAGGTCGAGGCTGCAAGGAGCCAGGGTTGTGCCACTGCACTCCAGCTTGGGTGATAGCGCAAGACCCTGTCTCAAAAATCAAAATAAAAGCTGGGGGCCAGGTGCGGTGGCTCACTCCTGTAATCCCAGCACTTTGGCAGGCTGAGGCGGGCGGATCACGAGGTGAGGAGATAGAGACCATCCTGGCCAACACGGTGAAACCCCATCTCTACTACAAATACAAAAAATTAGCCGGGCGTGGTGGCAGGCGCCTGTAGTCCCAGCTACTCGGGAGGCTGAGGCAGGAGAATGGTGTGAACCCGGGAGATGGAGCTTGCAGTGAGCCGAGATCGCGCCAATGCACTCCAGCCTGGGCGACAGAGCGAGACTCCATCTCAAAAAAAAAAAAAAAAAAAAAAAAAAATGGTGGGCGCGGTGGCTCACGCCTGTAATCCCAGCACTCTTGGAGGCCGAGATGGGCAGATCACCTGAGGTTAGGAGTTTGAGACCAGCCTGGCCAACATGGCAAAACTCTGTCTCTACTAAAAATACAAAAATTAGCTGGGTGTGGTGGCCCATGTCTATAATCTCAGCTACTTGGGAGGCTGAGGCAGGAGAATCGCTTGAACCCAGGAGGCAGAGGTTGCAGTGAGCCAAGATCATGCCACTGGACTCCAGCCTGGGCGACAGAGCAAGACTCCATGTTTAAAATAAATAAATTTTTAAAAATAAAAATAAAAAGATTGGGTGAGGATCTTGTGTGGTGGTGGGCGGTTGGGGGGGCGGGGGGGCAGTTCTCACCCCATCCAGAGCAGGCACCAGGGACAGAAAGTGTGACCCTACAATTTGTGGAACCAGCTCCTGTCAAACTCTCTTTGTCCTCTCAGAGGCAGAGGAAGGACAGAAAGAAAGAAGATCATTTGTCTTTAAAATTTTTCCAATGATAAACAGAAATCATTATAGTGAGAGCCAACGTCTGTATAGCATGTCCCATGTGGCAAGCCCTGTTCTAAATCTTTCAGACACATTAACTTATTGAATCCTCCCAACATTTTCAATGTGGAAAACTGGTAAAACACAAAATTACAAGGAAGGAAAATAAAACCCACAGTTCTATCATGCATTCCCTGCCAGTTCTTCATCTATGCATATGGATTTTTTAACAAAATAGTGATGGTGCCGCACAGTACACTTCTGCGTTCTGCCTTTTCTCATGGCCCAAGGTCATTTGTCTTGGGAAATACTCTTAATGGCTGCTTTGTATTCTGTCTTCGGAATGTACTGTCATTTATTTGACCATTCTGGGGGAAACTTCTGCTTTTACTACAAAAAGCCTGTGTGTTGGGAGCTCGAAGGGCTTGTTTCACTCCAGCCTCTGAGCCTGCTGTGTGTTCACAATGGTGTAGGAGCAGTGACAGTTTCCTAAACCCCCGTCTGTGGGAATCTCAGGTGTGTGTGTTACCTATGTGTGCAAGTGCCTGCGTGAATGTGTGTGTGTTTCCCGTGCTTAGACTTGCCGTATAAGTACTCATACTTCCTAGGAATCTGTCCAAAAGAATTGAAAACAATAGGCCAGGCATGGTGGCTCACACCTGCAATCTCAGCACTTTGGGAGGCCAAGGCGGTAGGATTGCTGAGGCCAGAAGTTCGAGACCAGCGAGGCCAGAAGTTCGAGACCAGCCTGGCCAACATGACTAAACGCCATCTCTACTACAAACACAAAAATTAGCTGGGCGTGGTGGCGTGTGCCTGTAGTTTTAGCTATTTGGGAGGCTGAGGCAGGAGAATTGCTTGAACTCTGGAGATGGAGGTGGCAGTGAGCCGAGATCGCACCACTGCGCTCCAGCCTGGGTGACACAGTGAGATTCCATCTCAAAAGAAAAAAAAAGGAATTAAAAACAATAGAAACAGCTGGGCACAGTGGCTCACACCTGTAATCCCAGGACTTTGGGAAGCCAAGGCGGGTGGATCACATGAGGCCAAGAGTTCAAGACCAGCCTGGGCAACATGGTGAAACCCTGTCTCTACTAAATTACAAAAATTAGCTGGGCATGGTGGTGTGTGCCTGTTGTCCCAGCTAGTCAGGAGGCTGAGGCAGGAGAATCACTTGAACCAGAGAGGCAGAGGTTCCAGTGAGCCGAGATTGAGCCACTGCACTCAGGCCTGGGCGACAGAGTGAGACTATGTCTCAGAAAAAAAAAAGAAACAAATACATGTAATATATATGTAATAACCAAAAGGCGGAAACAACCCAAATGTCCATCAATGAATAAAAAGATAAAATGCAGTATAGACACAAAACAGAAGCTTATTCAGCTATAAAAAGGAGAGGCTGGGTGCAGTGGCTCACACCTGTAATCCCAGCACTTTGAGAGGCTGAGGTGGGCAGATCACGAGGTCAGGAGATCAAGAAGAGCCTGGCCAACATGGTGAAACCCCGTCTCTACTAAAATACAAAAATTAGCCGGGTGTGGTGGCGCGTGCCTGTAATTCCGGCTACTCAGGAGGCTGAGGCAGGAGAATGGCTTGAACCAGGGAGTTGGAGGTTATGGTGAGCCAAGATCATGCCACTGCACTCCGGCCTGGCAATAGGGTGAGACTCCGTCCCCCTCACCCCCCCAAAAAAGAGAAAAAGATGGTTAATGTTTTTTATACAGAGACAGAGTCTTACTCTGTCACTCAGGCTGGAGTGCAGAGGTGCAATCTCAGCTCACTGCAGCCTCGAGCTCCTGGGCTCAATCATCAATCCTCCTACCTTAGCCTCCCAAAGTGCTGGGATTACAGGTGTGAGCCACCGTGCCTGGCCCAAGAGGGCTAATTTTATGTTATGTAAGTTTTGCCTGAATTTAAAAAAAAAAGTCATACTAATGGCATCTATCAAGCCAGGCTTTCACACAAAATAGCCCTTTATAGTCAAATTATTATTATTTTTTTAGAGACAGGTTCTCACTCTGTCACCCAGGCTGGAGTGCAGTGTCGTGATCATGGATCACTCGAATCTTGACCTCCTGGGCTCAACTGATCCTCCCGCCTCAGCCTCCGGAGTAGCTAGGACCACAGGTGTGCACCACAGCACCTGGCTAATTTTAAAATATTTTCTAGAGACAGGATCTCACTATGTTGCCCAGACTGGTCCCAAACTCTTGACTTCAAGCGATTCTCCCGCTTGTTCGTGTCCCAAAATGTTGGGATAATGGGCGGGAGCCAGTGTGGCCACTGATGGTCCAATTCTTTCTTCCTCTTTTGCTGCCCGTCTCTCACAGCCTGCCCCTTAGCCTCCGACTGTGAAGTTTAGACCCGAATTGGTCACACGGCACCTGTTCTCATCATCCCATTCTCTCCCCTTCCTTCGCTTGGTCCATAATCTGTATTTGTCAGAGAAAGGACTTCAGTTGCCGTGGGGATCTGAATGGACTTTGCTGAGGATTTTGGACCTTATTTTTATTTTTCAGACCATGTCTAAAAGAAACAAACGGCCCCAAGGCAGGGTTTGGGTGGCAGCCAAGCTACTGTGAGGTTCAGCTCTCCTGCTCACGCAGGACAAAGGGATGCACACACGGGTGGAGAAACATGGGGGTACTTTTTGCAATGGATGTGGGAAAGGGAACCACCAAGACTGTTATTGGCTGGGCACGGTGACTCACGCCTGTAATCTCAACACTTTGGGAGGCCGAGGTGGGCGGATAACTTGAAGTCAGGAGTTCGAGACTAGCCTGGCCAACATGGTGAAACCCTGTCTCTACTAAAAATACAAAAATTAGCCGGGTTTGGTGGCGCACACCTGTAATCCCAGCTACTGGGGAGACTGAGGCAGGAGAATCACTTGAATCCGGGAGGTGGAGGTTGCAGTGAGCCAAGATAGCACCACTGCACTCCAGCCTGGGCGACAGAGCAAGACTCCATCTCAAAAAAAAAGAAAAAAAGACTTCTATTTGGTGGCCTGTTTGCCTTCCCCATTACACTTTCACTGTGAGCTCATCAAGGGCTGGGACAGTGTTCTTCACTCCATTTCTCCAATGCCTGGGTCGTATCACGGACTTGGCACATGGGAGGAACCTCGTCAGTGTTTCATGAGTGAGTGAAGCCCACTCAGCGTTTGATGATGGATGAATGTTTGGATTCATTAACGAATGTGAATCACACCTCAAGCCGAGCTCCACATTAGATTCACCTGGGGAGCTTATCAACAGCCCTGTGATGGCTGCACCTAAAAGCAATTAATTCTGAATCTAGGGGTAGGGATGGGGCCCAGGCCTTAGGATTTTTTTTTTTTTGAGACGGAGTTTCGCTCTTGTTGACCAGGCTGGAGTCCAGTAGCGTAGTCTCAGCTCAGTGCAATCTCTGCCTCCCAGCTTCAAGCAATTCTCCTGCCTCAGCCTCCCGAGTAGCTGGGATTACAGGCACCCACCACCATGCCCGGCTAATTTTTGTATTTTTAGTAGTGATGGGGTTTCTCCATGTTGGCCAGGCTGGTGTCGAACTGCTGACCTCAAGTGATCTGCCCACCTCGGCCTCCCAAAGTGCTGGGATTACAGGCGTGAGCCACTGTGCCTGGCCCAGGCTTCAGGATTTTTAAGAGCCTCCCAGGTGATCTCAAGGTGCAGCCAAGGTTGAGAACCACTCACAGACAGAATGGGACATCTGGGACCTTAAAATTTCACACTAACATTTAGACACCGAAGTCCATGCAGAGGACATGGAAACCAAATAGAAACTAACAAGAAAGACACGAAAAACGACGGAAGCTGTGAATCAGGGCATAAAGATACAAGATATTGAGATCATACATAAAGAACCAGCGGGCATGGAACCGAGGGAAGGGCTAGCGCCTGTCCCGTGGGCCAGCACTTGCTAAGAGCCTGTTTTGTTCATGACACTCCCAGGAGCTGTGCTGTCTCAGTGAAGAGCATTACTTAGGAAAATCCCATTCTTCCCCCTTGACATCTCAATGACTTGGCTCCTGCCCAAACCCCCTGCTCAGGGTGGCTCTGGCCTTTGTTTTTCTCAGATTTGGTCTAAACAGTGAGGTTCTGGCGCCAGCTCGGACAGGCTCCCAAGGCTGTTCAAGTTTCAGGACGTTGGCAAACCAATTGTTCCATGGGACCATTATTTAAAAATAAATTATGTAAACTTAGAGTTACATCAATTACATAAAAAGATAGTAGATGCTCAAAACATCACTACTAATTATTTTACTACATTTTACTGCTATCTATGCTCTTTTAAAAATTTTAAGTGGGGACAGTTTCATTTTTTTTACTTTATTTTATTTATTTATTTATTTATTGAGATGGAATTTTGCCTTTGTTGCCCAGGCTGGAGTGCAGTGGCACCATCTCGGCTCACTGCAACCTCCGCCTCTCGGGTTCAAGTGATTCTCCTGCCTCAGCCTCCTGAGTAGCTGGGATTACAGGCCTGCGCCACCACGCCCGGCTAATTTTGTATTTTTAGTAGAGACGAGGTTTCTCCATGTTGTTCAGGCTGGTCTCGAACTCCCGACCTCAGGTGATCTGCCCGCCTCAGCCTCCCAAAGTGCTGGATTACAGGCATGAGCCACCATGTCTGGCCTGTTTATTTAGTTTTTGAGACAAGATCTTGCTCTGTTGCCCAGGCTGGAGAGCAGTGGTGGGATCATAGCTCACTGAGGGCTGGGTGTGATGGCTCACGCCCCTAATCCCAGCACTTTGGGAGGCTGAGGCGGGTGGATCATTTGAGGTCAGGAGTTCAAGACCAGCCTGGCCAACATGGTAAAACCCGTCTCTACTAAAAATACAAAAAATTAGCTGGGTAGGGTGCTGCACACCTGTAATCCCAGCTACTGGGGAAGCTGAGGCAGGAGAATGGCTTGAACCTGGAAGGGGGAGGTTGCAGTGAGCTGAGATCACACGACTGCACTCCAGCCTGGGCGACAGAGTGAGACTCCACCTCAAAATAAATAAATAAATAAACAAACACATATATACATACATACATACATACATACATACATACATACATACATACATACATAGCTCCTTGTGGCTTCGAGCTTCCAGACTCCTGCCTGAGCCTCTGGAGTGGCTGCGATTACAGGCTCAAAAGGTCCTCGGCTCCAGCCATCTTGCTTCGGTCAGACCTGCATCAAATCCCAGTCTTTCCCATCCTTTCTCAGTTGGTGACACATTGATGAACTTCCTATATGATCAGGATCCACCAGGGATGGCGCACAGCTGCAATAGAGCAGTATCTGTCAATTGCCATTGAACCCCAAGGCCAACCCTGCCTGTTGAAGTGTGTGTCACTTGGATGCTGGGGAGAAATTGTGCTTTATCTGTAAAGCTGGAACACCTTTCCTCTAAACAGCAAATGATTGTTCACGATACCCAATTATTTCTTTCTAAATAATTATTTTTTTCTAATTTACTTTTGAAGCATAATGTACATACATTGACATGTACATATCTTTTGTTGTTGTTGTTGTTGTTGAGATGGAGTCTCAGGCCGGGCGAGGTGGCTCACGCCTGTAATCCCAGCACTTTGGGAGGCCGAGGCGGGCGGATCACGAGGTCAGGAGATCGAGACCATCCTAGCTAACATGGTGAAACCCTGTCTGTACTAAAAAATACAAAAAATTAGCCGGGCGTGGTGGCGGGCGCCTGTAGTCCCAGCTACTCGGGAGGCTGAGGCAGGAGAATGGCGTGAACCCGGGAGGCAGAGCTTGCAGTGAGCCGAGATTGCGCCACTGCACTCCAGCCTGGGCGACAGAGCCAGACTCCGTCTCAAAAAAAAAAAAAAAAAAAAAAGAATCGCCTGAACCCAGGAGGTAGAGGTTGCAGTGAGCTGAGATCATGCCACTGCATTCCAGCCTAAGGGACAGAATGAAACTCCGTCTTGAAAAAAAAAAAAACCGGGTGCAGTGGCTCACACCTGTAATCCCAGCACTTTGGGAGGCTGAGGCGGGCAGATCACTTAAGGTCAGCAGTTCAAGACCAGTCTGACCAACAAGGTGAAACCGTGTCTCTACTAAAAATACAGAAAATACAAAAATTCGCCAGGTGTGGTGGCATGAGCCTGTAATCCCAGCTACTCAGGAGGCTGAGGCACAAGAATCACCTGAACCCCAGAGGTGGAGGCTGCAGTGAGCCAAGATCGTGCCACTGCACTCCAGCCTGGGCAACAGAGCGAGACTCTGTCTCAAAAAAAAAAAAAAGAAAAAAAAAAGAAACAGGGTCTTGCCGTGTCATCCAGGCTGGAGTGCAGTGATTCAAACATGGCTCATTGCAGCGTCGATCTCCTGGGCTCAAGCAGTATTCCTGTCTCAGCCTCCTGAGTAGCTGGGACTACAGGCACTGACACCACAGCCAGCTAATTTTTTTATTTATATTTTTAGTAGAGATGGGGTCTCGCTGTGTTGCCCAGGCTGACGTTGTACTTTTGGTCTCAAGTGATTCTCCTGCCTTGGCCTTCCAAACTGCTGGGATTACAGGTGTGAGCCACCATGCCTGGCTGGCTTCTAGATTTTGAATCTCTATGTTGGAATTCAAAATAAACTTCGTTTGGCCAAGCAATTATTCTCTGCCTGTCTTCCTCTGGCTCCAGGTTTCAAAGACCCCTGAGGACAGAGAACTTCAAAAGGACCTCTGAATTTTGACCCTCAGGCCTCACCTTGGCACTAAGGCAGAGAGTGACAGGCCCTGAGGGGAGGGCCAGCGATCAGACAGCTTTGTCTAGGACATGGGATTGGAGAAAAGTCATGATATGTGAGTATAGTAATTTCCTGTTGCTACTGTAACAAATTGGCCACAACTTCAGCAGCTTAAAACAACACAAATGTATTAATTAGTTCACAGGTCGGAAGTCCAGGTTGGCTTGGCTAGTTTCTCTGATCCAGGTTTTATAAGGTCAAAGTCAAAGTGTCAGCCAGGCTGGGTTCTTATCAGGAGGTTCTAAGAAGAATCCATTTCCAACACCATCAGTTCCTTGAAGTGGCAGGATGGGGATCCTCTCTGTGCTGGCTGTGAGCCGGGGTCACTCTGTCCTAGACGTAGGCAAGCAAGCCCAGCCGCAAAGAACCCCGCTGCACTTTACTTAAACTACAGCTTCCCAACCCATTTTAGCCATGGAGCTCTTTTTTCACATAACCTCTCTCTCTCTCTCTCTTTTATTTATTTATTTATTTTTTTGAGACAAGGTCTTGCTCTGTCCCCCAGGCTGGAGTGCAGGGGTGTGATCACAGTTCACTGTGGCCTCCCAGGCTCAAGCAATCTTCCTGCTTCAGCCTCCCATGTAGCTGGGACCACAGGCACGCGTCACCACACCCAGCTAATTTTTATATTTTTTGTAGAGATGGGGTCTCGCCATGTTGCACAGGTTGGTCACAAACTCCTGGGCTCAAGCAATCTGCCCTCCTCAGCCTCCCAAAGTGCTGAGATTATAGGCGTGAGCCACCACGCCCAGCCCATAATCTTTTTTTTTTTTTTTTCCAAGATGGAGTCTCGCTCTTGTCGCCCAGGCTGGAGTGCAATGGCACAATCTCAGCTCACTGCAACCTCTGCCTCCCGGGCTCAAGCGATTCTTCTGCCTCAGCCTCCAGAGTAGCTGAGATTACAGGTACCTGCCAGCACGCCTGGCTCATGTTTGTATTTTTAGTAGAGATGTGGTTTTGCCATGTTGGCCAGGCTGGTATTGAACTTCCGACCTCAAGTGATTTGCCTGCCTCGACGTCCTGAAGTGCTGGGATTACAGGTGTAAGCCATTGCGCCCAGCCCATAATCTTTCCTAAGGTTCCGAAAGATATTAATATTTGGGGAAAAGTGAAATGGGAGCTTGTGCAATTTTTGTATCCCTAAAGTTTCATTGCTTCCTCTAAACTCTTTCTCACGACAATTTTAGCTCCCCTTCTCTTGTCCTAAGGTTTGGCTTTTGCACAGCTGGAGGGCATTTCTTGTACAGGGTGGGCTAACCAGGCCCAGGTCCTGCTTCAGCCCTGACTCCAAGGCTCTGATTCGTGACATCATGCAAGTTTCTGAGCCTTTCTGAACTTGGTTTCTTCTTCATTTTGTTTGTTATCTCAAGGGTGGTTGTGAGAACTAAATTGGGCAATGCACGCAAAATGCTTGGCCCATCATTTGCGATTGATAAATGTTACTCATCATTATGGGTTTTTTTTTAAGAACTAAAAAGTCTTCACTAACCTTCCCCTTTGCCTTTTTATCGCTGTCAACATCAGGTACCAAGAGCCTGTGAAGCATCTTACAAGGTGGCTGCAATTTTGGCTCAGGGAAACTAGATGTGGCCAGACTTGCACATAAATGACAATGGATGCTTCTCCCAAAGTTTCCAAAAATCTGGATGAACTAACCCAGAAGGATCCTGTCTGAATAAAGAACACTGCTCCAAGTGACCAGGAGGCCTCGATCTCTTTCTGCACTTATGGAGAGGGAAGGCTGTGCAGAAAGCTGCCCGTGGAAGGGACACACAGGTCCCTAATCTGACCCATAAGCATCCCACCCACCCCAGGGACCCACTGCAACCTGCTGCTGTGGCTCCCCACACACCTCCCTGGGCCTCCTTGACCTGACAGGTGAGCACTGCCTGACCCAGCAGCCTCTGGCCAGGTAGCCCCTGTGGGGAAGAGCTGCAGTTCTGGACAGCTGCCTGCTTCAAAATGGAGAGCCCAGGTGGCCTCCCCAAGGGCACCTTCTTCCTCTTTCTAAGTCAGAGCCAGCTAAGATGAATTTCTCTTGTACATGGTGGGCAAACCAGACCCAGGGCCAGTTTTGGGCTCTGTGTCCAAGACACTGATTTGTGACATCAGGTAAGCCTCTGAACATTTCTGAACTTGGTTTCTTCTTCACGTGAAAGCTCCTGGGCTTTCAAACCTCCATCCTCCCTGAATAGTGACTTTTGCCCCTGCCTTGTCCCTCACAGACACAGCTGGCTGCGGCGTCCTCCCTTTCCCCTCCCAAGGGGGCCGCCCTGCCTCTGCCCACCATGGGCATGTGGCCATTGCCGCTGGTTTAGACTTGGTCCAGCCTCAGTCTTGACTGCCATCTAGTGGCTCCCAGACTCCTGCTGGGATTCAAGTTCTCTGGTGAGAACTAAACTGATTTTTGTATCTTGCCCAAATTCCTAAGGGGTCTGGGAGTCATGACCTATAAATCAAAAATTCTCATCAGATGGGTTTTATTTAACCCTATATATTGTGATTTACTTTCCAACCTGACTCTGGCATAACATTACGAGACAAGGAAGAAAATCAAAATACTTTACCCCAAAACATGTTTCTTTGCCATATCTTGAAATGGCCCTGCAAAGCTGTCCTTTGTGGGGGAAAATTTGCATCTGTAAAGAATCTCTATTAACATAGCTAGCTCTTTTTCTTCCAGGCCCTCCCAATCCGAAACAGATTAACTAAAGCATCTTTTAGGTCCGGCGGGCATGATGGCTCACACCTGTAATCCCAGCACTTTGGGAGACCGAGGCAGGCAGAGCCCTTGAGGTCAGGAGTTCAAGACAAGGCTGGCCAACATGGTGAAACCCCGTCTCTACTAAAAATACAAAAATTAGCTGGACGTGGTGGTGCACGCCTGTAATCCCAGCTACTCAGGAGGCTGAGGCAGGAGAATCGCTTGAACCTGGGAGGTGGAGTTTGCAGTGAGCTGAGATCGCGTCACTGCACTCCAGCCTGGGCAACAGAGACTCCGTCTCAAAAAAACAAAACAAAAAAACCAAACACTATTTGTTAGATTTAGGGCCCACCTTTAGCATGACCTCGTTGTGAACCCAGAAGTACCTGAGAGACATCTCAATCAATTTGGAAAGTTTATTTTGCCAAGGTTAAGGACGCACCCGTGACACAGCCTCAGGGGGTCCTGACAGCATGTGCCCAAGGTGGCTGGGGCACAGCTTGGTTTTACACATTTTAGGAAGACATGAGACATCAATCAATATGTGTAAGATGTATGTTGATTCGATCTGGAAAGGTGGGACAACTTGAAGCAAGGGGCTTCCTGATTATAGGCAGATAAGAGAGAAACAGTTGCATTCTTTTAGCCTCTGATTAGCCACCTGATTACTGCATACACCATTTACCTGTGAGAGTAGTGTAACGGAATGGTCACTTATACCAGCGTCCAGCCTGGCTCAGTGAAACGATGGCGGCAAGGAAGCAGATATGCGTTTGCCTCAGGTGAGCAGAGGGTGACTTTGAGTTCTGTTTGTCCTTTGTCTACCGAATTTTCGTGTGGGAAAATTGTGAGAGAGGTGTGTAGCTTTTTTTTTTTTTTTTTTTTTTTTAAATCTTTGCAGTTCCCAGCCTTTGGCTTAGTGATTTCAGGGTCCCAAGATGTATTTGCCTTTTACATCATCTTTTTCTTTCTTTCTTTCTTTCTTTTTTTTTTTTTTTGAAACAAAGTCTCACTCTGTTGCCCAGGCTGGAGTGTAGTGGTATGATCTCAGCTCACTGCAACCTCCGCCTCCCAGGTTCAAGCGATTCTCCTGCTTCAGCCTCCTGAGTAGCTGGGATTACAGGCTTGCGCCACCACATCCAGCTAATTTTTTATATTTTTGGTAGAGATGGGGTTTTACCATGTGGCCAGGCTAGTCTGGAACTCCTGACCTCAAGTGATCTGACCACCTTGGCCTCCCAAAGTGCTGGGATTACAGGCGTGAGCCACTGTGCCCAGCCTACATCATCTTCATTACAGCTGCAAAGACCCTTTTACCAAGTAAGTCACATTTACAGGTACCAGCGATTAGGACTTGAACATATCTTTTGGAGGATACTGTTCAGCCCAAATCAGCCCTAAAAGACAGACCACTCAAGCCCCTCAGCTGAGTGGCACCTCCTCTTGGGCAGTGGATACGGGAGAAGATGCTCTCACACTGGCCTCTGAGGGACCAGTGTCCAGACAATTATTCTGAGTGTGAAAGAATGTTCTAGAAAGCCAGGCTGTCTTGGGTAAAGTGGTTAGCCTTAAATATGTAAAGGAAATGTTTACCAGATTAGCTCCAGAGCCCCTGGGAAGACAACAGCCAGGCAGTCAGGGATGTGCTGGCCAGGGGAAGATGTTGGATTCATCCAGGGCATTGGGGATAGCCAGAGCAGGGCCCCACAGTCTGGAGGATCTGGTGCTGAATGAGCAGTACCAGAGGGAAGGCTGCTGTCCCCTCCCCAGTCTCCCGGCCTGCTGCATCCCAACAGGTATGAGTCAGGTGGGTGGGGTGGATGCTAGAAGAAGCATGAGAAATCTTGGCCGAGTAAAGCTCACCCTGTTTCAACCTCATCTCTCTTAAACCAAGGTCATGCTCAGCCACACTGGGGAAACTGAGGCAGCCTTCTGCACTCTCCAGACCACAGGGGCTTTTTCAATAACTGTTTGGTTTCCTGTGGCTGCCATAACAAAGTAACAATAACTGAGTAGCTTACACAACAGAAATTTCTTCTGTCACCACTCTGGAGGCCAGAAGTCCAAGATCAAGGTGTCAGCAGGGTTGGTTCCTTCCACGGTTTCTGAGGGAGGCAGCTGCTCCCCGACTCTCTCTTTGGCTTATAGATGGCATCTTCTCCCTGTGTCTCTGCACATCAGCTTCCCTTTATGTGTATAACTGTGTCAAAATTTTACTTTTTTTTTTTTTTTTGAGACAGAGTCTCCCTCTGTCCCCCAGGCTGGAGTGCAGTGGCATGATCTTGGCTCACTGCAACCTTCGCCTCCCAGGTTCAAGCGAGTCTCTTGCCTCAGCCTCCCAAGTAGATGGAATTACAGGAGGCTGCCACCACACCCAGCTAATTTTTGTATTTTTAGTAGAGACAGGGTTTCACCATGTTGGCCAGGCTGGTCTTGAACCCCTGACCTCAAGTAATCCACCCGTCTCGGCCTCCCAAAGTGCTGGGATTACAGTGTGAGGTACAGTGCCTGGCCCAAATTTTACTTTTTTTTTTTTTTTTTTTTTTAGACAGAGTCTCGCTCTGTCGCCCAGGCTGGAGTGCAGTGGTGCGATCTCGGCTCACTGCAAGCTCCGCCTCCCGGGTTCACGCCGCCATTCTCCTGCCTCAGCCTCCCGTGTAGCTGGGACTACAGGTACCCGCCACCACGCCCGGCTAATTTTTTGTATTTTTAGTAGAGACAGGGTTTCACCATGTTAGCCAGGATGGTCTCGATCTCCTGACCTTGTGATCCGCCCACCTCGGCCTCCCAAAGTGCTGGGATTACAGGCGTGAGCCACCACGCCCGGCCTAATTTTACTTTTTATAAGGAAACTGGTCTTTGGATTAGAGCTCATCTTGATGACCTCATCTTAACTTGATTACTTCTGCAAAGACCCTATTTCCAAATAAGGGCAAGTTCTGAGGTCCTGAGGGTTAGGACTTCAACATATGAAAGACAGCAAGTGACACCTTTTCTCTGATGAGAACTGACCAGGAAGGTACAGGTGCTGCCCTCCAGCCAAGCACCACACCGTCAGACAGGCCTTCCACGAGGCTCTCATGAAATGCTGATCTGTGAGAATGTTCCAGGCAAATTAAATATCCAGCACCGAAGAAGCCAAGTGGCTTGGAAAAATGCATGTAAGGCTTCAGAAAAGACGGAGCAGTTGGACAGACAAGTGAGACAGCGCTAATTGGCAGCCACGTTTTGTTTTCTCCCCACAGCTGCCTCATGAAATTGTCAAACAACCGTACATGTTGAAGCCGTGAAATTAAAGACGTTAAAAAAACGGGCTAATGTTCTCAGAGACCACGCTTTAAAGACAGCTTTTGTTCCATATTCTGGGTTTTCTCAATCAGCAGAAAACACTGTGTCTCCAACTGACAGGGGCACAAAGAGATAAGAGGGAGACACCGTCATGAACATTTCTAGAGCAATTTTCTCTTCTATCTTATCACTGCCTTCAAGACACATTATTTTCATCTGAAGTGTGGTTCCAATTTGGGGAGTAAAAAAGCCTTTTCGTCTCTCTCATTCCTCTTTTTTTTTTTTTTTTTTTTCCTCTCTGTCTCCTGAGGGAAGCTTTGGGGAAGAACGTTCCTCCACTCTCCATGGTTTTGGAATCCCATAAAATATGCCAATGACTGGAGTGTTTTGGATTGATAAACGCCTTTCCAACCCACCATGCGGCTCCAGTACAAGCTGTCATGGCTACTATGCAAACCTGGTGCGGGGATGACCAACGTGGCTCACAGAAAGCAGGTGGGAGATGCAGACATGAAGAGGAGCCTGTCTGCCACTCTCTTTCCCCACTCCTCCCACCTCCCGAAAGCTGAGGGTGCTAAGGGCTGGGCAGATAGCTGTGGGGGTCCCATGTATGCCATTTTTTTTTTTTTTTTTTTGAGATGGAGTCTTGCTCTGTCACCCGGGCTGGAGTGCAATGGTATGACCTCAGCTCACTGCAATTGTGAGCTTCCCAGGTTCAAGTGATTCTCCTGCCTCAGCCTCCTGAGTAGCTGGGATTATAAGCACGCACCACCGCACCCGGCTAATTTTTGTGTTTTTAGTAGATATGGGGTTTCACCATGTTGGCCAGGCTAGTCTGGAACGCCTGACCTTATGATCCGCCCGCCTGGGCCTCCCAAAGTGCTGGGATTACAGGCGTGAGCCACCGCGCCCGGCCTCCATGTGCGCTTTATCCACCATTCCCTTCTCAGGCATTCCTCGCTTTCTCAAAGCCAAGGCCTGCATTTGTGTTTTCATCCGCCCATCACCAGTGACATCTGTGAAGCCAGCTTTATCATTCTGGCTTCAGAAGCGCCTTGTTCTTTGAGTACTTTAAAAACAGAAGTGGAGGGCCCGGAGGCCAAACCTTCCCTGTTCTTTTTCGTATCTGCCCCTGCAAAACCGGATAAAGGAGATTTCAAGAGCAATTTGGTGGGTGACAGCAACGGCCAGCCTCAGGGATGGTCTGAGCTCCTGGGACCTGGAGGCCACCCAAACTACTTGGGCAGATGAAGACAAGATCAAGATAACTGACTGCAACCTGGAGAAAGCACTTCTCACAGAATAGAAAAAAAAAAAGATTCTGGGTCCTCTTCTTGTTAGGCTTTCTTCAGATGGCTCTTGAGATCCACCTTGATGGAGTGGTTCTATCTTCCCTTCCCCTTCTCTCCCCTTTCTTTCCCTTCTCCTTCTTTTTTCTTTTCTCCTTCCTTCTTTCCTTCCTTCCTTCCTTCTTCTTTCCTTCCTTCCTTCCTTCTTCTTTCCTTCCTTCCTTCCTTCTTCTTTCCTTCCTTCCTTCCTTCTTCTTTCCTTCCTTCCTTCATTCCTTTCTTTCTCTCTCTCTCTTTCTTTCTTTCTCTCTCCTTCCTTCCTTGCTGTTCTGCAAATGGAGCAGGTTCTATCTTTCTGACTTTGCCTGAAAGGACTGAAGCAAGTGAACACTAGGGATAACATTTTTTCCTTGAGTAAAATCACCCTAGAAGGAAGATAACTGTGGTTACATCTAACTCAGGGGAGTTCCAGAAATAAATAGTGCATGCTGGACTTAAGTGTGTCCTTGAAAATAGCCATGACACTGAGCTTTTCTTTCTTTCTCTCCCCTCTTTCCTTTTCCTTCCTTTCTTAAGCAAAAGTGTGAAACCAGCTTGTGACATTTTCCCACTGGCAGGGGAGCTAGGGAGATGGGGTGAAGGGAAAACATGAGGATTGTAATCAAATGTTTAACTGGTTTATTGAGCAATCTCAGACTCAGGGGATATAAACATAAAATGGTTTTATATTTTCTCTAATCAATGCCTTCAGCCACACTCTGTCAAATTCCACTTTCTATCTCCAAATGACATTTTAAGCAGATCCTATATTTTTTTCTGATCATTTTCAGTTATTAGAAAGCTTTCCAGTTTTAAACCACAACCCCATGTCTAATTCAAAGCTCTGAGGTCCCATTCCCCCTGCAGCAGCCCAGCTGTGGCTCTGAGATAAGAATGGAGGTGCTCTCCATCTCTCTCTGAGGCTCTGGTACCACCTGCCCCCGGGTGGTCTCCATGGAGATGGTGTGCCCATCACTCCCCACCCGCCATGTTTCCTGGAGTGATGTTTAGACTGACACTGGACTTCTCCATTACTGAAGATACCTTCAGAAAGGGATGTCCAGCCAGGTGCGTGGCTCACGCCTGTAATCCCAACACTTTAGGAGGCTGAGGCAGGTGGATCACCTGAGGTCAGGAGTTCGAGACCAGCCTGGCCAGCATGGTGAAACCGCATCTTTCCTAAAAATTAGCTGGGCATGGTGGCAGGTGCCTGTAATCCCAGCTACTCAGGAGGCTGATGCAGGAGAATCGCTTGAACCCAGGAGGCGGAGGTGGCAGTGAGCTGAGATCACGCCATTGCCCTCCAGCCTGGGTAACAAGAGCAAAACTCTGTCAAAAAGAAAGAAAAAGAAAGAAAAAGAGAAGAAAAGAAAAGTAAAGAAAAGAAAAGAAAAGGGATGTCCATATTTCCCTTCAAGCTCTGCCAGTGGTCCATGCCCTTACCACCTTCTCTGGGTGAGATGTCCCTCACTGAGGGCACCCTGGGCGGGTCACGGCTCCTGCTTCCCTTTGGTATCATGGTCGTTCACACGGAGCCACAGGTATCAATGAGGTCCTCTGCAATGTTTTCTAAGTGCTGTAAACATATGGGTGGGGGACTCCCTATCCTTTTCTCCTGGGCAATTGCATCACAGTCCCTACCTGCGCAGCCATCACCAGCTGCTCCAGTCGGATTCTTTCAAGATGGGAAGCAGACCCCGGTCTCTACGCTCACATATACACTATACTCCTGGGAACCCAGGCCAAGCTCCTGGGCACACCTTCTCCATACCCCAGGCTGTCCTGAGAGCAGGAACAAAGGAGACTGCAGACTTGGCAGCTCTGTAAGCATCTGGCAGGGAGTGAGCTGCCCATGGCCTCTGCTTGCCGGCACCCCCAGTCTTGAAGAGTTATCTTCCTGGAGCCCCACTTGTTTGACTTGGCTGAGAGGGAAACACAGCCTCAGTCGACTTAGGTTTGGGGGAAGAACTCCTGTCCCCTCCCTCTACTAGAATGACAGTATGTAGAATAACACCATAATATATTAAACATCTATAATTAAAACAATTCCTGTACATGATTTCATTTACAATGAGAATATTCTACTGTTACCTCCATCTTATGATAAGAAAGTTGAGATTTAGCCAGACATGGTGGCTAACACTTATAATCCCAGCACTTTGGGAGGCCAAGGCGGGCAGATCACCTGAGGTCAGGAGTTCGAGACCAGCCTGGCCAACATGATGAAACCCCATCTCTACTAAAAATACAAAAATTAGCCCCACATAGTGGCACGTGCCTGTAATCCCAGCTACTCGGGAGTCCAAAGCAGGAGAATCGCTTGAATCCGGGAGGTGGAATTTGCAGGGAGCTGAGATCGTGCTGTGGCACTCCAGCCTGGACAACAGAGTGAGATCAGTCTCAAAAAAAAAAAAAAAAGAAAGAAAAACAGAAGGAAACTTGAGATTTAGGGGGGGATAAGTAATTTGTTCAAGATTGCACAAACAGAAGGGTATATTAGTCAGTTTTGCTCTGTAACAGAGAAACCTCACACATCTCAATGGCTTACAGCAAGTCTGGGCAAACTACTGCCACATCTAGCCCACTGCCTACTTTTCTGTAGCCCATGAGCTAAGAATAGTTTATGTTTTTAAATGGTTAAAAAAAGAATCAAAAAAGGAATATTTCCCGACACAAGAGAATTATGTGAATTTCCAATTTTAGTGTCCATGAATAAAGTCTTATTGGGCCCAGCCATACCCATCTGTTTCTGTGTTGTCTGTGGCTGCCTTTGTACCACAGGGGCAGAATTGAGAAACTGCAGCTGAGACTGTCTGGCCCTTTACAGAAAAAATTATGCCAACCCCTGTCAACATTTATTTTTCTCACGCACAGCTCTCCGGGTTGGCCGGGATCATCTCCAGGTTGCAGGTTGGGTTCAGGTTGGCCCCATCTTCATCATTCTGGGCCCAGCGGCCACCCAGGGCATAGTCTTCTCGTGGCAGATGGAGGAAGCACAGGAGAGATGAGCAAGAACACGTGAGCCCACTGCAGGCCAGGCGCGCCGTCGTTTCCTCGCTCACCACACACTCTGCACTTTCTAGCAAGAGTCACTGCAAGATCACGTTTGGGAGGATGGGAATTTATCATTCATAGACCAGGAGGGAGTAAAGGATGGGAAGTAAGGATCTCAGGGACTGCAGTTGGGGGATTCAGGACTTGAACTCAGGGCTGCCTGACTCAAGAGTCTGTGTGCTTGTTCCTCTGCTACATGGACTTCTGTCCTAGGCAAACTGTTAGGTTAAGAAAAAAAGAGTGGGCTGTGTGCAGTAGCTCATGCCTGTAATCCCAGCACTTTGAGAGGCCAATGCGGGAGGATTGTTTGAGCCCAGGGGTTCAAGACCAGCCTGGGCAACATAAGGAGACCTCCTTCTCTACAAGAAATACAAAAATTAGCTGGGTGTGGCTGTGGTCCCAGCTACTCGGAAGGCTGAGCTGGGAGGACTGCTTGGGCTCAGGAGGTAGAGGCTGCAGTGAACTATGATCACACCACTGCACTCCAACCTGGGTGACAGAGCAAGAGCCTGTATTTAAAAAAAAAAAAAATTGCCAGGTGCAGTGGCTCAAGCTTGTAATCCCAGCACTTTGGGAGGCCAAGGCGGGTGGATCACGAGATAAGGAGTTCAAGACCAGCCTGGCCAAGACGGTGAAACCCCGTCTCTACTAAAAATAAAAAAAAAATTAGCCAGGTGTGGTGGCGGGTGCCTGTAATCCCAGCTACTCAGGAGGCTGAGGCAGGAGAATCTCTTGAACCCAGGAGGCGGAGCTTGCAGTGAGCCGAGATTGCACCACTGCATTCCAGCCTGGGCAACAGTGAGACTCCATCTTGGGGAAAAAAAAAAGGGGCCGGGCACAGTGGCTCACGCCTGTAATCCCAGCACTTTGGGAGGCTGAGGCGGGTGGATCACAAGGTCAGGAAATCGAGACCATCCTGGCCAACATGGTGAAACCTAGTCTCTACTAAAAATACAAAAAAATTAGCCGGGCATGGTGGTGCATGCCTGTAATCCCAGCTCCTCGGGAGGCTGAGGCAGGAGAATCGCTTGAACCCAGGAGTCGTAGGTTGCAGTGAGCTGAGATTGCACCACTACACTCCATCCTGGCGACAGAGCGAGACTCCCTCTCAAAAAAAAAAAAAAAAAAAAGAAGAAGAAAAGAAAAGAAAACAGTGGGAAAAAGAAGGCAGAGAGATTCTCCTGTCATTCTCTACCCGCAAAGTCTATTCCTGGACATCCTGGGCATCATCCCAACATATCACCATCTCCAAGTCACCAAACAGGCCAGCAACTGTAAACAAATCAAAATGGATTCGAAAGACCCTGGAAAGCCCCAGCAAGTGCTTGCAAGAGCAATATATTCTTCAGGAATGCCACCATCGATAACTGCATAGTGATAGAAAGTTGAGCAATTCTGAAGAGCCTCATTTCCATCACCCAGCAGGCATCCTTGGAGAAGCTTCTTTCAGAGTCCGACTATCAGTAAGTTATGTGTGTCTGGAAGCCCTTACAAATGAGCAGAAGAAGACAGGAGAATAAAACTTTACGATTATGCCTCTGCCGGTTTTTCTGCAAACACAGGGAGGAACAGACCCACTACAGACCATAGCCCATCGAGTGTGAAATATGAAGCCTCACGGAAGTCGGGAGCCATTAAGTATTTGTTGTGCTGACTGTCAAGGCTAGAAGCAGCATGGGAGGGGATGATGAATAAACGCCCAGCCATTACAGCAGCTCGATGAGCCTCCCGCGGCCCAAAGTTGATTCTCCATGTCATAATGAAATCAAACACTTGCCAGGAAGTCAACAGGAGAGAGAAAGGAGTTATAAAACACAGGCATGCGACTCCTTCTGTAGCTGCTGTTTTTAAAGAAAGATGCGAGAAGAAAAGAACTGTAATGAATGGCACAGTGACGCTGACATGTTGTAGAATGTGCTGGGATGGAGATTTTTCTTTGCAAGCATCACTGAGCATCCAAGAAGCTAAGAAACAGTAGATGTAGAGAGTCTTTGAAGAACCACATGCCCTAAATATCGTACTTGATGACATGTCTTCTGGGTTCAAATCCCTATATATATTGTCCTTCTGAGTGACGCTCCAGGTACAATCGAATTTTTCTGGGCAAGTATCTTTGCTTACATGTGTAAAGGTATAAAAACTACCATTTGGGCGGGGCACGGTGGCTCATGATTGTGATCCCAGCACTTTGGGAGGCTGAGGCAGGCGGGTCACCTGTGGTCAGGAGTTCAAGACCAGCCTGGCCAACATGGTGAAACCCTGTCTCTACAAAAATACAAAAATTAGCTGGGCGTGATGGCAGGTGCCTGTAGTCCCAGCTACTCAGGAGGTTGAGGCAGGAGAATCATTTGAACCCGGGAGGCGGAACTTGCAGTGAGCTGAGATTGAGCCACTGCACTCCAGCCTGGGTGACAGAGTGAGACTCTGTCTCAAAAAATAAAAAAAACCCACAGTGAATTGGGTGCTGATGAAGTGACCTGGGTAATCCATGCTGGTGACCCATGGGGCGAGGCTCTCCAGAAACATTTATTGAGCACCTCCTCTTTCCCTGACCCTGGACCAGGTGCAGTGAATACAGACGTCACAAGACCTAACCAGCAGGATGAAGTGCAGGTTCCCAGGACCCTAGCGTAGCTGGGGAGACAGTACTGTGTGATAGAGCCACAGCCAGGTGGGGTACCGGGCACGGAGGGTTAAGGAGGAAGGGGCATGGCTCTCCCTGGAGGGAAGCCAAATGGTACTTTTCAAAAAGTTGCAAACATGGCTTTCAACTATAAAATAAACGTGTAAATAATTTCATTCAACTTGTGAATTAATGAGGGAACCAATGAGATGTGGAGAGCAGTTGAAAACAGAATTTGAAAATCAGCCATATACAGATGCAGTTAGGAATGCTAGGATGGATTTGCTAATAGATACCAAGTGGGTCAGTGTCCTACGGGGCAATAAAATGTAATGTTTACAGTCATCTTTTCTATGGGACGGACACCAACTGTATCTCTGTGGGACAAAATCCATTTACATTGTTATGGACAATCATTATTTCCATTTTCTACCATTTAATGTCTCCCCTATCAGAGAATTAAAAAAGCCTGGTCAGGCTGGGTGCAGTGGCTCATGCCTGTAATTCTAACACTATGGGAGGCCAAGGCAGGCAGATCACCTGAAGTCAGGAGTTTGAGACCAGCCTGGCCAAAATGGCGAAACCCCGTCTCTACTAAAGATACAAAAATTAGCCGGGCGTGGTGGCACATGCCTGTAATCCCAGCTACTCGGGAGGCTGAGGCAGGAGACTCTCTTGAACCCAGGAAATGGAGGTTGCAGTGAGCCGAGATGGTGCCAATGCACTCCAGCCTGGGCGACAGAGCGAGACTCCATCTCTAAATAAATAAATAAATAAATAAAACAGCCTGGTCAACAGAAAGACAGCAAACAGAGTCCTGTGTAAACAGGCAATCCCTGAAACCCGGCCCTGAACCCCATGGGAAGCATGCCCAGAATCCCTCTTGTCCATCTCCAAGTCTTGGACAATTTCTCCTGACCGGGGACTATCCCAGTCTGTTCACACATCTGCAGGACCATGTAGGGCACCTCTAATCTAGCACACTGGAATCACCCAGGGAGCTTCGAAACATCCTGCTCCCCAAGCCACACCCACACCCATAAAATCAGAATGTCAGTACTTGGTACCCGGCTTCGGTATCTTTTTTTTTTTTTTTTTTTCCTTGAGACAGAGTCTCACTCCGTTACCCAAGCTGGAGTGCAGTGGCACAATTCCGGCTCACTGCAACCTCCACCTCCTGGATTCAAGCGATTCTCCTGCCTTAGCCTCCTGAGTAGCTAGGATTACAGGTGCCTGCCACCATGGCCAGCTAATTTTTGTATTTTTAGTAGAGACAGGGTTTCACTATGTTGGCCAGGCTGGTCTCGAACTCCTGACTTCAAGTGATCCTCCCAAACTGCTGAGATTACAGGTGTCAGCCACCACACCCAGCTGGCTTCAGTTATTTTCAAGCTCCCAGATGATTCTGATGTGCAAACAACGTTGAGAACCACAGCTCTGAGGACATCCAAGCAGGAACTCCAGGCTGTCCTCTACCCTCCTCCCCAGCCTTCCCACCTCTCCCTCCTCCTCGAAAGGCTTCCTTTGTGTCTTAGGGGGTAGTCACTGCAGCCTCTTCGGGCTCCTGAAACGTCCCTGCTATTTTGCAGAAGTGACTGATGGGGCAGCCCAAGGGCAGCTTTGAAACCCCCTTTTGAGTCCCAGGAGATAGCATCTTGTGATTTGCTCCACAACACGGAAGGAACCCACAGCTTGAGAGCAACAAATGAGAAGAAATCTATCATCCTCAGAAAATTGGCTCCTGGCTGTCCCGCCGAGTGACAGTAATCACAGAGGCCTCTTAAAGTGCCCGGCTAAATAAATAGTTTTAATAGTAACGAACCAGCTGCCAGCCTGAAAGCTTGTAATCATGATGCAGGTGGGCTCTGGGGCTGCCTGTATGTGCCCGCCAGCCCCTTTTGCAAGAGCATAAATCCAGGCACCATAAGGAGACACTTAAGCTCCCAGCTGGATCTTTGTACAGAAAGTATAACCGAAGATGTCTGCTTTCAGCTGCCCAGGTGAGTTTGCAGCCTGGGGAGAGCTGCAATCACAAAACTCCCCAGGCCTCCTAGTCTCACCCAAAGAGCAGCCCCAGGGAAATGGTCTGGGAGGATAGGACTGGCCATTACTGGAATTGGCCAGATATCCTGGCAGCCAAACCCCTGAGCAACCTGTAATCCCAGCACCTTGGGAGGCTGAGGCAGGAGGATCGCCTGAGCTCAGGAGTTTGAGACCAGCCTGGGCAACATAGCAAGACCCCATCTTAAAACACACACACACACACAGACAAACACACAACCTGAGTAAGTTGTTGGGCCAGAAGCCAGGGGGTGGCAGTTGGGAGTTGGGAGGAATGTGTTACAGGTAGAAAGGAATGGCCAGCTTGGAGAAATGGCCACTGGGATGACTTTGAGGACATCATTGATTCCAGCAGACCATAGGGAGCAATCAGGGATTTGGAAGCTTAAAATCTTTTTTTTTTCTTTTTTTTTTTTGAGATGGAGTCTCGCTCTGTCACCCAGGCTGGAGTGCAGTGGCGCGATCTCGGCTTACTGCAAGCTCCGCCTCCCAGGTTCACGCCATTCTCCTGCCTCAGCCTCCCGAGTAGCTGGGACTACAGGCCCCCGCCGCCACGCCCAGCTAATTTTTTGTATTTTTACTAGAGACAGGGTTTCACCGTGTTAGTCAGGATGGTCTCGATCTCCTGACCTCGTGACCTGCCCGGCTCGGCCTCCCAAAGTGCTGGGATTACAGGCCTGAGCCACCGCGCCTGGCCTGGAAGCTTAAAATATTGACCATATTTCTTGTTTCCTGGGTGGCCTCAAGCAAGTCACTTAGTCTTTCTGAGCCTTTAAAACATGGCCAGGTGCAGTGGCTCACACCTGTAATCCCAGCACTTTGGGAGGCTGAGGTGGGAGGATCACCTGAGGTCAGGAGTTCTAGACCATCCTGGCCAACATGGTGAAACCCCGTCTCTACTCAAAACACAAAAATTAGCTGGGCGTGGTGGCATGCACCTGTAATCCCATTCACTTGGGAGGCTGAGGCAGGAGAGTTGCTTGAGCCCAGGAGGCGGAGGTTGCAGTGAGCTGAGATCGCACCATTGCACTCCAGCCTGGCAACACAGCGAGACTCTGTCTCAAAAATAAAACAAAAACAAAACAAACAAAAAAAAACATAAGCACAGGGTGCGCGCAGTGGCTCATGCCTGTAATCCTAGCACTTTGGGAGGCCAAGGTGGGTGGATTGTGTGAGCTCAGGAGTTCCAGACCAGCCTGGCCAACATGGTGAAACCCCTCCTTTACTAAAATACAAAAAAAAAAAAAAAAATTAGCCAGGTGTGGCAGTGTGCGCCTCCCGAGTAGGCTGAGGCAGGAGAATCACTTGAACCTGGGAGGCGGGAGGCGGAGGTTGCAGTGAGCCGAGATCACACCACTGCACTCCAGCCTGGGTGACAGAGCAAGACTCTGTCTCAAATAAAAATAAAAATAAAAAATAACAAACTAAAACATAAGCACAACAATACCTCATCCCTAGGGTTGCTTTGAAGTTAAATGACATACTGCACAGGAAAATAACTAGCACAAAGCCAGATACCTGGCCAGCCGAGGCGATCATGCCAATTTCCTCCCTCCCTTCCTTCCTTTATATCCCAAGATTTCAAGGATTGGGCTTGGGGAGACAAAAGCTCCTAGCTCTGCGCCATCCACTGTGGCAGCCATGAGCCCCATGTGGCTACTAAGCCCCTGACCTGCGGTCAGCGTGAATTGAGAGGTGTCATAAGCAGGAACCACACACCAATTTCTGACTTAATACAGAAAAGAAAGTAAAATTGGTCTAACAGTTTTTATATGATTACATGTTATGATCATATTTTTATCTCTTAAATAAAATAAAGTTTAAAAAAAATTTTTTGAGACAGAGTCTTGCTCTGTTGCCCAGGCTTAAGTGCAATGGTGCAATCTTAGCTCACTGCAACCTCTGACTCCCAGGTTCAAGCAATTCTCATACCTCAACCTCCTGAGTAGCTGGGATTACAAGTGTGTGCCACCATGCCTGGCTAGTTTTTGTATTTTTATTAGAGACGGGGTTTCATCATGTCAGCTAGGCTGGTCTTAAACTCATGGTCTCAAGTGATCTGTCCACTTCAGCCTCCCAAAGTGCTGGGATTACAGATGTGAGCCACCTGTTTCTTTTTCTTTTCTTTTCTTTTTTTGAGACAGAGTCTTGCTCTGTCACCCAGGCTGGAGTGCAGTGGCATGATCTTGGCGCACTGCAACCTCCATCTCCGAGGTCAAGCAATTCTCCCGCCTCAGCCTCCTGAGTAGCTGGGATTACAAGCGTGTGCTACCATGCCTGGCTAATTTTTGTATTTTGAGTACAGATGGGGTTTCACCAGGTTGCCCAGGTTGGTCTTGAACTCCTGACCTCAAGTGATCCACCCACCTCAGTCTCCCAAAGTGCTGGATTACGGGTGTGAGCCACCATGCGTGTCCTTAAAATTAACATCATCTGTTTCTTTGTATTGTTTACTGTGACTACCAGAAAATCTAAAATGACTTATGTGGCCTGCATTATATTTCTATTGGATGGGGCTGCCCCCACTGGAATCAAATAGATCCATCCCCAAAGCCATGATGCAGGCTCTTAATGGGGTCCCATGAGCCTGTGATGTTGAGGGCTTTTCTGAACTGTGAAAAACAGTGACTATTTAACCAGGGCACCCCAGAGGCTCCTGTCTACCTCCCTAGGAGAGCCAGCACTTCTCACATGACTTCTGAGTGCTTTACACGTCAATCCTCACTGAATCCTCAGAAATCATGTGAGATTATGAATTATGATTCCCATTTTACAGAAAAAGTAACTGAGGCAAGAGGTTAGTAAACTTACTTTAGAAGAGGGAGGGACGGAGAGAGAGAACATGCATGAGTGGGAAAGCTGGAGATCTGGGGGATTTGAAGCCAGTCCAGTGCTCACTTAGTGCTATGGCCTAAATATGTTCCCCAAAAGTCATCTGTTGGAAACTTAATCCTTAATGCAACAGTGTTGTGAGGTAGAGGCTAATGGATTAATGTTGCTATAAAAAGGATTTAAGGGCCAGGCACGGTGGCTCATGCCTGTAATCCCAGCACTTTGGGAAGCCGAGGTGGGCAGATCACCTGAGATCAGGGGTTCAAGACCAGCCTGGCCAACACAGTGAAACCCCACCTCTACCAAAAATACAAAAATTAGCTGGGTGTGGTGGTGCACGCCTGTAGTCCCAGCTACTTGGGAGGCTGAGGCAGGAGAATGGTGTGAACCTGGGAGGCAGAGCTTGCAGTGAGCCAAGATTGCACCACTGCACTCCAGCCTGGGTGACAGAGCGAGACTCCGTCTTAAAAAAAAAAAAAAAAGACTTAAAGAAGTGAGTTCCCCCTTCCATCTTTGCCTGTGAGGACACAGCAGGAAGGCCCTCACCAGATAGTGGAGGCTTGAACTTGGACTTCCCAGCCTCTAGAACTGTGAGAAATAAATTTCCCTTTTTTTTTTTTTTTGAGACAGTTTCGCTCTTGTTGCCCAGGCTGGAGTGCAGTGGTGCAATCTTGGCTCACTGCAACCTCTGCCTCCCGGGTTCAAGCGACTTTCATGCTTTATCCTCCTGAGTACCTGGATTACAGGAGCACACCCCTACTCCCGGCTAATTTTTGTATTTTTAGTAGAGACGGAGTTTCACCATGTTGGCCAGGCTGGTCCTGAACTCCTGACCTCAGGTGATCCACCTGCCTGAGCCTCCCAAAGTGCTGGGATTACAGGTGTGAGCCACCATGCCTGGCCTAAATTTCCTTTCTTTATAAATAACCCAGTCTCAGGTATCCTGTGATAGCCGCACAAAACAGACGCAGACACCTGGACAGAGGCCCTCCCCATGGTGTTCCCTGGCACAGCTTGGCTGCCCTCCTGCAGTGCTCCCTTGTGGTACGTAGTTACCATGGCTAGAGGCTCTAACAACGTGACCTTATCGAGTCCCCATCTGTAAAATGGAAAACTATTAGTGGCAGCCACCTCCTGGGTTATATGAGGACTCGATAAGGTCACTTAGCATCAGAGGGCAGGGGTGGTGCATGAGCTTTGGCCTCAAACCACAGGAGGCTCCTGCACACAGGTGCCTCTGAGAGTCAGGTTCCTGCCTGACAGCTGTAGGCACAGCTGCAGCCTGAGCCCAGCACTACCCAGAGCTATCAGGGCCAGAGGAAGGCCTGCTTCCTGGCCCTGGTTCCTCAATGGGTCCTGCCAGCCACCACCCTGCAGAGCTCAAAACGACTGTGGAATGGTTAGCACCACACACTGTAACCCAACCCCCCTGCTCTCCTCTGCCTCCCCTCAAAAGCATTCCAGATGCCAGGCAGCAGCCCCGTGGCCACCTCTGCATAGGTGAGCAAAACATCAGGAGCTGCCAGCCACAGGCTGCCAAGCCTTTGCTGTGGAGGGCTTGTGGCTGGCCCTAGGACTGGGATGCCTGTTCTTTAAAATGGGGTCCTGAGGCCGGACGCAGTGGCTCACACCCATATTGCCAGCACTTTAGGAGGCTGAGGTGGGAGGATCTCTTGAGCTCAGGAGTTTGAGACCAGCAACATAGTGAGACCTTCTTGTCTCTACTAAAATAAAAATTAAAAAAAAATAAAATAAAAAATAGGCCAGGTGCAGTGACTCATGCCTGTAATCCCAACATTTTGCGAGGCCAAGGTGGGTGGATCACCTGAGGTCAGGAGTTCGAGACCAGCCTGACCAACATGGTGAAACCCCGTCTCTACTAAATACAAAAAATTAGCTGGGCATGGTGGTGCATGGAGGCTGAGGCAGGAGAATCACTTGAACCCAGGAGGCGGAGGTTGCAGTGAGCTGAGATTGTACCATTGCACTCCAGCCTGGGCAGCAAGAGCAAAACTCTCAAAACTCTGTCTCAAAAAAAAAAAGAAAAAAAGAAAAAACATTAGCTGGGCATGGTGGCACGTGCCTGTAGTCCCAGCTGCTGGGGCCAGGGGTGGGGTTGGGTGCTGAAGCGGGAATATCCCTTCAGCCCAGGAGATCAAGACTGCAGTGATCCCTGATTGTGCCACTGTACTCCAGCCTGAGCGATAGAGTGAGACCGTCTCAAAAAAAAAAAAAATTAAAGTAAGTAAAACATAAATAAAGTGGGTTCCTGAACCATGGGGACTTTGAGGAATGTCTTCCACTAGCTCTGCACATCTGCAAACTGCCGGCACCTCTCCTGCCCCCACCTGCTTCCTCTCAGCCCTGTGCAGGGGGATACTGTGGCTTTTGCCTTGCAATTAGGGCTGCCAGATAAAATATAGAACACGGGTTATATTTGAATTTCACAAAATCAACGAAGAAAACTTTTAGCGGGGCGCGGTGGCTCACACCTGTAATCCCAGCACTTTGGGAGGCTGAGGCAGGCGGATCACTTAAGGTAAGGAGTTCAAGACCAGCGTGGCCAACCTGGTGAAACCCCCATCTCTACTAAAAATATAAAAATTAACTAAGCGTGGTGGCGCATGCCTGTAATCCTAGCTACTCGGGAGGCTGAGGCAGGAGAATCGCTTGAACCCAGGAGGTGAAAGTTGCAGTGAGTCAAGATCGCACCATTGCACTCCAGCCTGGGTGACAAAGCAAGACTCTCTCTCAAAAAAAAAAAAAAAAAAAAACCCAAAAAAAGAAAGAAAGAAAATGTTTATATAAGTGTGTCCCTGACTCCCTGCATACAAAATTGTAACAAAACTATTTATTTATGTATTTTTTGAGACAGAGTCTTTCTGTGTCACCCAGGCTGGAGTGCAGTTGCACAATCTCAGCTCACTGCAACCTCCGCCTCCTGGGTTCAAGTGATTCTCCTGCCTCAACCTCCCGAGTAGCTGGGACTACAGGCGCCTGCTGCCATACTCGGCTAATTTTTGTATTTTTAGTAGAGACGGGGTTTCACTGTGTTGGCCAGGCTGGTCTTGAACTCCTCACCTCAAGTGATCCACCAGCCTCGGCCTCCCAAAGTGTTGGGATTACAGGTGTGAGCCACCATGCCCGGCTTCCCTATGCTTTCTTTTTTGTCTTTTTCTTTTCTTTCTTTCTTTTTTTTTGAGATGGAGTTTCGCTCTTGTCACCCAGGCTGGAGTGCAATGGTGCGATCTCTGCTCACGGCAACCTCCCCTTCCTGGGTTCAAGCAATTCTCCTGCCTCAGCCTCCTGAGTAGCTGGGACTACAGGCACCCACTGCCACACTCAGCTAATTTTTGTATTTTTAGTAGAAACAGGGTTTCACCATGTTGGCCAGACTGGTCTTGAACTCCTGACCTCAGGTGATCCACCTGCTCAGCCTCCCAAAGTGCTGGGATTATAGGCATGAGCCATCATGCCTGGCCTCTCACCACATTCTCTCTGGCAGCAGTGCCAGGACCTGCTGGCAGGGTCTGTGATGTAGCAAGCATCTGGCCAGGAAGGAGATGTGTATCTCTGTTTCCTGCAGCCCTCCCAGCTCCGGGGGATTCATCCTCTCTCGTCTGGGGAGGTGGGGGCAAAGGTTCCTGCTGCAGACCTCATCTTCCCGATAAGGCTGAGGATGCTGACAACACCCTGCCTTTAGAGAGAACAGCCCCACTCAACAGAGACCAGATGTGTTCATCGAAAGGTGTGTAACAAATAGCCCAGGGGACACAGGATATGTCAAACAATTGGCACCGGAGAGCATGTGAGAAGAAACTGTCACCTGGGACCAGAGCTGGCTTCAAAGGGCAGGTGTGCTCTGCTGGAGTGCGGATGCGCGGAGTGTCTGGGAGCTGGGCTGGGCAGAATGGCTGGAGCAGGGGTCTGTGTGGGCACCAAGGTGATGAAAGGCGGTCAGATCAACAGGGCCAGGACAGGTAAGGGTGATTTGTTGAGTTTTGTTTTTTCCTAATGAAGCAGAAATGGAAAAAGAGGGGGAAAGCAATCGTGTGGACTCTATCCTGCAGGTCAGACAGGCAGCCCCGGAGAAGACCTGCTAGGTGCACGGCTGGCTTGTTTCTAACATCACCTGTGGTCAGCAGCGCCACCAAGAGCCACCACCAGGGGGCAGAGGTAGGGCCATGTAGTAGACGCCTGTAGTTTTCGCCTGTCCAGGACGCCTTCACCCCTGCTTCCTTTGAGAAAAGTCCCTCTCCCACTCCAAGTGGTACTGACGGGGATCACCCACACAAAAGAAACCTGGAGGCTCCCCTCCTGGGGCACCCGGCTTCTGCTCCAACCAGGTGAGCCCAATGCCTGCCTGAAGCCACTTGCGTTGTTTACAAACCTGTTTACTCCAGTTAAGCTGATTATACAATTATATCCTTTCATTCTTATGTAAACTCATGAAATATGGTAAAACAAAACAGAACTGTAGCTCCTCCATCAAAACAAAAATGTAAGTTAAATATTTCCAAGTTAATAAAACTAACAGTATGTATTGTTGAATGTGAGTGAGACAACTCAAAGACATTGTGAAGGAGGTGCGGTCATAAAAATCTCGCTCTGTCACCCAAGCTGGAGTGCAGTGGCACGGTCTTTATTTTATTTTATTTTATTTTATTTTTTGAGACGGAGTTTCTCTGTTGTTGCCCAGGCTAGAGTGCAATGGCGCAATCTCGGCTCACCGCAACCTCCACCTGCCTGGTTCAAGCAATTCTCTTGCCTCAGCCTCCCAAGTAGCTGGGATTACAGGCATGCACCACCACGCCTGGCTAATTTTTTGTAATTTTAGTAGAGACGGGGTTTCTCCATGTCGGTCAGGCTGGTCTCAAACTCCCGACCACAGGTGATCTGCCCGCCTTGGCCTCCCAAAGTGCTGGAATTACAGGGTCGAGCCACCATGCCTGGCCTCAGTGGTGCAGTCTTGGCTCACTGCACCCTCCGCCTCCTGGGTTCAAGCGATTCTCCTGCCTCAGACTCCCAAGTAGCTGGGATTACAAGTGTGTGCCACCACACCTGGCTAATTTTGTATTTTTAGTAGAGATGGAGTTTCACCAGGTTGGTCAGGCTGGTTTCGAACTCCCAACATCAAGTGATCCATCTGCCTCGGCCTCCCAAAGTGTACCTGGCCTTTTTTTTTTAATGGTTATTTCTTGGTGATATGTTAAACAAGGGGTGGATTATTCATGCCTCCCCTTTTTAGACCATGTAGGGTAACTTCCTGACGTTGCCACGGCATTTGTAAACTGTCATGGCGCTGGTGGGCGTGTACCAGTGAGGGCAACCAGAGGTCACTCTCATAGCCATCTTGGTTTTGGAGGATTTTGGCCGTCTTCTTTACTGCAGCCTGTTTGATCAGCAAGGTCTTTATGAGCTGTATGACCTAGCAATGCATCCAAGTAGGTCTCAGCTTTATTTTACCCAGCCCCTATTCAAGATGGAGTTGCTCTGGTTCAAACGCCTCTGAGACAAGGTCCAGCAATTCTTCCTTGGTTGTGGGATTAGACTCAGAGCAAGATTCCTGTTCGTTGCTTCCTGTGCCCACAGACAGTGAACTGTCGGGAATCTACCAGGTCTTTTGGAGCAATAGGCTTTTCAGGGGGTATCCCAATAGGCCAGGACGGCCTGCATCTTCACGTAGCCCCTCTGCTCTTGAGCTTTCTCCTTCCTGCCACCTGGGGTGGTGGAAAGGGCATTGGGTTTGGAGCAGAAATGACTTAGGTGTGAACCCAGCTCTGCCACTTCCTGGCCGGCTGTGCTTGGAAAAGTAACCAAGCATCTCCGGAGCGCCCCACTTCTCATCTACAAGACAGGAGTGGTCTTTGCACTTAATTCAGAGGGTTGCATGAGGAGTAGAGAGATAATGCTTTCACGGCTCCAGGAACCCAGCGGGCTTTCAAGAAATGGGATGTTCCTTCTGATTCCCTCGCTCCAGGGCCCTCCCCTCTGGCCCAGGCTCTAGTCCCCATTAATCACACCGCGCGGGCTGCGACCCCTTTAAGTCCGGCTTGGATGACCCAGATCCAAAGTCATCGACTCTCTAGCTGCTATCTCTATGGTAAGTTATCACTTCCGGCCGGAAGTTGCTGACGGAGCTACTTCCGCCCAGGGGAGTGGGAAGTAAGTGGAGACACGTGCTTTGGCCTGTTGGAGGGGAAACCCGCTCTCGCCTCCTGGTGGTCGCCGACTCGCAGTCCGCAGGATGACTCAGGGCAGCCCTGACCACAGTTCCGCCGCCATCGGCCCTAGCCTGCGGAATTGGGCTCGCCCCGGGACGATAACAGAGCTCTGCCGGGGGCTGGAGGCACTGACCGGGTGACCAGAGACCCAGAGACCAGACCCCCTCCACGGCGCCCGGGATTTCGGGGACGGCTTCTCCCATCGCAAGTAGGGCTTGGACGGGAGGCGACAAAAGAGAACTTGGTCCGCACACAGCCACCGAAATTGGAATGAGGAGCTGTAGGGAGGCCCCGTAGCCAGCAGAAAAGCATTGGGGTCCCTGGCTGGGTTAGCCCAGGTTTCTAGGAGTGTGGTAAGCGTCGAATGACTTTTGTCCTTTTAAAGCACATTATGTTACTTTTTCCCCCAAGGTTTCAACAGAAAATGAGAAATATCCCCCGACGATTGGCTGAAAACATGCAGCAACCACTATTTTCTTCCTGCCCCTCGTTGATGAGAGCATTCGAAGTGACCTCAGCAGGGCATCCAGGTATGTCAAGCATGGTGACAAAGTGTTCAGGTCAGACGGTCTGGGGAAAGGCTCCTGTGTTGTTGAGCCTGCCAAGTTGTGGGTGCAGCATGGTACCAGGCAGCCCAACCCTGACCTAAAGTAAATTCCCGGAAGAAGTCTTTCCTGGGTTTTGAATTTGCAGTAACAGGTGTGAGCATTCTAGCAGCAGTTTGATGATCATGTATGATACTGCAAACAGGACCTACGTTTAAAGAAAATGGTTGTAGTTAGTATCAGAGAGCCCTTGCTTTTCAAAACTTCATAAACAATGTTACTGTCATGTCTTTCATTCAATAAACATTTGTTGATACATTGGCCTGACATCATGTTAAATGTTACGGATACAGAGATGAAGAAAACAGTCATGGCCCTTGTTCTCTGGGAACTACAACCCAGTTAGGGAGACAAGGTTAAATGATCACACTTAAGAGGGCATAATTCAGCCAGGTGCAGTGGCTCATGCCTGTAATCCCAGCACTTTGGGAGGCCGAGGCGGGTGGATCACCTGATGTCAGGAGTTCGAGACCAGTCTGGCCAACATGATGAAACCCCATTTCTACTAAAAATACAAAAAATTAGCTGGGCATGGTGGCATGTGCCTGTAATCCCAGCTACTCAGGAGGCTGAGGCAGGAGAATCGCTTGAACCCAGGAGGTGGAGAGGTTGCAGGGAGCCGAGATCACACACACCACTGCACTCCAGCCTGGGCAACAAGAGCAAAACTCCGAGAAAAAAAAAAAAAAGTCATAATTCAGGCCGGGCACCGTGGTTAATGCCTGTAATCCCAACACTTTGGGAGGCCGAGGCAGGCAGATCATCTGAGGTCAACAGTTCAAGACCAGCCTGGCCAACATGAAATTAGCTGGGTGCAGTGGCATATGCCTGTAATCCCAAGAGGCTGAGGCAGGAGAATCGCTTGAACCCGGGAGGTGGAGGTTCCAGTGAGCCGAGATCGCGCCACTATACTGCAGCCTGGGTGACAGAGCAAGACTCCATCTCAAAAAAAAAAAAAAGGGCATAATTCAAGCCAAAGTGAGTGCTCTGAAGGAAGGGAACGTAAGAACATATATCCCAAGGATCTGGCGGGTGTGGTGGCTCACACCTGTAATCTGAGCACTTTGGGGTGCCAAGGTGGGAGGATCACTTGAGCTCAGGAGTTCGCGACCAGCCTGGGCAACATAGTAAGACCTCATTTCTATGTTTTTTAATTATTAAAAAAAAAAAAAAAAAAGATCCGATGGAGACTAGAAGGCTTTTCTGAGGATGAAACCCTCGAGCTAGAATCTGAAGGATGGGTAAAAGTTTGCTGGGCACAGTGCCCCAGCAGGTGCAGCTGGTGAAGGAACTGAAAGAAGGCCTTTGTAGCCCAGAAAGCAAAGTGGAGAATGGTGGGAAATGAAGCTAAAAAGGTGAAGAGCTGGGCGCGGTGGCTCACACCTGTAATCACAGCACTTTTGGAGGCTGAGGCTGGAAGATTGCTTGAGCCAAGGAGTTCAAGATCAGCCTGGGTAACACGAGACCTTGTCTCTATGCAAAATCAAAAAAGTAAGCTGGGTGTGGTGACCCATGCCAGTGATCCCAGCTACTTGGGAGGCTGAGGTGGGGGGCTTAAAGCTGCAGTGAGTCATGATGGTGCCACTGCAGTCCATCCTGGGTGACAGAGTGAGACCCTGTCTCAAAAAAAAAAAAAAAAGATAGGGAAGGCCAGGCCATACAGGGCCTTGCGGCTCAGGCGAGGATGTTGGTCTTTGGCCTAAGAATAATGGGATACCATTATGGGATTTTTGGGGTTTTTGTTTTGTTTTGTTTTGTTTGAGATGGAGCTTGCTCTGTCTCCCAGGTTGGAGTGCAGTGGTGTGATCTTGGCTCACTGCAACCTCCACCTCCCAGATTCAAGCGATTCTCCTGCCTCAGCCTCCCAAATAGCTGAGATTACAGGCGCACGCCACCATGCCCGGCTAATTTTTGTATTTTTAGTAGAGACGGGGTTTCATCACGTTGGCCAGGCTGGTCTCAGACTCCTGACCTCTGGTGATCTGCTCACCTCGGCCTCCCAAAGTGCTGGGATTACAGGCTTGAACCACCTTGCCCTGCCCCTTTATGGGTTTTATGTAAGAGGATGATACAGACAAATCTGTAATTGCAAAAGAGCACTATGTGCAGAACATAGATGATGTGCTGTCCAGCAGCACTTTCTGCAATGATGGAAATGGCCTATCTGACCATTTTATGCTATCCAGAGCAGCCGCAAGCCACATGTAGCTGTTGAGCATTTGGTGACTGTGAGTCCACATTTTTTATTTTAACTGTAAATAGTCACATGTGGCTAGTGGCTGCTGTGTTGGTCTACAGTGCATTAGAGGGAGCAGTGCCACCTTTCCGGGAGTCGTGGCACACAGAACCCTTTTGCATCTCCTGCTCTTCCTCCCGTCTTGGCTGAAGGTTGAGATTATGCTTCTGGGAGAACCTTCATGTTGATTTCTCCTGGAGGTCTCCAACAGAGACAATAACAGTTTATGAAATTTTTTTTTTTTTTTTGAGAAGGAGTCTTATTCTGTTGCCCAGGCTGAGTGCAGTGGTGCGATCTCAGCTCACTGCAACCTCCGCCTCCCGGGTTCAAGCGATTCTTCTGCCTCAGCCTCCCAAATAGCTGGGATTACAGGCACATGCCATCACACCCGGCTAATTTTTGTGTTTTTAGTAGAGACGGGGTTTCGCCATTTTGGCCACGCTGGTCTTGAACTGACTTCAGGTGATCCGCCTGCCTTAGCCTCCCAAAGTGCTGGGATTACAGGCCTGAGCCACTACACCTGGCCTGTTTATGGAATGTAATATTGATTTTCTCGGCTGTAGTTTAGCCTGCTCCTTCATGAAGCAGCGTCTTCCTTCTGTCTTTGCCTGTTTTTTGTTAGCACACAGATTGAGAAGTGACATCATCAGTGCAATTAAGTACCTACAGGGGTAAGCACATTGAGTCATACGCCGTGGAGGGAATATAAAGAAAAGTATGGTCCCTGGTGTTAGGGGCTTAGAATCTAGCGATGTCAGTAGGCACTATGGAACAACAGGAAAGGACATTTTCTGTTGAACCCTTCAGGGGATGGGACCCTCTCGGGGAAGTAAAGGCTGTTTCCATCTGCTGAAATGTGACAAAAGGCGGGAAGCATGGAAGAATGTGGGGAGCTCCCTAGTGAGAGCTGTACTGAGTAATATGTGGCTGGAGGGAAGGGAAGAAAAGTAAAGTTGGAATATGTAGGTTGATAACCAGGTTGTAGGGCCCTTGAATGTCAAAGTTCAAGTGGCTTTTTTAACAAGCAGGTTTCTAAGGGCAACGTGGTGGTCTACAGATGACAGCCTGGAGAAAGATGGGTTAGAGCCGGGCGTGGTGGCTCACACCTGTAATCCCAGCACTTTGGGAGGCTGAGGCGGGCGGATCACCTGAGGTCGGGAGTTCAAGACCAGCCTGACCAACATGGAGAAACCCCGTCTTTACTAAAAATACAAAATTAGCTGGGCGTGGTGGCACATGCCTGTAATCTCAGCTACTCAAGAGGCTGAGGCAGGAGAATTGCTTGAACCCGGGAGGCGGAGGTTGCGGTGAGCCGAGATCACGCCATTGCACACTCCAGCCTGGGCTAAAAAGAGTGAAACTCCGTCTCAAAAAAAAAAAAAAAAAAAAAAGAAAGGGAAAGATGAGGTTAGGAAGTCCTTGTGATGTCTTTGAGTAGGAGGTGACCAGCCCTTGGCTCAGTGGTACCTGTAGACTTGGAAGAATGAGGGGTGGCTGGGGGCCCATTCCCCGCAGGGCAGAATCCCAGGGTACCTCCCATGTCATGTTCTAGGTGGAAGGTGGATTTTAGATTTTAGAGAGTATCTCATGGAGCTCACAGTTTTAAATATTCAGACTTGGTAAAGTAGAATAAGAACTGATGCATATACTTTTCTTTGCAGGTCAGTTTCTGGAAGACTTGTGTGTGTGATGAATGAATATCTGGTTTTGTCTCTGCTGGGCCTGTGTGCCTGGAAAGGAATTGTTTTGGCCTAGGATCATCCAGGTTTGTTTGGTTTAGTTCTTGACCACATATTTTTTGAATGGTGACTGCTTAAGACCCTGTTGTGTATGGCTATAAATAGATACACGCCAAGGTGACCACATACTCTGTGGTTCCTGTGCCCGCCGGCCATGTGTCTGAGTGTGTAGCCTCTCATCATCTAAAGGAACTTTGGCTGCAGAGGGGAGGCCTGGTCCCATGGGAAGTTTTGGGAGCGCAGCAGCAGGTGGGTTCAAACGACCCAGCAAGTGCCTCCTTAGCACTTAGAGGCGGAGGCCACCACGTTGTCCACGTGGGGTTTCTGATCCCAGCTCCCCACCAGCCTGCTGGACCTCGGGCAGGTCCCTCCCTGTTTGTACCTCCATTACTTCTTCAGTAAGATGGGGACACTGAAGATGACCATGCCTCCCACCAGATTGGTGCTTTTTTTGTTTTAATAAGGGACAGAGTCTCACTATGTTGCCTATAGGCTGGTCTCAAGCTCTTGGCCTCAGTTTTCCTGCCTCAGCCTTCAAATATGCTGGGGTGACAGGCATGAGCCACTGCACTGGCCCAGATTGGTACATTTGAGGGTTAAATGAGCAAATCCTATAAAGCACTCAGGAGAGGGCTGTGGGGTTTGGGCTGGGGCCTGGGAGCACTTTAGACGTGGTAGCTATGTTGTTGTCACCTTTCTCCTCTTTCAAAGCATTTTTTGTTTGTTTGTTTTTGTTTTTGAGACAGAGTTTCGCTCTTGTGGCCCAGGCTGGAGTGCGGTGGTGTGACCTCGGCTCACTGCATCCTCCGCCTCCCGGGTTCAAGTGATGGGATTACAGGTGCCTGCCACAACGCCCAGCTAATTGTTTGTATTTTTAGTAGAGACGAGGTTTCACCATGTTGGCCAGGCTGGTCTCGAACTCCTGACCTCAGGTGATCCACCTGCCTTGGCCTCCCAAAGTGCTGGGATTACAGGTATGAGCTACCGCGCCCGGCACAAAGCATTTTCAGCTGTGAAATTCCCTGGGGTGCTGCAGTAGAGGAAGGTTTGGGGTCTTGACGGGTGCTATTTGCCACGGAAAGATGCCTTCCTGCTCCCAGGGCAGGAGAGCCGAGGTAAGACTTACTGTAGGCTGTCGTTTTTTTTGTTTGTTTTTTGTCTTTGCGATGGAGTCTCACTCTGTCGCCAGGCTGGAGTGCAGTGGCATGATCTTGGCTCACTGCAGAACCTCCACCTCCCAGGTTCAAGCGATTCTCCTGCCTCAGCCTCCCAAGTAACTGGGATTACAGGCACATGCCCCCACAACCAGCTAATTTTTTATTTTTAGTAGAGACAGGGTTTCACATGTTGGCCAGGCTGGTCTTGAACTCCTGACCTCAGGTGATCCGCCCGCCTCGGCCTCCCAAAGTGCTGGGATTACAGACATGAGCCACTGCGCCCAGCCAGGCTGTTGTTTTTTTACCTCCTTGTTTGCACAATTTGGGCCACTCACAAGAGTGTATACCCTGTGATAAACAGTTACCTACATTCTCCTCTGCATGCTTGTCTTTAGAGGAAGGAAATGTATTAATTGCCCAAAGTAATATATTGTGTTAAGATGTGATATATACTGGGGAAAAAAAAAGTGTATATTGACATTTCTGGAATAAACCACTTTGATTCCCAGTTACTGACTCGTTCTCCTGTGTGGTGTCTTTCCTGTATGCAGAAGGCCGGCTTCCCCACAGGGGCTGGGGGTGACTTGTCTGTCCTTGGAATATGAGTCTTTGCAAGCAGCTGCTGCCCATGTGCACAGTTCCTCGAGGAGTTGGTTCAATCTTGGTTTGGGAGTTTGATTGGAAGGATTAGATCCTAGGCTCCCCTGAGCAGTAACATCTTATTTATAGCGTGGAAAATGGACAGAGCTGTTGATACTTAGGAGAGCTTTCCTCATTATCACCCCGAGGAGAGTGCCTGAGTCTCCAAGAGGTCATTGTTGGTCTGCAAGCTCTTAAGGCAGAAGAGTCTGCCAGTAACAGGGAAATCAGGACAGGATGGGAATGAGTGTCCCAAGGCAGTGACAGAAGCTGAGGCTGAACCTTCCCAGGAATCCTCCACCTTCAGGGTGCCACCTTGTCTCTGCATGAAGTGTCTGCAGACACACTGCCTGAAAGTGGCTCCTTAACAATGAACCTGCTTGCCTTTTCTCTGTCACTAGACCCCAAGACAATGAAGAGCCTTCATTGGCTGGGCATGGTGGCTTGCGCCTGTAATCCCAGCACTTTAGGAGGCCGAGGCGGGTGGTCAGGAGTTCGAAAGCAGCCTGACCAACATGGTGAAACCCCATCTCTACTAAAAATACAAAATTCAACCAGGTGTCGTGGCAGGCACCTGTAATCCCAGCTGCTCGGGAGGCTGAGGCATGAGAATCAGTTGAACCCAGGAGACAGAGGTTTCGGTGAGCCAAGGTCACACCACTGCACTCCAGCCTAGAAGACAGAGCAAGACTTTGTCTCAAAAAAAAAAAATTAACTAATTACTGAAATAAATAAACAGCCTTCACTAATTCTCCTACACAGTAATGGGCGCGCTCCTCCTACACAGGACTGGCATGCTGGGCATCTTTCTGGGTGATGGGAGGGAGGCCTAGACTCCATGGGTGGAGGCCTAGGAAGGTTTTGTGTGGCTGTCAGGAACATTCCCTGGCCTTGGCTGTCTCCTGCTGTCATTCAGTTCCAGCTCCTTGCAGTCAGTCTTTTTTTTTTTTTTTTTTTTAAATAGAGATGAGGTCTCACTGTCTTGCCCAGACTGGTCTTGAACTCCTGGGCTCAGGTGATCCTCCCACCTCAGCCTCCCAAAGTGTTGGAATCACAGGCATGAGCCATCACGCCTGGCTACAGATGGTGCTTTCAATATTAGCAATGGATAATTAAATATGTGGTTAAGAAGTTGTATTTAAGGTTAAAAATCACTATGAGGCTGGGTGTGGTGGCTCAAACCTGTAATCCCAGCACTTTGGGCCAAGGCAGGCGGATCACCTGAGGTCAAGAGTTCGAGACCAGCCTGGCCAACATGCTGAAACCCTGTCTCTACTAAAAATACAAAAATTAGCCAGGCGTTATGTTGCGTACCTATAATCCCAGCTACTCGGGAGGCTGAGGCAGGAGAACCGCATGAACCTGGGAGGCAGCGGTTGCAGTGAGCCGAGATAGCGCCACTACACTCCAGCCTGGGTGACAGTGAGACTCCATCTCAAAAAAAAAAAGTCACCGTGGGACACAAGCCCTGTATCAGAAAAGGTATAGAAATTAAAGAACAGTTAAGTCAAGATTTTGAATTTCTCTCTTCGTCCACTAGAGGATGTAATCCAACACCAGACTGTGTTCTCTGATGTAACTTGGTATAGAGTTTGGGTTTTGGGGCTTTTTTGTTCTGTTTTGATTTGTGTAATTTAGCCAAGACTTTCTGTGACCAAAAAGTTATGTCTGTTGTAACTTGGTACAGAGTTTGGATTTTGGGGTTTTTTTGTTTTGTTTTGATTTGTGTAATTTAGCCAAGACTTTCTGTCACCAAAAAGTTATGCAGAAGATTCATCTGCGGGGCTGGGCTCTTAGTTACGAATCTGTCCGGTTGTCCCAGTGGAATCAGTCCAGGTGTCTTGGTTCGTGATAAGTGCTTTCCTTGGAAGCGTTTATCATGTCAGGAACCAAGCACAGGCACTGCACGTGGAGATAAGAGCGTGTTCTAATACATTTCTCCGTTCCAATGTACTCCCAGTGCCAGCTGGTGAGAACATCGGGAAAGATTTTCTTTGTAAGGAATCCAGTGTTAACACGTACCAGTATTTGAAGTCCCAGACAGTGTGCATTAAGGGTTTAGAAGTGTCTCTGGCATGAACATTGCTTATAACTTGAAATTGACAGGTACTTATCAAGACCAAACAAAGTTTGCACAAAGCCAGCACAGTTAAGAGTGCTGATTGTGGCCGGGCACGGTGGCTCACGCCTGTAATCCCAGCACTTTGGGAGGCCGAGGCGGGCGGATCACAAGGTCAAGAGATCAAGACCATCCTGGCCAACATGGTGAAACCCCGTCTCTATTAAAAGTACAAAAATTAGCCGGGCGTAGTGGCGCACGCCTGTAATCCCAACTACTCGGGAGGCTGAGGCAGGAGAATCTCTTAAACCTGGGAGGCAGAGGTTGCAGTGAGCCGGGATTGTGCCACTGCACTCCAGCCTGGCGACAGAGCAAGACTCCATCTCAAGAAAAAAAATTTAAAAAAAAGAGTGCTGATTGTTAGCTGGTGGGAAAGTGGACTTGCTGGGTGGGGGCGGGGGAGTGGGGAGAATGACCATTCTGAAAGTGTAATCTTCAACAGAGTACTGTACGTTCTCTGGCTTATTAGCCCGGTGAACAGCTTTCTGATGGTTTTAGTTGAACAAGTATTGCTGGATATGTTAAAATACAGCCAGAGGCAAAACATACTCCCTCCTCTCAGAGAACTTATATCCCAGGATAGGGGAGACTGGAAACAGGTCATTAGAATATGCAGAATAACAGATGAGTGCTATGGAGAGAAAGACAGCAGCCCCACTACGGAGGAGCACGGGATGGGGTTTGCAATTTTAGATGGGTGGCCTTTAACCAAATCCTTCAGTGAGAGTAAGTCACATGATGACCAGGAAGAGCACCCCAGCAGGGGAGGCAGCCAGTGCCCTGGCACACAAGCAAAAGGAGTTGATGAGAGGGCTGGGGGGCTGAGGCCAGATCTCATGGGGCCTCACATGGAGGAAAGTGTGGGACTTCTGCCTTTTCTCTGAATAGTGTCCGTAGCTTACATATTCTATCTACTCTTGCCTTTTAGGAACCATTTTTCCCTCTAATGGTAGTTTACGTTAGAAGTATTTCCTGTTCTAGGCCCGGTGCAGTGGCTCATGTCTGTAATCCCAGCACTTTGGGAGGCCAAGGCAGGTGGATCACCTGAGGTCAGGAGTTCGAAACCAGCCTGGCCAACATGGCAAAACCCCATCTCTACTAAAAATACAAAAATTAGTCAGGCGTGGTGGTGCATACCTGTAATCCCAGCTACTCGGGAGGCTGAGGTACGAGAAATGCCAGAACCCAGGAGGCAGAGGTTGCAGTAAGCCATCGTCGTGCCACTGGACTTCAGCCTGGGCGACAGTGAGACTGTCTCAAAAAAAAAAAAAAGTATTTCCTGTTCCTACACATTGGCCCATTGAGAGGATCCCAGGTCTATGCATGGGGACACCGTCTTTTTGGCTCATGTTGAGCCACATGTCCTGCAGTATTTGGAAGTGTTCTGGGACAGACTTTGTTCACATAAAGATCGCGTGCCCTTCACTGCAGTGATGAAGCTGGAGACTGTCTTTCTCTGTGACAAGGACCTCAGCCCTGGATCTGTCCTCTCCTAGTGCCCACCTCATTCATGGAGCTCACCCCGTGGTTTTGGAATTGTTTCCTTCCCTGTGCCTTAGCTTCCCTGAACACTACTTCTACACTAGCTCCTTGAGAGTGGGAGCCCTGGACTTATTGCTTTTTCAACAGAGTAGATATGTGTGTTTCATTTATATCAGTATTTAAATTGCTAGCAACAAGACCACAAAAACTACATTCTCATAGAAGCCTGTTTGGGTTTGATGTGGTTACATGTGATTAATGTATTTGAAATAGTTATTTGTTGTGATTTTTTTTTTCAGATCAATTATGCAGCTACAGCCAAAACCAAGTTCTTTTTATTGCAATGGTAATGAAAGGAGCCCCGTGTAAGTCACTGGAAGGTCACATGTTCACAGACTGTCAGCTGTGGAGGGTTATGTAACAGTGGTTATGCAATGCCACGTTAGAACTACAGCCCGAGCAGCAAAACATTTAGATAATTTTATTGAATTAAAATAAGACTTCCACTCTCTTTGAATGACAAATCCCTTTTAACAAAACCAAGACTTGGGTTTTAATGTTGACTCCCACACGAGGCTCCGTAAGCCACATTTTACCTTCTATGCGTGGCTGGCCCCATTGAGTAGATTTCTGAAAGTCAAATTTCTGACATGAGCCTATTTGAAAACTTTGCTCAGTTGTCATCTTCTATCAGGATGAGTTATGGACGAAGCCCCCCATAAATCCTAAGGCACATCTTGAAGCCCCTAAAATCCAAAGGCATGGCCGGGCTCACATCTGTAATCCCAGCACTTTGGGAGGCCAAGGCGGGTGGATCACTTTGAGGTCAGGAGTTCGAGGCAAGCCTGGCCAACATGGTGAAACCTCGTCTCTACTAAAAATACAAATATTACCCGGGTGTGGTGGCACACTCCTGTAATGCCAGCTACTTGGAGGCTGAGGCAGGAGAATCACTTGAACGTGGGAGGTGGAGGTTGCAGTGAGCTGAGATCACCCCACTGCATTCCAGCCTGGATGACAGAGTGAGACTCTCTCAAACAAAAACAAAAAAAATCCTAAGGTACGTGAGTCTCCTTCACTAATGTACTGTCTTTGTTCCAAGATACTTCACCCCTTCGAAAGTTAACGGGGAAGATCAAAAGGAGGTATTAAGAGATCAAAATGAAATAAAGGCTTCATGCGTTTTTTGTTGTTTTTTTTTAACATGCCCCAGCATTACAACAAAAACATGTCTTTTTGTTTAAAAAAATTTTTTTTCCCAAAGTAATACATGCATTAGTTCAAAAAATTCATAGAACTAAAAGGCTTCTAACACTAGGCTAAGCTTCCCTGCTCTGGCGCTCCCAGCGGGAGCCATTTTCCATTCCTTCAGCTTCGCTGGTTTTGTTTCCGAGGAGCGGGCGTGCTGCGCTGCTTCTCTTTGAGTCATCTGGGTCCTCGCCTGTTGACTTTCTTCCTGGTAGATGTGGACTGACCTCTTCCTGGTAGATGTGGACTGACTTCTGCCTATTCACCCTCTGCTTCCCCTTCTGCACCCTCCGAGCACTGTGGTCATCTGTACATGCGGCATTCACGTTAGTGCGCATGCGCAAAAGGTGCCTACCGCCCTGCGCTGCAGTGTGTGCATTCTGTATTGTTGTCCCTGTTAATTTCCCCTTCCTTGGCTGGCTTTTTCTTTTTTTTTTTTTCTTTTCTTTCTCTCTCTCTCTCTTTTTTTTTTTTTTTTTTTTTTTTTTGAGACAGAGTCTCACTCTGTTGCCCAGGCTGGATTGCAGTGCTGTGATCTCGGCTCACTGAAACCTCTGCCTCCTGGGTTCAAGCAAATCTCCTGCCTCAGCCTCCAGAGTAGCTGGGACTACAGGCGCCCACCACCACGCCCGGCTAATTTTTGTATTTTTAGTAGAGACAGGGTTTCACCATGTTGGTCAGGCTGGCCTCAAACTCCTGACCTCAAGCGATCCACCCACCTCGGCCTCCCAAAGTGCTGGGATTACAGGAGTGAGCCACCGCGCCCAGCCTGGGCTTTCTCTGAACCTGCTGCTAAATTCTTCCCACACTTCCTGGTGGCCTCTCAGCGTAACTTTACGTAAGGTCAATCAAGTTAATTTATCCATTCCAATTTTTTTCTTAGATGAGTGAGAGAAGACTTTTCATACAATTGATTAAAGTTTTGTTACAATATTGTATGCAGGGGTCAGGCTGTAGTAGTCCAATTCATAAGTTCACATTTAGGTAGGGATATTTTATAGGAAAATATAAGAGCTGGATTATTGTTGTTAGGCCAAATCTAGAGTCACAGGCTGATGGTTCTGACAGGCAGCTGGTTGGGTAACTGGTTTCCCAGAAAACTCCTTCCCAATCTTGCCAGTCTCTACCCAGAAGCAAGTTATGAATTTATTAATTATATCAGGTAGAAAGGGCTCTGTCCCAAGCCTGGTTTAGTGTTAAGCATATAGTCCCTCTCTTTTTTTTTTTTGAGACAGAGTCTCGCCCTGTTGCTCTGTTGCCCAGGCTGGAGTGCAATGGCACAATCTCGGCTCACTGCAACCCCAGTCTCCCAGGTTCAAGCAATTATCCTGTGCCTCCTGAGAAGCTGGGATTACAGGCGCACACCACGCCAGGCTAATTTTTGTATTTTTAGTAGAGATGGCGTTTCACCATGTTGGCCAGGCTGGTCCCGAACTCCTGACCTCAGGTGACCCGCCCACCTCAGCCTCCCAAAGTGCTGGGATTACAGGCATGAGCCACTGTTCCCGGCCCCTCTTTTTTGACCAGACATAATAACTGTCATGGTTAAATCCCTGTCTTGGTTCAGAAGGCCCACGTTGTTGCATTTTTGGTCTAAGAATATAAGTGAATTTGTTGTCTAGTTGAGTGCTTCCCAAACAATTTGCAAAGGACTCCCCTGGGGATCCCATCAAAATGCAGCTTCTGGTGGTTCTGTGGGTCTGGCCTGGGCTGGAGATTCGGCAGTTCTCACAAGCTCCCAGGCCATGCTGATACTGCTGGTCTGAGGACCACTCGGTCCTTTCTCAGGGATGGTGGGACTTAGGCGTGGACTTACTTTGTAGAACACATCATCCTGACTATTGGTGGTGCTCATTTACACGTTGATGTAATTCCTTTAAACCAGCGTCCTGTGTTAGGGAAAACGTTCCCAACAGTCCCGTTGCGGTCACCATTTCTTGTAGTTTATTCACCAGGGTCTCTATGTCATGCAAGCTGGGTTCTCTGAGGTCTCTTATTTACATAGGTACATCAAGAGGCAATGATTAACATCCAAAGACCTCTTTGCTATTTGCTTAACAAAACTGCAGTCATCTGTTGGGGAAATATAATTTAAAAACAAAATCCCCCAACCCAGAAAGCCTCGCCACAAAAGTAAAAGCAAAAGAAAACAATTTTATGATTGAATAAGCATTAAACCAAAACGCGTTGAGCATCACAGGCAGCCCACTGAAAGAACTGCAGAGACAAATCTCCCGCTTTGATACAGCTAAGTGGATACAGCCCATGCACTGTGTAAGTGGGTTTTGCCATTTAGAATCAGGTGACAGCTGAAGTTGGGATCATCCCCTCCGGAAAACAGTTATCTTCCTTGATGATTACAGTTCACGTGGGTGGCTCAGGTCCTTGGGGAAACATGACTTGAGTTGGGGGAAACTGGCAGGAGACTCATTTAACCACTTGAAAGCTGTATACACTTTTGAAAAGGACAGAGAAAGAAATTCTGAAAGGATATGGAAGTGAAGGGTATCTTCCCTTGTTTTCTTTCTCTTCTTTTTTCTTTTTTTCTTTTTTTTGAGAGGGAGTCTCACTCTATTGCCCAGCCTGGAGTGCAGTGGCGTGATCTCGGCTCACTGCAACCTCCCCCTCCCAGGTTCAAGTGATTCTCCTACCTCAGCCTCATGAGTAGCTGGGATTACAGGCACATGCCACCACACCGAGCTAATTTTTGTATTTTTAGTAGACACAGGGTTTCACCATGTTGGCCAGGCTGGTCTCAAGCTCCTGACTTCAGGTGATCCTCCCACCTTGGCTTCCCAAAGTGCTGGGATTACAAGCATAAGCCACCATGTCTGGCCTTTTTTGTTTATTTTAAAGACAGAGTCTTACTTTGTGGCTCAGGCTGGAGTACAGTGGTGTGATCATGGCTTGCTGTGACCTCGAACTCCTGGGCTCGAGGGATCCCCCCTACTCAGCCTCCCAAGTAGCTGGGACTATACAGGTGCATGCCACCATGCCTGGCTAATTGTTTTACTATTTTTTAGTAGAAGCGAGGTCTCACTATATTGCCCAGACTGGACTCGAACTCCTGGCTTCAAGTGATCCTCCACCTCGGCCTCCTAAAGTACTGAAATACAGGCATGAGCACTGCTTGGCCTGAAATGATTTTTCTTTCTTTTTTTTTTGAGAGGGAGTCTTCCTCTGTAGTCCGGTCTGGAGTGCAGTGGCACGATCTCAGCTCACTGTAACCTCTGCCTCCCAGGTTCAAGCAATTCTCCCACCTCAGCCTCCTGAGTAGCTGGGATTACAGGCACATGTGACCATGCCTGGCTAATTTTTGTATTTTTAGTAGAAATGGGGTTTCACCATGTTGGCCAAGCTGGTCTAGAACTCCTGACCTCAGGTGATCCACCTGCCTCGGCCTCCCAAAGTCCCGGGATTACAGGCATGAGCTACCATGCCCAGCCAGATTTTTCTTTTTTGTTGTTGTTTTTTTTTTGTTGTTGTTTTGTTTTGTTTTTGAGACAGAACCTCACCCCAGGCTGGAGGGCAGTGGTGTCATCTCAGCTCACTGCAACCTCTGCCTCCTGGGCTCAAGCGATTCTCCTGCCTCAGCCTCCCAAGTAGCTGGGATTACAGGCATGCGCCCCCATGCCCAGCTGATTTTGTGTATTTTAGTAGAGACGATATTTTGCCATGTTGGCCAGGCCAGTCTTGAACTCCTGATCTCAAGTGATCCTCTTGTCTCGGCCTCCCAAAGTGCTTCTCCATGGCAGTAGTTACTGTCCCCAGCCCTTGCAGTCATCCTTTCCAATAGTCTCTCCTCCTACGCCTGGATTTGTTTTTCATTTGACACTGAGCTGCCAGAAGGCCCGGCTCCATGGGGTTATGAGGATACAATGCACAGCGGGAAGACCGTGGATCCAGGCGGCACCGGGCGGGGTCCCAGTGCCACCTGCTTATGACCTGCTCCAGAGCCTGTGCACTCGCTGACCCTGCCACCTGGCACGCCCTGCCCCTGTCCTTCCCACTCCCTCTTGTGAGTCAGCTCACAGCTCAATACCACCAGGGAGGCCCTCCCTCTCTTCCCACCGTAAAGTAGGAACCCCATCTTCACTTTGTCCCAAGATCATCAAAGCAGAGACCGTATCCAAAGGACTCTTTTTTGTATTTACTTTTTTTTTTTTTTTTTTGAGACAGAGTCTCCTCTGTCACCCAGGCTAGAGTGCAGTGGTGCGATCTCGGCTCACTGCAACCTCCGCCTTCTGGGTTCAAGCAATTCTCCTGCCTCAGTCAGCCTCCTGAGTAGCTGGGATTACAGGTGCCTGCCACCACGCCCAGCTAATTTTTGTATTTTTAGTAGAGACGGGATTTCACCATTTGGCCAGAATGGTCTCAATCTCCTGACCTCATGATCCACCCGCCTCAGCCTCCCAAAGTGCTGGGATTACAGGCGTGAGCCACTGCGCCCGGCCTTGTGTTTACTTTTTTTTTTTTTTGTCTCCCTTTGTGAACCCAGAAAATCTGAGACAGTTCTCTGTTAATTTAGAAAGTTTATGTTTTTGGCCTGGTGTGGTGGCTCACGCCTATAATCCTAGCACTTTGGGAGGCCGAGGAGGGTGGATCACGAGGTCAGGAGATCAAGACCATCCTGGCCAAGATGGTGAAACCCCCATCTCTACTAAAAATACAAAAATTAGCTGGGCCTGGTGGCAGGCACCTGGAATCCCAGCTACTCAGGAGGCTAAGGCAGGAGAATCGCTTGAACCCAGGGGGTGGAGGTTGCAGTGAGCCGAGATTGCGCCACTGCACTCTAGCCTGGGCAACAGAGTGAGACTCCATTTCAAAAAAAAAAAAAAAAAGAAAGTTTTTTTTTGTGTGTGTGTGTGTCAAGGTTGAGGACACGTACCTGTGACACAGCCTCAAGAGGTCCTGAGGACACATACCCAAGGTGGTCAGGGCACAGCTTGGTTTTATACATCTTAGGGAGACAGGAGACATCAATCAATATATGTTAAGAAGTACATTGGTTCGGTCTCTGGAAAGCCAGGATAACTTGAAGCAAAGGAAGGAAGACTCAGGAAGGGAGCTTCCAGGTCACAGATTGGTGAGACGCGGTTTCATTCTTTTGAGTTTCTGATGAGCCTTTCCAAAGAAGGCGATCGGATATGCATCCGTCTCAGTGAGCAGGGGGGCGACTTTGAATAGAAGGGGAGGCAGGTTGGCCCTAAGCAGTTTCCAGCTGGATTTTTCCTTAGTGATTTTGGGGGCCCAAGATATTTTCCTTTCACGCCTTCAACTGGAAAGTCCACTCCAGGGCCATGGTGACTGTCTTGTTTACCCCTATACCCAGACAGGGCTCAAGTGTGTGGTCAGTGTTCGTGAACAAGAAAGTGACTCTAGCCTGTGACATGCTCCTCGCTGACCACCCCCCCCCCCACCCCACGTAAAAAGAGTTCAAGGAGGTCCCATTTGCAAAGTACTGGGTACCTAGTAAGTCTGTAATATTATAAATTGTGCTTACCACCCTCTTTCCATGATATAGTCCCATTCCCCCATGTTTTAGAGAACATTCAGATTAACCTCCGAAAGATTAAATGATGGTAAGGATATAGTGCAGAGATGTGAACTCCTGTGTCAGGGAGGAAAAACTTTACCCTCATGTTCATGGTTGGAGGCCTGCAAATTAAACTGACCAAAGAAAGATTCACAGGAGAAAAGACTTTTAAACATTCATGTACACCAGAGTTCACAGAAAAATGTGACTCAAGGTTAAGTGGTTAGGATCTGGGGCTTGTATACCATCTTCATGAAGCAGGGGACTCTTAGGAAGGATGAATGGGCCCAGAGGAGCACAGGTGGGATTTATGTTAGTCTTGTGACAACAGCTGTTTAGGTGATTGCTTATCCTGGTGAGGGACTGGTGAGAGGAGACAATCTTCCCTAGTGCAAAACTCCCTAAAAAGCCCCAGGGAGGGGATTTGTGACAGTTGAATTATTTTGAGAGATTCTGTTTTTAAGCAGATAAGTAGAGTTCAGAGGAAAAAAAAAAAAAGGAAAAGTCAGTCTGGATATCAGTTCGTCTACCTAATTTTGCCACGAATCAAGGAAATCACCCTGTACTTTCCTTCTCCGTGGCCAGGGGACATTGAAATTATTTGGTTCTGGCAGGGCATGGTGGCTCTCGCCTGTAATCCCAGCACTTGGGGAAGCCGAGGTTGGCGGATGGCTTGAGCCCAGGAGTTGGAGACCAGCCTGAGCAGCATAGTGAGACTGTCTTCTACAAATAATTTCAAAATTATAGGAGGCCAGGTGTGGTGGCTCACACCTGTAATCCCAGCACTTTGGGAGGCTAAGGTGGGCGGATCACAAGGTCAGGAGTTTGAGACCAGCCTGGCCAATATGGTGAAACCCCGTCTCTACTAAAAATACAAAAATTAGCTGGACGTGGTGGCACGCACCTGAAGTCCCAGCTACTCGGGAGACTGAGGCAGGAGAATCGCTTGAACCCGGGAGGCGGAGGTTGCAGTGAGCCGAGATCGTGTCACTGCACTCCAGCCTGGGCAACAGAGTGAGACTTTATCTCAAAAAGATAAAACAACAAAAAAATTATGGGAGGCTGAGGCGGGTGGATCACCTGAGGTCAGGAGTTCGAGACCAGCCTGGCTAACATAGTGAAAGCCCATCTCTACCTGGGCAACACAGCGAGACTCCATCTCAAAAAATAAATAAATAAATAAATTAGCTGGGTGTGGTGGCCCGCACCTGTGGTCCCAGCTACTCAGGAGGCTGAAGTGAGAAAAATCACTTAAGCCCAGGAAGTTGAGGCTGCAGTGAGCCCTGGTGGCGCCACTGCACTCCAACCTAGGCAACAGAGTGAGACCCTTTCTCAAAAAAAATAAAAAAGAAAAATTATTTGGTTCTCAGGAGAGAAATAGGCTGCGTTCTCCTTCTCCAGCCCCGGGCTTTTCTTTGCTGTTCACCTTGCTGACTCCCCATGAATGCTTGTATCCGGCCACCAGGGTGGCATTTTGCAGAAAAGCAGTAATTTGCATATCACCTAAAAGAGTTCACACATCCCCCATGGGGTGTAATATACCATCAAGGATCACTTAAGTACTGGAGAGAAGCAGCTGATCAATGAAGAGCTTTAATGACTTGAGAGTCTGGGGCAGGGGAGAATCTAATTTATTCAGCCAACCACCGTGGACCCACAGGGGAAAGAACAAAGAGCCACAAACAAAAACTCACTTCCACTTCAGGACCACTTAGCCCACGCCAGGCTCCGGGCTCCGGGGTCCAGGCTCCAGGCACCAGGCTCTGGGTATTTAATCCTCAGAACAGTTTCTGAGACTGGCATCCTTATCTCCACTTTAAAGACAGGGATGGAGGCTCAGGGACGATCACTTGCCAAGGTCACACAGCTATTGAGCGCTGGGTAGGAACGAAAAGAAAGAGTCTCCTTCGTGTAGTTTCAAACTAATGAAAAATGGAAAAAAATTCAAAAGTATTTTCAGTAAACAAAAAATCTATTATATATTTCTATTCTATGTTATGCTAGTTAATGAAGACATAGATGAAAAGGAGAGAGGGGGAGAGAGATTGAGAAAGTCCAAGAAAACAGGAAAGAGAAATGAGATACAGGAGTCCGTAGACCAGGTCAGAAGATCCCCACCCACAACGGTGGATGGCAGAATAAACCGCAACCTCCTCACACACCGAGGGGCTTGGGGGATTCCCGGTGACGTAAAGGTGCCCTCCTTGACTTTCTTGCAACAACAGCAAAGGCTTCTCCACAGTGGCGTTCTAAAGGTTTCCCACGCGCTGACGGCTGAGTTGGTTTTCAAGCTTTACTTGGAGCTTGCTGACACTATCACAGATGCCTGAAAGTCCCTTTGAGAAAGGAGCCATGCTGGCTGGTTTTAGCCCACAGTCTCTGAACACAATTTGGTATTGACTTTTTATTTATTTATTTAAAAACAGAGACGGGGTCTCACTATGTTGCCCAGGCTGGTCTCAAACTCCTGGGCTCCAGCGATCCTCTCACCTCCGCCTCCCAAAGTGTTAAAATTACAGGTGTGAGCCACTGCTCCCAGCCAGTATAAATGTTTGTGTCAGTTTTCAGCCCCCTGTTCCATGCCCCCCCATACCATGCGCACGCACACACACACGGACTTAGATTCTCCCCATTTGAGCAGCTTTCCTCCAGCTGTTTGGGCGAGTGTGCAGTGCTGCCATATAAATGTGCTCAATAAAGCCCATGGTGATGACTCATCTCGGCACTATCTGAGCTCCACTTTCCCCATCCAGAGTCCCGAGTTTCTGCATTAAACGTGGTCGTCATAACCCAGTTCTGTCCGGCAGGAAGCCCTTGCTACAGACCTGGGTCCAGTGTGTCTCCTCTGGACAGTTGGGAGGTGGCAGCCCTATGGTTCGTGTGGGTTCTTCCCACAGGTAACTGAAACAGAGGGCCAGAGGGATGGGACCCCAGCATAGAATATGAATGTATAGGCCAGGTGTGGTGGCTCACGCCTGTAATCCCAGCACTTTGGGAGCAGAGGCGGGCAGATGGCTTGAGGTCAGGAGTTTGAGACCAGCTTGGGCAACATGGCGAAACCCTGTCTCTACTAAAAATACAAAAATATTAGCCAGTCATGGTGGTGCATGCCTGTAGTCTGGGCTACTCAGGAGGCTGAGGCAGGAGGATCGCTTGAACCTGGGAGGCGGAAGTTGCAGTGAGCCAAGATCATGCCACTGCATTCCAGTGTGGCCGACAGAGCCAGGCTCTGTCTCAAAAAAAAAGAAACAGCTGACATGTATATATACATTCATCTCTGTCTCCAAAAAAAAAAAAAAAAAAGAATGTATATGTCATCTGTTTCTTTTTTTTTTTTTGAGACAGAGTTTGGTTCTGTCACCCAGGCTGAACTGCAGTGGCTTGATCTCAGCTCACTGCAACCTCTGCCTCCCGGTTTCAAGCGAGTCTTCTGGCTCAGCCTCCCAAGTAGCTGGGATTACAGGTGCCAGCCACCACACCAGCTAATTTTTGTATTTTTAGTAGAGATGGGGTTTCACCATGTTGGTCAGGCTGGACTCAAACTTCTGACCTCAGGTGATCATCCTGCCTTGGCCTCCCAAAGTGCTGGGATTACAGGCGTGAGCCACCGCACCCAGCCTGGGGTTTGGCTTTATAGACTAAGGGCTGAAGAAAGCAGAAACAGAACAAAAAGCATATTGGTCATTTCAAAGTTAAATTCTTTGTAAGGCAGGAAGAGATACAGGACAATACAAAGACAACAAGAAAAAGATAACCAGTCACAGTTACATCTCTTTTTTCTTATAGAGATGATATCTTGCTATGTTGCCCAGGCTGGTCTCAAACTCCCAGCCTCACGTGATCCTCCTGCCTGGGCCTCCCAAAGTGCTGGGATCATAGGCGTGGGTCACAGAGCCCACCAAGTTACTGTTTGTTGTAAGGGTTAAAACAGAGGGAACTTCATTAGCATGCTGACTTGAGACTGAAACTGGCCTCCTTGGGAAATTAGGCTGCTATTTCTCTCGCCTGATTTCTTGGGAAGTCAGATAACAACTCAGTGTTGGTTTGCTGAGCACGGGTGACTCCATTTTGATTTTTGTCTGGTCTTTTGGGGCCTAGTGCAGGAGTTTAGTCCAAAACAAGGGCCTCCTATGATTTTTGTTTAACACTCTGAAAGAGAACGAACTGAAACTAACTGTTCAAAGGTATATTTTCTCTTTGCTTTCTGTAGCTTTTATTGTTTAATGCTCAGCCTTGGAAGGATATGCCGTTCCATATGTTCTAAAAGGAACAAAACAGTCTACCAGTACTTAGCATCTACTCATTTCCAGCCACTAGAGTCCCCAGCCTCACCACAGTTTAGCAGACTGTTAGCTGTTACATTAACTAAATGCGTAAAATGCTGATATCCTAATATGCCTCTTTTTTTGAAAATAGCATCATAATTCATCATAATTTGTAGGCTCGCAAACATTTTCTTGGAATCCACTGGACTCCCCCATGCTTTTTAATTCCGTACTTTCTGTGCAAGCAACACAATAGTTGGAACTGACTTCAGGCCAACTGCTTCCTTTTAACTTTTGTCATGTTACCCAGAATAGAGGCATGGAGTTGTTTACCCGGTTTTCATTGAGGAACATTCTTTGTCTTCCAAGGAATACATAAGAAGCCTTCCTGTCTCAGAACACCAAGCTCTGAAAGGTGACTTTTCTGCTCGAGTAATTACACTGGTTGACTGAGCTCCGGAAAGGAAACGCATTCTTGGTTGCAGAGAGAGGAAGTGGCTTGCATTGTTGGACAAAAAGAAAAATGATTGTTTCCTAGGGTCACTGTCCTCAGCCTCCCTTTAGAGAGCCTGGATCTTGCAGCCATCAGTTATGGAAGTGGCTCTGGGAATAACTTTGCCCTGGGTGATGATTGTTGATGAAAAGAGTCGAAGTGTATAAAATATTTGAAGAGATTTATTCTGAGCCAAATATGAGTGACCATGGCCAGAGACACAGCCCTCAGGAGGTCCTGAGAACATTTGCCCATGGTGGTCAGGACGCAGCTTGGTTTAAACATTTTAGAGAGGTATGAGACATCAATCAAATACATTTAAGAAATACATTGGGGCTGGCTGGGCGCGGTGGCTCATGCCTATAATCCCAGCACTTTGGGAGGCTGAGGTGGGTGGATCATGAGGTCAGGAGATTGAGACCATCCTGGCTAACAGGGTGAAACCCCATCTCTACTAAAAAAAAATACAAAAAATTAACTGGGCGTGTTGGCAGGCACCTGTAGTCCCAGCTACTCGGGAGGCTGAGGCAGGAGAATGGTGTGAACCCGGGAGTTTGCAGTGAGCCAAGATTGTGCCACTGCACTCCAGCTTGGGCGACAGAGTGAGACTCTGTCTCAAAAAAAAAAAAAAAAAAAAAAGAAATACATTGGGGCTGGGCACAGTGGCTCACTCCTGTAATCCCAGCACTTTGGGAGGCCGAGGCAGGAGGATCACTTGAGGTCAAGAATTTGAGACCAGCCTTGCCAACATGGTGAAACCTCATCTCTGCAAAAATACAAAAATTAGCCGGGTATGGTGGCAGGCACCCGTAATCCCAGCTACTCGGGAAGCTGAGGCAGAAGGATCGCTTGAACCCAGGAGGCAGAGGTTGGAGTGAGCCGAGGTTGTGCCATTGCACTGGGTGACAGAGCGAGACTCTGTCTCAAAAAGAAAAAAAAAAAAAAAAAATACATGTGTGTGGTCCAGAAAGGCGGGACAACTCAAAGCCGGGGGTGGGATTCCGGGCTATACGTGAATTTAAAGATTTTTTGGTTGACAATTTTTTGGCTGAGTTTGTCTAAAGACGTGGGATTGATAGAAAGGGAATGTTGAGGTTAAGATAAAAGATTGTGGAGACCAAAGTTCTTTTGAAGTGTTTTTTTTTTTTTTGAGACAGAGTCTCGCTTTGTCGCCCAGGTTGGAGTGCAGTGGGGCAAAAGCCACAGACACTCAAGGCCAGCCAGTGCAAGCAGCCGGCAGCCGGGAGGGGGGCTGAACCCCAAAAAGCCACAGGGATGGAGCTGCCCAAGGCCATGGGAGCCCACCTCTTGCATCAGTGTGACCTGGATGTGAGACATGGAGTCAAAGGGGATCATTTGGAACTTTAAGGTTTAATGACTGCCCTATTAGATTTTGGACTTGCATGGGGCCTGTAGCCCCTTTGTTTTACCCAATTTCTTCCGTGTAGAGTGGGTATATTTACCCAATGCCTGAACCCCCATTGTATGTAGGAAGTAATTAAGTTGCTTTCAATTTTACAGGCTCATAGGAGGAAGGGACTTGCCTTGTCTCAGATGAGACTTTGGACTTGGACTTTTGGGTTAATGCTGGAATAAGCTAAGACTTTGGGAGACAGTTAGAAAGGCATGATTGTGTTTTGAAATGTGAGGACATGAGATTTGGGAGGGGCCAGGGGCAGAATGATACAGTTTGTCCGTGTCCCCCACCCAAATCTCATCTTGAATTATAGTTTCCATAATTCCCAAGTGTCCTGGGAGGAACCCGGTGGGAGGTAACTGAATCATGGGAGCAGTTACTGCCAGGCTGTTCTCGTGTTAGTGAGTGAGTTCTCAGGAGATCTGATGGTTTTATAAGGGCCCTTTCCCCGCTTTGCTCAGCACTTCTCCTTCCTACTGCCCTGTGAAGAAAGTGCCTTTCTTCCCCTTTGCCTTCCACCATGATTGTAAGTTTCCTGAGACTTTCCTAGCCATGCAGGACTGTGAGTCCATTAAACCTCTTTACTTATAAATTAGCCAGTCTCGGGTCTCTCTTCATAGCAGTGTGAGAACAGACTAATGCAGGGGGGCTATTATGTTGCCAATCACAGGTATATAATAAAAAGTTAAGAATTATAATTTCTAAGTGGTAGGATTTCCCTTAATCCTTTTCTCTTATCTATATTTTCAGAAGTTTTCCCAGGAATACACATACTGCTTTTGAAATGAGAAGAATGAAATCTCATTTATAGTCTATATTGACGTCTTTGCAATGTTCATTAATCCACCTCTCAGGACAGCCCTGAGAAGTGCATACTGTTCCTGAACAGTTAACAGTTACAAAGATGAATTGAAAAGTATTTAGGCGGCCAGGCGTGGTGGCTCACACCTGTAATCCCAGCACTTTGGGAGGCCGAGGTGGGTGGATCACGAGGTCAGGAGATCGAGACCATCCTGGCTAACACGGTGAAACCCCATCTCTACTAAAAATACAAAAAAATATGGTGGGCACCTGTAGTCCCAGCTACTTGGGAGGCTGAGGCAGGAGAATGGTGTGAACCTGGGAGGTGGAGCTTGCAGTGAGCCAAGATCGCGCCACTGCATTCCAGCCTGGGCGACAGAGCGAGACTCAAAAAAAAAAAAGAGTACTTAGGCATAATGGGTCATGCCTGTACTTCTAGCACTTTGGGAGGCCGAGGTGGAAGGATCACTTAAGACCAGGAGTTCGAGACCAGCCTAGGCAGCAAAGCAAGACTCTTTCTCTACAAAAAAATTAATCAGGCATAGTGACATGTGCCTGTAGTCCTAGCTACTTCGGAGGCTGAGGTAGGAGGATCACTTGAGCCCAAGAGGTTGAGGCTGCACTGAGCCAAGATCGTACCACTTCACTCCAGCCCAGACATTAGAGCAAGACCTTGTCTCGAAAAACAAAAAAAAGAAAGAAAAGAAAAATAATGCTTTTTACTAGGATTTTTACAATATGTGAAACGAATTCTATCTTGAGAACAGAGTATTGGTATTGCCAGTAATATTTTAAAGTTCTTTTGCTTCCAAAAAGGAAGGTCACCTTCCCTGTCTATAAGAAGTCAGTGCCACCTTGGCCCACAGAACCTCAGATTCTCACCTCTGCCTTCCCAGCCAGCCTTCCCTTCTTGGGCACTTTTCTGGGACACAGGCTGAATGCACCCAAAAATGCATCAGCAGGCTTGATAAAGAACGAGTTAAGGCTGGGCTCAGTGGCTCACACCTGTAATCTCAGCACTTTGGGAGGCCGAGGCAGGTGGATCACCTGAGTTCAGCAGTTCTAGACCAGCCTGGCCAACATGGTGAAACCCTGTCTCTACTAAAAATATAAAAAAATTAGCCAGGTGTGGTAGCACATGCCTGTAGACCCAGCTATTCAAAAGGCTGAGGCACGAGAATTGCTTGAACCCAGGAAGCAGAGGTTGCTATGAGCCGAAATTGCGCCACTGCACTCCAGCCTGGGTGACAGAGTGAGACTCTGTCTCAAAAAGAAAAGAAAAGAAAAAGTTGAAACACCAACCAAGGTAAGTTCATCTCCCTTCTAAGCCACCCATGAGACACTGCTGGGGTGAAGAAGTCACTGTCTGTGGCAAAAACCATTTAGATGAGAAGTGGACACCCTTAAAGCTTCCGCTTCCCTCTGCAGTACAGCAAAGAGTTAAGCATGATAGGTTAGTTTCTATTATTCCCACCTTGTGCAGAGATTCAATGTCCCCTACCCTACTCACAGGCCTAAAATGCTCCCCAGGCACAGCCTTCTGGTCCCAGGAGAGAGATCCCGGCTGCTAAATGCGGGTGCAAATAAAATCAGCAAAGGGCGCCCTGGATGTGAAGGAGGTGTGGGTGTCAGCCTGCAATCCCCACCTGCAGCAAGATCATTTTTATAAAACCCTTTGTTTGGCCACCTGGATATCTGTGACAAATGATCCCAGGAGCCACTGCCTTCCCTCCACCCCACCACATGATTCAAAAGGCAGGCACTGGCTGGGCAAGGTGGCTCACGCCTGTAATCCCAGCACTTTGGGAGGCCAAGGTGGGCAGATCATGAGGTCAGGAGTTCGAGACCAGCCTGACCAACATGGTGAAAATCCTGTCTCTACCAAAAATACAAAAATTAGCTGGGCATGGTGGCGATCACCTGAAATCCCAGCCACTCAGGAGGCTGAGGCAGGAGAATCGCTTGAACCTGGGAGGCGGAGGTTGCAGTGAGCCGAGATCGCGCCACTGCACTCCAGCCTAGGTGACAGAGCTAGACTCCATCCCAAAACAAACAAACAAAAAAGGCAGGCACTGGCCAGGCACAGTAGCTCACTCCTGTAATCCCAGCACTTTGGGAGGCCAAGGCGGGCAGATCACCTAAGGTCGGGAGTTCGAGACCAGCCTGGCCAACATGGTGAAACCCCGTCTCTACTAAAAATACAAAAATTAGCTGGGCATGGTGGCGCATGCCTGTAGTCCCAGCTACTTGGGAGGCTGAGGCAGGAGAATTGCTTGAACCCAGGAGGTGGAGGTTGCAGTGAGCCGAGATTGCGCCATTGCACTCCAGCCTGGGCGACAAGAGCAAAACTTCATCTCCAAAAAAAAAAAAAAAAAAAAAAGGAGGCAGGCACACACTTGAAACAAGCCATTAAGTCCCAGTAGCATTTTCTGGAGGCTCCCAGCTATAGCAGGAACACAGGTCTCTTCTCAGTTCCTGAGAAGAGAACTGTTTTCTTGTTTTGCCTTTAGTCATTTACTTGAACCACTCCAGAAAACTGCCCGTCCTGCTGCTGCCTGCCTCTGACCATGTACCAGTCACAAATAAACTGGGAAATGCAAACGTGGGTGTTTTATATAACTTGCAGCCCCTGCATCTGCAGCTGTGTATTTTGTTTAAAGCTGCAAGCCCGGCCGGGCACGGTGGCTCATGCCTGTAATCCCAGCACTTTGGGAGGCCGAGGTGGGTGGATCATGAGGTCAGGAGTTCAAGACCAGCCTAACCAACATGGTGAAACCCCATCTCTACTAAAAATACAAAAATTAGCTGGGCGTGGTGGTGTGCGCCTGTAATCTCAGCTACTTGGGAGGCTGAGGTGGAAGCATTGCTTGAACCCGGGAGGCAGAGGTTGTAGTGAGCTGAGATCGTGCCATTGCACTCCAGCCTGGGCAATAAGAGCGAAACTCCATCTCAAAAAAATAAATAAATAAAAAAGCTGCAAGCCCTTCTGCTTTTCCTTTGGTGGCAAAGTTTGGTCAAGGGTGTTTTCAACAATAATTCCACTTGTTTCAGGCCCCTTTTGGGGCTCAGACCCTTGCTCCTGACTGTGGCTGTGAAGGGGTGGAGGTCTAGGGCCTTCATTCTGGGTGGCTGCTGTTCTTCCCTGATGCTGCCCCCTCCAAGAGAAGGGATATTTTAGGCGCTGATTACATTGTGAGTTGTTGCAACCAAAGGAGCATGTTCTCTTGCTTTCAAAACACAGGAAACAAATCACTGTTTTCTAAGTGAAAAGGAACAAAATCAGCACTGAGAGAGGTCGTGGGAGCTGTTTTCCAAGTATCTCAGAATACTTGGCAGGATGAAGCAAGAAGACCTATATTTAAAATCTTCTTTATCAAGGCCTGTTTGAAGTCAGTTTATTGTTTGGTAAAGAAAAGAAGACAAAAGTTTTGACTCTCCTTTTTTTTTTTTTTTAAATTTTGAGACAGAGTCTCACTCTCACCCAGGCTGGAGTGCATTGGCACCATTACTGCTCATCGCAGCCTCCAACTCCTGGGCTCAGGCGATCCTCCTGCCTCAGCCTCCTAAATAGTTGGGACTACAGGTGCACACCACCAGGTTCAGCGAATTTTTATTTTTATTTGTAGAGATGGGGTCTCACTATGTTGCCCAGGTTGGTCTCAAACTCCTGAGCTCAAGCATTCCTCCTGCCTCAGTCCCCCAAAGTGTTGGGATTATAGGGATGAGCCACCACACCCGGCTGACATACATATTTTTAAATGCTGTAAAAATTCACATTGATTTAAACGTTTTAGGGGTCTTTGCTGTTGCAAGAAATTTGTGTGCCTGAGGAATCCCTAAATAAGGCAGCCTGTTGTGAGAACTATAATAATGATGTGAGTAAAACCCGGAGCCAGAACCCAGAAGAAGGAGAAATTAATTCTGACCCTTAAATCTCGGTGTCACACAGAGGAAATGAACCGGGAAGGATGGTGTGGGATTGTGGAGGGCAGAGGTTGGGAGAAAAGACCTTCCAGTTGGAAGAGGCTCAAAGTAAAGTTCTGGAGTGGGAACTTGGGAGGAGGCACCTGCTCCTGTCTGAACAGAGAGCCATGTGACGGACCTGGTTTTCAGCCCCTGGCTCTTGGGGCAGAGTAAAACTGAAAGGCTCATATTTTTCATCATTGTTTGCATATTGTGTTTTACAAGTCTGAGAAGTAGTACAGACATAAATTTGCTACAAAGCCAATTTGGAATTTGAAGGGACATTTTTATCAGTAACAGGATGTTTGAACAAACTTGGAATTTCATGGACTTTTCCACAACCCTCTTTCATGTCTGTAAGGAGCTTACCTGGCAGGATGCTCTGGGGTAAGTGGGACTGTAGAAGTCCCCTGTCTCATCCACCACTGCAGCTGTGAGAGGGGGCTGGGGCCATGGGTGGGAGGATTTTTGGACCATGATTCCAGGCGGACACCCCATCTTTACAAAATTAAATGGTAAGCATCCTCTTCATTTGCTGTAATTGGCTGTCTCTGGTGTTAGTTGAGTTCCATTTACCCAACAGTTTTCCGTCTTTATCTATTCCCTGCAGTAAATGCAATGGAAGGCCGGGCGCAGTGGCTCATGCCTGTAATCCCAGCATTTTGGGAGGCCGAGGCGGGTGGATCACGTGAGGTCAGGAGTTCGAGACCAGCCTGGCCAACATGGTAAAACCCTGTCTCTACTAAAAATACAAAATTAGCCGGGCATGGTGACACATGCCTATAGTCCCAGCTACTTGGGAGGCTGAGGAGGGAGAATTGCTTGAACCCGAGAGGTGGAGGTTGCAGTGAGCCAAGATCGAGCCACTGCACTCCAGCCTGGGTGTCAGAGCGAGACTCTGTCTCAGAAAAGCAGAACAAAACAAAACAAAAAAAATGCAGCTGAAGTAAGCTCTACACAGAGGCACCGTTGGGGTGCACGTAGAAACCCAATCGACATCTTTCCAAGAGATTGGTATTTTAAAAAGAAATAATAAGCTATTCTCACAGGCCAAATGAATGTTTGACAGCCTAATCAATTGCCCTGAAGCTTTTAGACAGGGCTGATGAATTAGCATAACTTCACAGATCAACTCTTAGATGAGAATTTTCCCCATGGAGTTGGCCTGTCACCAATGAATTGCTCAAGAAAACCCAGCCCTACTGACCCTGGCCAGCTCCTGCAGGAAGAAATATTTGGTAGGCTTGAGGGATAAGAAAGTCTTTCATTCCAATGAAGTTGGGCAAAGGGGCTTCGTTTGGGGACCTTTTGGTCTTTGAGACTCCCTGAATATTATCTCCTGTGCCTCCTTCTTCGTTCCCACCACTTTAAGGGAGACTATGCAGAATGACAGAATGATTTGGCCTTTTGCAGTGGGCCTCCATGGGACCCAGCATGATAAGAAGGCCCTAAAAACAAGACTGCCCTGGTGGATCCCTCACCTCCCCCTACACAAGGCTGGCACTGAAGTTCTCTCGAACCTAGGACTGGGAGCCCAAGGCTTGGACGCCAAACAGCAAAGCTTCATCTAATCTCAGTCAGCTTCAGGGTCAACTGGACAGCGGGAATCATTTGATTTTTTCCATCTGGGCATACTGACTAGGCCATCAGGCCCACCTGGCTCATGCTGTTCATGCCAGTGTCCCAGTAGCTGGGAGCATGTGCTCAGAGCCATTAAGGGTGAGTGCGGCAGGCCGCACTGTGGAAGGGGCTGGAACAGCTTTTCCCTATCGTTTATCCTGAAGCCTTCTTACCTAGGCGGTCTTTCAAGGGTGCCCATGGCCACCTGGGCGTTGTCTCCGTCCTCCTTGAGGATTACAAATCAGTGATCTCTGAGTTTATCTCCCAGTCAGGTCCCTTCGGAGAGTGAAGGAGGCCTTGTTAATTACCACCTTCGTTCAGTAGGCACATATGGAGACTGTCCTGGGCCAAATGGAATGTATGTCACCCTAATTATAAAGGATGGAAAAGGGAACAAAGGTGACTCATTAATGAGACCTTGTAGTCTCCACCGAGTGGAGGACTGTCCCCGAGCCTCATACGTTCCAAGGGCAATGGACATGCTTCTGTTATGTAATATTCCAGATGCTGCCACGTCCAATGTACGGAGCACTCCAGTTGCTGGTCTGGGAATGCGCTTAACGTAAGGAAAGCCTCGGCCCCAACCAGAGAAGATCATGCTTTTTCTAAGTCAAGGTTATAATTATGCATTTCGACAGCCTCCTTCCTGTAATTGTTCAGATGTTCGTAGCAGGCGTGCATGCAGGCGGTGCACCTAGAAGCTGCTGTCAATCACCATCGCCTCTTTACAGCATTCCTCTCTGATTATGCAGGGAGCACAGGCTTTGACTGGCAAAGTGATCCCAAGAGGCTTAGCATGGGAAAGAAATAGCTAGTACTTTCCAGAAACCATCCCACCACCTTCAGCGGGATGAAGGAAGCCCTGGCTTTGCTGACTTCCCAAGAAGCATCCCAAAAGCTTGCTTAACATCTCAGAAAACAAACCTCTGCATGCATTGATGAAGGAAGAAAAATACAGCCTGTACAGGCCGGGTACAGTGGCTCATGTCTGTAATCCCAGCACTTTGGGAGGCCGAGACGGGTGGATTGCCTGAGCTCAGGAGTTTGAGACCAGCTTGGGTAACATAGTGAAACCCTGTCTCTACTAAAAATACAAAAATTAGCCGAGTGTGGGCATGCGCCTCTAATCTCAGCTACTTGGGAGGCTGAGACACGAGAACTGCTTGAATCTGGGGGGCAGAGGTTGCAGTGAGCCGAGATTGCGCCACTGCACTCCAGCCTGGGTGACAGAGTGAGACTCCATCCCAAAAAAAAAAAAAAAAAATACAGCCTGGACAATCACTGGGTCACCTGTCCTTAGGGATTACGGGCGAATTCCAGACTCTGTCCTACCCAGGAAGGAATACCTTTCAGGGGTTGGAAGGATGTTTCAAATCACACCTGGTCCTCATTGGCGTTAAATTAAACAAAGTTAGATGGAGGAGCACCATCAAGGAGCCGGTATCCCTGTGAAAGAGCAGACGTGGCTGTTGTCAAGGAGGTAATAAGCTCTCTGGCAGGATGAGAAGCAGTATTTATTTTATCCACCTACAGGATCAAAGAGTATGTATTTGATGAAATAATTTATGCTGAGTGAATGTGAAATATCATCTCTAATTGCAGGCAATTAATATTTTCACTGATAAGGAGAGGGCCCCAGGCTGGCTTGCCTCAAACGGCCCTTACACTCCAGCAGTTCATACTTCTATTATGTACATAATCCCTGGATTACATAAACCCACCTGCACTTAAACCTACCAGCTCCACCCACCCTTGCCAAAGCTGTCACTATGAGAAGAATTAGAACCTTCGCAAATACATTCTGAACCAATGCCACAGAAAAGGCAGCAGCTTGGAATGTCAGGAACAACTTCGGGAATCTGACCTTTGGGACATTCCCCAGGCTGCCCTGACCCTCAGTCTGGATTTGCCCTAAGAATACTTTCCCGTATTGCACTGAAAACATTTTCAGCTCATTTGTTATACTGCCTGAGAGCCCATCGACTGGAGATTAGACTGACAAACATCGTCTTAAAAATGTGAATCATGGCCAGGTGTGGTGGTGCACGCCTGTAAATCCCAGCACTTTGGGAGGCTGAGGTGAGCAGATCCCTTGAGCTCGGGAGTTCAAGACCAGCCTGAGCAACATAGTGAGACATCCTATCTTTAGAAATAAAAAATAAATTTAAAAAAAGTGAATCATGAAGTGCCCATTAGACATGTACATCTAGGCATGAAGCGTTCTAACCGCCTTGTTTTGCCACTCACGTAGGAGCTCAGCTAGGGATTTCCTGGAGCATGTCACAACCACAGTGCCATCACAGAGGGACGAGGACAGAGGTCTAGAACGTCGCTGTGTGTCTGCGTGTTCTACTCCCCAACTAGGGAATGCATCCACAACCTGAGGCTGCCCCGGAGTTTCTGATCCTTCTCTCCACATTCTTTTTTTTTTTTTTAATGAAGTCTTGCTCTGTCGCCCAGGCTGGAGTGCGGTGGCACGATCTCGGCTCACTGTAACCTCTGCCTCCCAGGTTCAAGCGATTCTCCTGCTTCAGCCTCCCAAGTAGCTGGGATTACAGGTGCGTGCCACCACGCCCAGCTAATTTTTGTATTTTGAGTAGAGGTGGGGTTTCACCCTGTTGTCCAGGCTGGTCTCAAGCTCCTGACCTCAGGTGATCCACCGGTCTCGGCCTCCCAAAGTGTTAGGATTACAGGCGTGAGCCACTGCGACCGGCCCCTTCTCTCCATATTCTGATTGTAAGCATCACCTTTCCAACACAGAAATGTCAGCCCTGCTGGGGCTCCGATGTGTGACTGAGATTCAGCTAATTGCATGTCCCCACAGGAGACTTGGACTCGGAACTCACTTAGGTGAGAGAGAGGCAGGGAACAGAGCATCGTTTTGTTATCGTGGGTTGTGGCAGAGGGAGCTTGGCTCTGGAGGCAGGAACCAAGGCAGCAACATCCTGACTTGGCAGCTGCCTAATCCGGGTGAGGTGGCAGCTCCATCGGTGAGATGGTTCTTCAGTGTGATCCTGAGAGTTGGTTGTCCCTGGAAGCCTGCCTAGTGCCTGTATTGCTGGCCCTCCTGCCAGTTACATGAGCTCTCTCTATCTCTTCCTAAAGCCCTTCTGGCTTGAATTGGCTAGGCTGGATCCTGTTGTCTGCAGCTAAGAACATCCTGGCTACTGCCGACAAAGCAAAGACAACAGCGGGCAGGGAAAAGAGATGTGGAGAAGTGGTAGGAGAGGCAGAAAGAGATTCGGGAAGTTGGCAAATATTTTGAATAATGGCCACTATTTATTGAGGCCATATCATGTGCACTATCTTTTTTTTGAGACAGAGTCTTCCTCTGTCACCCAGGCTGGAGTGCAGTGGCACTATCTCGGCTCACTGTAACCTCTGCCTCCCAGGTTCAAGCGATTCTCCTGCCTCAGCCTCCCAAGTAGCTGGGATTACAGGCACGTGCCACCATGCCCGGCTAATTTTTGTATTTTCAGTAGAGACAGGGTTTCACCATGTTGGCCAGGATGATCTCAATCTCCTGACCTCGTGATCCACCCACCTCGGCCTCCCAAAGTGCTGGGATTACAGGCGTGAGCCACCGCACCCGGCCCATGTGCACTATCTTTAACCCTCACCACTCTGTTAGGCATTATTCCCATTTTACAGATGAGGAAACGGGCTCAGAATGGTTAAGGAGCCTGCCCAATGCCACACAGCCTTTAACGGTGAATCAGGAGCTGGGACTCCAATCCTTTGTGCTCAAAGCCTAGGCTCTCCCTAGTTTGTTACTTTGTCCAGGCCAACGCTGCCTGCAGAAAAGAGTGGACCCTCCTTTCCCCATTCTTTCTGCTCCTCTTGTCTTCCAACTCTCAGGGCCCAGACATTCAGCTAAGCCTGAGGAACACCACAGTTTGCTCATCTGGGCTTAAAAGGCTGTGTAAACATGCATTAGTCAGCAGCAGCCCACACACTGGAAAACATTGATATACTGGGGCAAACATTCCCAGAATAGATGACAAACTACCGAGTCCACCACTCAGGGGATGGGATTCCAGGAGCTATTTGCTTTCTGCCTTCAACAATTGTGCTATTTGAATTTTTTACACACAGTAGGTGGATTGCTTCTGTTATCACATCATATATTGCAATTAGTGACACCAAATCAGTTGTTTAAGAGAGAAGGGCAGGCAAGAAAACATAAATTGTGATTATCATTGGATAGTGAGATTATCATTAATTTTTATTTTCTTCTTCATCTTCTTTTTTTTTTTTTTGAGACAGCGTCTCACTCTGTCACCCAGGCTCAGTGCAGTGGCACAATCTTGGCTCACTGTAGCCTCAACTTTCCGAGCTCAAGTGATCCTCCTGCCTCAGCCTCCTGAGTAGCTGGGACTACAGGTGTACACCACCACATCCAGCTACTTTTTTTATTTTTTGTAAAAACAGGATCTCACTCTGTTGCCCAGGCTGGTCTTGAACTCTTGGGTAACATAGGAGCAATCTTCCTGCCTTTGCCTCCCAAAGTGTTGGGATTACAGGCATGAAGCACCATCCCCACCCTATTTTCTTCCTTTGGCATTTCTGCATTAGACATATTTCTAAGATGACCGTGTGCTCTCGTTGCTTGTAGCTGCCACGAACAGATAACCCTGACTCACCCTGGGTTGTGCCATGAGGACACTGATAAGAACACACAACTGCAAGGCAGAAGGAGGGCCTGGGCCTGGCCAGAGCAGCAACGCCACCCAAGGCCACCCAAGGCAGAGATGCTCTTTCTGCCTCTCCTCTCTGCAGTCCCCGTGTCTCCTCCATCACAGGTTGCATCCCCTCATGGGTACCGCATGTCTGCAGCAGCCTGAGAATCACACAGCATCCAGACAGAGAATCACACAGCATCCAGACAGAGAATCACACAGCATCCAGACAGAGAATCACACAGCATCCAGACACAGAAACAGGGGCTTTCTTTTCTGGTGTCTCCTTTTTTGTTGTTTTGTTTTTTTGTTTTTGTTTTTTTTTTTTGAGATGGAGTCTCACTCTATTGCCATGCTGGAGTGCAGTGGCACGATCTCGGCTCACTGAAACCTCCGCCTCCCTGCTTCAAGCGATCCTTCTGCCTCAGCCTCCCGAGTAGCTGGGACTACAGGTGCTCGCCACCATGCCCAGCTAATTTTTTGTATTTTTAGTAGAGATGGGGATTCACCATGTTGGCCAGGATGGTCTTGATCTCTTGACCTCATGATCCACCTGCCTCGGCCTCCCAAAGTGCTGGGATTACAGGCATGAGCCACTGTGCCCAGCTGGTGTCTCCTTTTTAAGACTGTGGGAACCCTTCCAGAACCCCCTGAAGTGGGTCCCAGGCCCACTCTTTTTTTTTTTTTTTGAGACAGAGCATCACTGTGTTGCCCAGGCTGGAGTGCGGTGGCGAGATCTTGGCTCGCTGCAACCTCCGCCTTCTGGGTTCAAGCGATTCTCCCACCTCAGCCTCCTACGTAGCTGGGACCACAGGCACACATCACCAAATCTGGCTATTTTCTTTGTTTTTTTTTTGTAGAGACAGAGGTCTCACCATGTTGCCCAGGTCTCGAACTCCTGGGCTCAAGCGATCTGCCCACCTTGGCCTCCCAAAGTGTTGGGATTACAGGCGAGAGCCACCACACCCAGCCACCCAGGCCCACTCTTAAGTCAGTCCCTGGCAGGGGGGATGTGTTAGAATCAGGTCCACCTGCTGGCCAGGCAGGGGCCAGCTTCCCCGGCTTGTGGAGTGGGGTGGACACCTGGACAAAGTTGGGGCCTTGGGAAGGAAGATGTAGCGAAACGGATGCCATGTAGACGGTCTGTGTGTCCTCTATGGCAGATTATTTTATAATTTTAAAATTTTCATTGATATAAAAACATTTAAAAAATTATGCTTGCTGTGTTTCGAAGCCCTGTTGAGGACTTTGGCAGGAGCCACGTCGATGGGTTCCTCTATGAAAGCTTCTGCTCCTTGTGGACGATAATCTCAGCCTGCACACAAATAAAAACCATGTCTTGGCCAGGGGTGGTGGCTCACACCTATTATCCTAACACTTTGGGAGGCCAAGGCAGGTGGATCACTTGAGCCCAGGAGTTCGAGACCAGCCTTGGCAACATGGCAAGACACTGTCTCTACAAAAAATATGAAAAGTAGCCAGGCGTGGTGGCGTGCGCCTATAGTCTCAGCTACTTGGGGGGCTGAGGGGGGAGGATCATTTGCGCCCAGGAGGTCGCGTCTGCAGTGAGCTGTGATCATGCCACTGCATTCCAGCCAGGGTGACAAAGCAAGATTCCGTCTCAAAACAAAAACAAAAACCGGAAACCACGTCTTGTTTCTGCTTCAGGATATTGTTCTCTGGGAACGTCAGGAACCAAACAGGTCCCACAAGCCCCACACTTCCTTAGCTGTGTATCACTGGGTCACGGGAGGTAGGCTGCTGAACTGGGGCCCCTGTCTTGGCTAATAACATCCCTTTTTTCAGCTGTGGTGGTTCAAAATTACGTTTTGTTCTTTGCTGTGAAAAGCGCTAAGCTTTTATCAGACATTATTTGATGTAGACCTAAATATTTAAAGGCTTGGCCAAGATAAATGAAATGATCTTAAAGGTGACTCACATTCCAGCATTGCAAAGTTGAGGGTTGGAGTGAGTGAGGCCATTGGAGGCAGCTCAGGTTTACTGAGTCCATATATTTTCTCAGTGTTCCTTTCAGCAGGTTGGAACTGGCTGCAGGAGAAATCACTGATCCCTTTCAGCATGTCGTACAGTCGCTTAACTGTTTAAAGCAAGTGACACAGAAATTAAGGTGGGGGATCTGATGTCTTCCATCAGAGAATAAGCTTTATCTTATATTGAGATCCAAATTGCCCTAGCAGCCTTGGCTGCTAGAACATAAGAATAAGTGGATTTACTATTATTATTATTATTATTATTATTTTTATTATTATTATATATTTTTTGAGGTAGAGTCTCGCTTTGTTGCTCAGGCTGGAGTGCAGTGGCACAATCTTGGCTCACTGCAACCTCTGCCTCCCGGGTTCAAGCGATTCTCCTGCCTCAGCCTCCCAAGCAGCTGGGACTACAGGCGCCCGCCCGGCTAATTTTTCTATTTTTAGTAGAGACTGGGTTTTGCCATGTTGGCCAGGCCGGTCTCGAACTCCTGACCTCAAATGATCTGCCCGCCTCGGCCTCCCAAAGTGCTGGGATTACAGGCATGAGCCACCTTGCCCGGACAGAATAAGTGGATTTAAAGAAAGAAAAGAAAAAGAAAAAAAAACTCTTCTTATTATTTTCACCAATGATGCACACCTTTTGATTCACTCAGCATTCTAAAATTTTAGCTTAGTCCTTAGATTCTGAAGTTGCAGGTTTTTTTTTTTTTCCTTTCCCCTATTATGTCATGCACATGACACTCAGGAGCTATGCTATAAATCACAGAACAATAAACGGATAGAGGAATAAATGGAACATTAAGAATCATCCAGGTTATTTGTACTTGCTATTTAAAGAATGCATGAGTCAAACCAATTCAACTGCTATACCGGGACCATATGGAAATATTTTGGAGCTGAATGTGTCCGTGGTTTGCCTGCTCAGTAGGATGTCCCAGGACACACAGGCACCTACCTCTGCTAGGCTTTCACTCGGGGCCTTCCTGTGCTGGAGGCCCCTGGCCATCCCACGTGCCTTATGTGCTTGCCACCAATAGGCTTTTCACCGTGACACCAGGATGTACAAATCTTGAAACTGGTGACCTGGAAGGAAGAACAAAAAGCCAAAGAACTGTGAGTTCAACAGAAGGAATGGGGCCGGGCGGGGTGGCTCACACCTGTAATCCCAACACTTTGGGAGGCCCAGGCAGGCAAATCACCAGAGGTCAGGAGTTTGAGACCATCCTGGCCAACATGGCAAAACCCCATCTCTACAAAAATATAAAAATTAGCTGTGTATGGTGGCGCATGCCTGTAATCCCAGCTACTTGGAAGGCTGAGGCAGGAGAATCGCTGGAACCCAGGAGGTAAAGGTTGCAGTGAGCTGAGATCGCACCACTGCACTCCATCCTGGGTGACAGAGCGAGACTCCGTCTCAAAAAAAAGAAGGAATGGGAGTGCGATAGGAAGAGCTCTGTGAACACTGGAGTCAGACTGTTGGGTTTGGATTCTCTGCTCTGAAAGTCACTTATCCTCTCTGTATCTTGGTGTCCCCATCTGCGAAATGGGCTGTGATGAAGATCATCGTGATGCTTGTGAAGTGCCTAGCACAGGGCCTGGGCCTGATACAACTGGTAGAAAATAGAGGGAACTGTGTTCGTTCTTCAAGGAAACTGTAACTGAATTCAATAGGGTGCTGAATTTAGGCATCACATGGGGAGGCAGGAACCATGAACTGGCTCCTAAGTTCTGAATGATCGGTAGGGGTTAAACACGCAGAACTCTTTGTGCCTCGGTCTCCCTGATATGGAATAATAAACTCAGGTTGCCAGAATCATAGCGGTTCCTTGCATGCTCCTGGAATTGCTAAGAGGCTGGTTCCCAGAGAAGCCCTCTGTGTGCCCGAGTGTGCCATGTGAGCCAGGTCAAGCTCTTCTCCAGGTGCACGGGAACCTTGGAACAAGGCCAGCCCTGCCAAGGACAGCAACATCCTTTGTTCTCTGGCTTTCTCAAAGCCCAGAGTCTACAACGTGATGAGCAAGCCAGCCTTGCCCTTCCCTTGGCATTATTTGCTTTGTGGGCAATGGTGATGGGTGGGTCAGGCAGGAGTGGGCACCCTCGGGGTCCAGGAGGCTGACTCTGTGGGGTGCAGGCACCTTTTTCACTGCTCTGGGCTTGACGAGGCTGATACCACTGCCGGGAGAGTGAGCAGGGGCGCCTCCCTTCCCTCCAACAGGGATTTCTTTTTTTTCTCTCTCTCTTTTTTTTAATTTTTATTTATTTTTTTTCTTTTTCTCTTTATTTCTTCTTTTAAAAAAAAGGGATACATGTGCAGAATGTGCAGGTTTGTTATATAGGGGTACACGTGCCATAGTGGTTTGCTGCACCTACTGACACGTCCTCTTAAGTTCCCTCCCCTCACCCCTCACCCCCAACCAACAGACCCCAGTGTGTGATGGTCCCCTCTCTGTGTCCATGTGTTCTCATTGTTCAACTCCCACTTATGAGTGAGAACATGCGGTGTATGGTTTTCTGTTCCTGGGTTAGTTTTCTGAGGATGATGGCTTCCAGCTTCATCCATGTCCCTGCAAAGGACATGAACTCATTCCTTTTTATGGTTTCAAGGGGTCTGTTTTCTTTTCTTTTCTTTTTTTGAGATGGAGTCTCGCCCTGTCACCCAGGCTGGAGTGCAGTGGCGCGATCTCAGCTCACTGCAACCTCGGCCCCTTGGGTTCAAGCAATTCTCCTGCCTCAGCTTCCCAAGTAGCCAGGATTATAAGCACCCACCACCACGCCTGGCTAATTTTTGTATTTTTAGTAGAAATGGGGTTTCACCATGTTGGCCAGGCTGGTCTCGAACTTCCGACCACAGGTAATCCACCTGCCTCAGCCTCCCAAAGTGCTGGGATTACAGGCGTAAGCCACCACGCCTGGCCAAGGGGTTTTTTTTCTAACCAGCTGTAGAGGGTTGAATGTGGGTCCCCAAAAGATGTGTCCAAGTCCTAACCCCTGGTACCTGTGAAGGCGATTTCATTTGTAAAACAGTGTCTTTGCAGATGTCAGTAAGTTAAGGAACTTGAGATGAGATCATCGTGGATTTAGGGTCTACGATGATCTCATTTTGGTGGCTTTATAAGAGAAAGGAGAGAGATTTGAGACACACAAGGGAGAAGGTGGAAGTGGAGACTAGCGAGAGGTGGCCGCAAGCCAAGGAACACCCAGGGCAACCAGCAGCCGGAAGAAGCCAGAACAGACCTTCCCAGAGCTGCAGGAGGGAGCACAGCTCTGCCGACACTTTGATTTCACCTCCAGAGCTTACGGCCTCCAGAACAGTGAGAGAATGAGTTTCTGTTGCCCTCAGCCACCAGTTCGTGGTAATTTCTTGGAACAGTGCGTCAACCATGGGTGCTTCCTGAGCCTTGTGTGGTGAAAAGTTCAGAGCCGTACCTTGTATACCCGGGGGTATGGAGGAAGGTCACACAGGCTCTTGGTTTTGCGTCAGCGTGGTTGTTCCTTCCTGGGGCACACCAGTTCTCCCCGCTAATGTCTAGTAGGCAGCTGGGGGTCACCTCTTAGCACCAGCACGGCGCCTGACCAGAGGCCACAGGGGTGGGCGGGGGTGCAGAGCTGGCAGATGCAGTGCCTTTTAGGACAAGTTATGCATTCACACTTGAGCATTTTATTTTATTTTATTTTATTTTATTTTATTTTATTTTATTTTATTTTATTTTATTTTATTTTATTATGTTTTTTTTTTTTTTCTGAGACATAGTCTCGTTCTGTCGCCCAGTCTGGAGTGCAGTGGCACTGTCTTGGCTCACTGCAACCTCTGCTTCTCGGGTTCAAGTGATTCTCCTGCCTCAGCCTCCTGAGTAGCTGGGATTACAGGCACATGCCACCAGGCCTGGCTAATTTTTGTATTTTTAGTAGAGATGGGGTTTCATTGGCCAGGCTGGTCTTGAACTCATGACCTCAGGTGATCCACCTGCCTCGGCCTCCCAAAGTGCTGGGATTACAGATGTGATTCACCGCGCCTGGCCACGCTTGGGCATTTTAAAGTAGAGTGAGCTTTCTGAACGTGAAGGGGTGATAGAGACTGTTGTGCCCAACTAAGCCAGATGACCATCTCCCCATGCACCCCTAGCCCCTTGGAGTCCATTTAGCTTATGTAGCTCATAATTATAGACAATGGTTTGCCAAGAAATTCCTTTGTATTTTTTTCAGCCTGTCTGTGCCAAGAGCCGTACAAATGAGCATTGGTCTTTTAATCATATTTTCATGTTGGTCTTTTGAACAATTTTCATATTGTTTTTCTGTTGGGGGAAATTTAAGATGGGGAAGGATTTATCTAAATATAGACGATGTTGCTGGCAACCAACTAGAGCGGTAGGCGGGACGATAATAATAATCTATGTGTACAGAACATTCCGGAGGCAAAGCTGTAGGATGCCTGGCGGTGGGAAGCATTTACATAGAGTCTAACCATTTACAAAATGTTTTCATCAACATTTTCTTATCCAAGCTTAACAACCCAGTGAGATTTTCTGACACCAAATTCCATCAGCATCCAATTAGTATTTTTGTTTTTTTTTCCTTTGGAGGAGGAAAACCCTAAAAGCTGCTTTAGGCTACTGAGGTGGCTCAATCAGACCCACAGGTCCTGCCAACGTGGGGAAGGGTGAGAGATGGAATTTTCACTGCAGTGTGAAGTGAGCACATGTGTGATTCTCAGCTGGAGGTCACACTGTGTATATAGAACCTTCCCGGGCAGGGCTGTAGGGTGCCTGGTTATGGGATGCATCCCAAATAAGGTATTGAACTGAAACCCTCTGAGTTCGAATCTCCTGGTGAAACAGGAGATTTGGGGGTCTGAATGATCTTCTCTTTCACCCACATCAAGGAGGACGTGGGAGAGCTCTGGCCTCTGATGACCCCTGTGTGTCTTCAGTTCTGCCCGCAGAGCTGAAGGTGGAGGAGGGTTTTCTTTTCCATGGTTAGCCTTGAGACTATTGCTTTAACTAAATGGATTGAGGCTGCTTGACTGTTTATTCTTCACCCAGTCGCGCCTTGTGATGTGGCCTCTGGTCTATACCCTGTTAGCGCGACATTCCTTCCTGGGGGTTAATTAAAAGCAGCAAGTCGAGCCTCCCTCCAGCTGTTTATGACCCGCAGCTGCACAGCCAGGGGATTCATTGCTGGACTTGCCAACCTAAGTCCTGATCCAGCAAAGGAAAGGGAGTGCCAAGCAGCTGCATCAGTCGGTGAAGTGAGGACTATATTTTGTGAAACAAACAAGCCAAAAAGAAATATGATTGGGTAGGCTATTTTTATTTCTCTGAGTGGGAAGCTGAAAGGCTTGGTGGCGCTCCTTTGTCACCCTAAATCTCATCAGATGCAGGCTGTGCTTTCTGCTACAGAAACTCACCACCTAAGCCAGGCCGCTTCCCTGGACTTGATGTCCTCGCCTGGTGACACGAGGTACAGTGCTGTCTAAAGGTGCCAGTGTGGGGTGGAGGGGTGGTGAAAGCATCAGCCCCAAGGATGCTTCAGCTCAGTCCATGTGGTGGGGGGATGTGTTTTTTATTTATTTAATTAATTAATTTTTATTTATTTATTTATTTGAGACAGCGTTTCGCTCTGTCACCCAGGCTGGAGTGCAGTGGCGCTGTCTCGGCTCACTGCAACCTCCACCTCCTGAGTTCAAGTGATTCTCATGCCTCAGCCTCCCGAGTATCTGGGATTACAAGTGCGCTACCACACTCAGCTAATTTTTTTGTATTTTTTAGTAGTGACGGGGTTTCACTTCACCATGTTGGCCAAGCTGTTCTCGAACTCCTGGCCTCAAGTGATTCACCTGCCTCGACCTCCCAAAGTGCTGGGATGACAGGCGTGAGCCACTGAGCCCAGCCTATTTATTTATTTTTGAGACAGGTTCTCGTTCTGTCACCCAGGCTGAAGTACAGTAGCATGATCACGGCTCACTGCAACCTCCCTCTCCCGGGGTCAAGTGAGCCTCCCAAGCAGCTGGGAATGCAGGCACATGCCATCATGCCCAGCTAATTTTTGTATTTTTGTAAAGACAGGGTCTTGCCATGTTGTCCAAGCTGGTCTTGAATTCCTGGGCTCAAGGGATCCGCCCGCCTCGACTTCCCAAAGTGCTGGGTTTACAGACTGCCTAGCCTGAGATGTGTGAAATGCACTCAGAATAAAGGCCTCATCAAAAGTTCATTTAGTTCAACCCAACAGATATTTAATAGGGTTCTAGAAAATGCCAGGTGCTATTAAAATAGGAGAAAATTAGTGACGATGGTACCCAAGCAACTTACAGTTCAACAGAAGACACAGATCCCATTCTTCTACGGACAGTCTAGTTTTAGCCAACATGCCTTATGATGGAATTGTGAAGTGCATGGGCCAATGGAAAGAGGCATCAGAAAAGCCTTCAGGGAGGAGCTACATTGGGCCGTTGTGGAACCGAATAGGCTGTGTTTCAACTGCTAGGTGTCTGTCCTATAGAGCAGGCTGGCACCTTGTAGGAAAATCTGCTTTTTTGTAGTGGATCTCTCTTTTTTTGAGATGGAGTTTCGCTTTTGTTGCCCAGGCTGGAGTGCAATGGCGCGGTCTTGGCTCACTGCAACCTCTGCCTCCCAGGTTCAAGCGATTCCCCAGCCTCAGCCTCCCAAGTAGCTGGGATGACAGGCACCCACCACCATGCCCAACTAATTTTTGTATTTTTAGTAGAGATGCAGTTTTACCATGTTGGCCAGGCTGGTCTCAAACTCCTGATCTCAGATGATCCACCCGCCTCGACCTCCCAAAGTGCTGGGATTACAGGCGTGAGCCACCACACCCAGCTGTAGTGGGTCTTTCTATACCCCAGTGCTCACTGTGTTCAGAGTAAATTAAGGTGCTCAATAAATGTTTGTTGAATCCACAAAGGAATGAGTAAATAAATGAATAGAGTGGAGATGAATATAAAATCATTCTGGACAAATGAAGTTGGGGACGAGATTTACAGATGATCTTGAATGGTAGGCTTTGAAGTTTAAATTTAATTCTGTAGTCAATGTACTTTTTGCACAAGGGAGTGAGTCTGTATTTTTGGGAGAGAATTCTGCTAGTAGTAGGAAGGGTGTCCTGAAGGAAGGAAGACTCTTAGGTAGATAAACCAACTAGTCATAGGGAGTTTGCCTCTCCAGATTGAAATGAAATATTTTGGAAATATTGAAGGTTGGATGATAACTTTTGCAGATCCAGCTTCTTGGCCCGAAGTTTTCCCAGGTCGGGAATGATGCACTGTGTTAGCTCAAGGCCACTGGATTATTGCCAGGGCTCAATTAGGAAATCGTGCCTGTAGGGTAACCTACATTTTCTGTACTTTTCCAGGCTGGAAACTTTGCCAGATGGCCCATGTCAGGAGTATCAGTCATGCCTTGCAAGGCTGTCTTTAACTCTTTTACCACCAAATGCCAAAGTGGTCTCTTCCTTTATTAGGCCTTTATTCTGCATGGAATTTTTTTTTTTTTTTTTTTGAGCCGGAGTCTGGCTCTGTCACCCAGGCTAGAGTGCAGTGGCACGATCTCACTGCACCCTCCAACTCCTGGGTTCAAGCGATTGTCCTGCCTCAGCCTCCCAAGTAGCTGCGATTACAGGCATGCACCACCACACCCAGCTAATTTTTACATTTTTAGTGGAGACGGGGTTTCACCATGTTTTGGCCAGGCTGGTCTCAAACTCCTGACCTCAGGTGATCCACCCGCCTCTGCCTCCCAAAGTGCTGGGATGACAGGCGTGAGCCACTGCGCCTGGGCAAGTCTGCGTGCATTAAACACAACCCCCCAGCATGGGCTCTGACATGTCTCTGTAACTGACTGAAGTGAAGCACAAATGCCAGGGCGTATAAGGCCACCAGAAAATACGAAGTAAGTGCCCCTGGGTCTCTTGGCACAGCCTAGATAATTAGCTGGCCCTGACTCTCAGCATTGTTTAAAGGCATTATTGAGCATTATCTCTTGTTTCTTTTGCTATGGTAGTGAAGGGGTTGGGCTCTGGAGGCTGAAATTTTAGTTTAAGATTGTCACTTGCCTTCCACTGTCTTTCTTGGAGTGACACTCCCCTAAACTATACCCCAATCCTCCTTTTTTTTTTTTCTTTTTTCTTTTTTTTTGAGACAGAGTCTCACTCTCTCGCCCAGGCTGGAGTGCAGTGGTGCAATCATGACTCACTGCAGCCTCAAACTCCTGAGCCCAAGTGATTCTCCCACTTGAGGATCAGCCTCCCGAGTAGCTGGGACCACAGGTGAGTGCCACTACCCCCAGCTAATTTTTATTTTTACTTTTTGTAGAGACAAGGTCTCACTATGTTCTCCAGGCTGTTCTGGAACTCCTGGGCTCAAGTGATCCTCCTGCCTCACCCTCCCAAAGTGTTGAGATTACAGGCATGAGCCACTGCACCTGGCTGCGGTCCTCTTATGCCACAGGTTCCCATGCTGCTTTTGTTATGGTAGAGAAGAGGTTGAGCTCTGGAGGCCGAAATTTCAGTGACTCCTGATATTTTGCTAAGAGCAATGGAGAAGATATGGCCTGAGGACCCAGCAACGGCCCCCCTACCTCAGGTTAATCCTGCCGGGGGCGGGAATGTGTCCTGCCACGATGCTTCTGCCCACCTGTCGGTGCCTATGCAGGTGTGACCAGGCTGCTGACACTGCGTCCTGAGGTCAGCTCGAGGCGGCCAAGTGGAACGGCAGCTTCAGACTCAGGCTCCTAATGGGGGCTTGTCTGAGCAACTCACAGTGTCTTGCTATGGACTCTTGGGAATCCTGTGCTTCGGTCCCAAGGGCACCTGGTATGTGTAGCCTTTACGCGGCACCCATCAAGGCTTCCATTCACCAAATGAGAGGCGACAACAGACAGGTGAGGAGAACTCACTAATAAAGATGCTCTGTGCTGGGCACGGTGGCTCACCCCTGTAATCCCAGCACTTTGGGAGGCCGAGGCGGGTGGATCACATGAGGTCAGGAGTTCGAGACCAGCCTGGCCAAGATGGAGAAACCCCGTCTCTACTAAAAATACAAAAATTAGCTGGGCGTGGTGGCAAGCACCTGTAGTCCCAGCTACTCGGGAGGCTGAGGCAGGAGAATCACTAGAACCCAGGAGGTGGAGGTTGCAGTGAACTAAGATCATGCCACTGTACTCCAGCCTGGGCAACAGAGTGAGACTCCATCTCAAAAAAAAAAAAAAAAAAGCTCTGGAAGCGAGGGGCACAGTCACGGTGTTTCAGAGTGCCCACTCTCGTAATTCGACTTTAAAGGGATCCTGTCTGAGGAAAACAGGAGGAGTGCTGCAAGACAAGGGCAGCAGCCTTCTCTTTCTCTGCTGCAGCGCTGCGGTCCCACCAACCTGCCTTCACTGTTTGTTACCTGATGTCACTTACCCTGCCCGGTGTTGACTCCACCCTGTTCAGCCTGTGGATGACTATTAGCCCAGAGAACAGAGAAAGGAACAGTGCCACTTGAACACAACATGCAACACACACACACTTTTTTTTTTTTTTTGGAGACATGGTCTCTCTCTGGCACCGAGGCTGTAGTGCAGTGCTGCAATCATGGCTCACTGCAGCCTCAACCTCCTGGGTTCAAGTGATCCTACTGGCTCAGCCTCCCAAGTAGCTGGAACTATAGATGCGAGCCACCATGACCAGCTAAATTTTAAATTTTTTGTTGAGGCCGGGTGCGGTGGCTCATGCCTGTAATCCCAGCCCTTTGGGAGGTGGAGGTGGGTGATCACTTGAGGTCAGGAGTTCTAGACCACCCTGGCCAACATGGTGAAACCCCATCTCTACTTAAAACAAACAAACAAAAAATACAAAAATTAGGCAGGTGTGGTGGCGCATGCCTGTAATCCCAGCTACTTGAGAAGCTGGGCAGGAGAATCGCTTGAACCCAGGAGGCGGATGTTGCAGTAAGCCGAGATTGTGCCACTGCACGCTAGCCTGGGTGACCGAGCAAAACTCTGTCTCAAAAATAAATTAAATAAATAAAATAAAATACTTTTTTTGTTGTTGTTGAGACAGGGTCTCACTGTGTTTCCCAGGTTGGTCTTGAACTCCTGAGCTCAAATAATCCTCCCACTTCAGCCTTGTAAAGTGCTGGGATGACAGGCGGTAGCCACCGTGTCCAGCTGCAAACAATTCTTATGTTCTGTTTTTGTTTTTTGTAAAAAGATTGTGTCCTGTCACATTGGCTTGAGTATTTACACTCATTGTCCTGGTTTCCATTCTCTCCTCAACCCACTGCTGCCTGTCTTCTGTCCCTGAAGCCTGGTGAATTCATGTCTAGCAAGGACACCAGTGGCCCTCTTATTACCGAAGCCCAGGAGCTATCTTATTTCTCGTTCTGTTACCCATCTTTTGGCTCTATTGACCCCATACCACTTGACACTGTTGGGGAGCAGGGCATCACTTCTCTCTCCTGGTTCTCCTTCCACCTCTCTGCTTATCAGCATCCTTCCCTGGTTCTTGTTCACATCCTGACTCTTAATAGTTGGAGTTCTTTAGAATTCTGCTCTTGGTTTTCTTTGCATCTGAGTGATACCATACTCCCACCAGTAACTTCATTCAGCCTTGGATAAGTTCCTGCCTAGTCAACTGTTTCTGTTCTGTGAGGCTTTCCTCAACTCCCCAGAGACTGGCTCCATAGCACTGTCCCTATTTCTCATTTCTAGCACTTATCACACTGTGTATAGACTTAGTTTATTCTGTAATTCTTTCTTTCTCTCTTTGTCTTTCTCTCTTTCTTTCTCTCTTTCTTTGTCTTCCTTCCTTCCTTTCTTTCGAGACAGTGTTGCTCTGTCTCTCAGGCTATCTCTCAGGCTGGAGTGCAGTGGCACAATCAGGGCTCACTGCACCCTCAACCTCCTGGGTTCAAGTGATCCTCCTGCCTCAGCCTCCCGAGTAACAAGGACTACAGGCATGTACCACCATGCCTGGCTAATTTTTTAAAAATTGTTTGTAGAGATAGGGGTCTTGCTATGTTGTCCAGGCTGGTCTGGAACTCCTGGGCTCAAGCAATCCTTCCAACTTGGCTTCCCAAAGATTGCAGGCATAAGCTATGTATCTGGCGCCTCTCTCTCTCTCTTTCCTTCTTTCCTTCCTTCCTTCTCTTTCTTTTCTATTTTTTTGAAACAGAGTTTCGCTCTGTCACCCAGGCTGGAGTGCAGTGGCACTATCTTGGCTCACTGCAAGCTCCATCTCCCGGGTTCATGCCATTCTCCTGCCTCAGCCTCCTGAGTAGCTGGGACTATAGGCACCAGCCACCACGCCCGGCTAATTTTTTTTTTTGTATTTTTAGTAGAGACGGGTTTCATGTGTTAGCCAGGATGGTTTCGATCTCCTGACCTTGTGACCTGCCCGCCTCGGCCTCCCAAAGTGTTGAGATTACAGGCGTGAGCCACTGCGCCTGGCCCCTTCTCTTTCTTTCTTTCTCTTTTGCTTTCTTTCTTTTTCTTTTCTTTCTTTTCTCTTTCCTTCCTTCCTCTTTCCTTTCTTTCTTTCTCTCTTTTTCTCTCTCTCTTCCTTTCTTTCTCTCATCCTCACCCTGCCCTGCCCTCCCTCTCCCCTTCCCTCCCTTCCTTCCTTTCTCTTTCTTTTTTCTTTCTTTCTCTTTCCTTCCTCCTTCTTTCTTTTGAAATTTTTCAAACACACATTACCACTACATTTTAATAGTTTGATTGTATCCTTGATGAGAGAGATTGTTAGTCGCCACCAATATTATACATCCTTTGCTTCTTTCTTAGCAACAGAACTCACCGTTTGTAGCTGGGTGTGTGGTCACTTGGCACAGGCTACATTTCCCAGCCTTCTTTGCTCTTGGGTGTGCCCATGTGATTAAGTTCTGGCCAATGGGAAGTATGTATGTTTGCTTATGGGTGTGCACGCATGTGTGTGCACGTGTTTGTACATGCATATCATTTCCAAGGAAGCGTCGTTCGGGGAGCAGGTTTGCTCTTCTTCACCCTTTCCTCCGACTTGCTGGCTGGAGGGGGAAGACACACTGTGGTAATGGCAAAGTAGCAACACAGAAGGGGCCCGTGTTAGGCCATTCTCGAATTGCTATAAAGAAATACTTGAGACTGGGTAATTTATAAAGAAAAAAAGTTTAATTGGCATTCTTAAGAGAAAGCAATAATTTCTTTTTCTTTCTTTTTTTTTTTTTTTGAGACAGAGTTTCGCTCTTGTTGCCCAGGCTGGAGTGCAATGGTGCGGTCTCGGCTCACCGCAACCTCTGCCTCCCAGGTTCAAGCAATTCTCCTGCCTCAGCCTCCAGAGTAGCTGGGATTATAGGCATGTGCCACCATGCCTGGTTAATTTTGTATTTTTAGTAGAGACGGGGTTTCTCCATATTGGTCAGGTTGGTCTTAAACTCCCAACCTCAGGGGATCCACCTGCCTTGGCCTCCCAAAGTGCTGGGATTACAAGCGTGAGCCACCACGCTCAGCCACAAGAAAGCAGTAATTTCTTAGTATCATTATATGTTCAAATAGTGCTTAAGAGGTTCCACAGGCTGTTCAGGAAGCATGGCGCTGGCATCTGCTTAGCTTCTGGTGAAGCCTCAGGGAGCTTTTAGTCTTGGTGGAAGGAGAGAAGGGGGAACAGGCAGGTCACATGGTGAAAGCAGGCAGAAGCTCCAGAGAGTAGGGGGAGGTGCCACCCATTTTTAAGTGAGAAGATCTCATGTGAACTTAGAGAGAGCTCACTTATGGCCAAGGGGATGGCCCAAGCCATTCATGAGGGATCTGATGACCCAAACGCCTCCCACCAGGCCAGACCTCCAACACTGTGGATTACAATTCAACATGAGATTTGAGTTCAGACTATCTCAGGGCCTACATTCCTGATCATGAGGAATAAGACCACCTGCATCCACACAGCTTAGCCATCAGGACTGAGACCTAAGATCTCTGTGTCAACATGACTTACTATTTGATCCAGGAGATTCTTGTTCAGGAATATTAGACTGTAAACCAATACGTGCTTTCACTGTTTGCCTCAACAAATTCCTGAAAAAGCATTTATTGTAACAAAAGATTGCTTATCTTTACATATAACCCCCTTCTCTGGATAACAGTATAACCACCCAAGGGGTTCACCTTCCCTGCTGCCTAGAGAGAGCTGATTCATCAGGACAGGAGGATTGCAATAGAGTCATTCACACAGAGCTGGCTGTGCAGGAGATTGGAGTTTTATTATTACTCAAATCAGTCTCCCTGAACATTCAGGGAGCAGAGTTTTTAAAGACAACTTGGTGGGTCGGGGGAGGCCAGTGAGCCAGGAGTGCTGATTGGTCAGGGAGGAAATCATAGGGAGTCGGAGCTGTCTTCTTGTGCTGAGTCAGTTCCTGGGCGGGGGCCACAAGATCAGATGAGCCTGTTTGTTGATCTGGGTGGTGCCAGCTGAGCCATCAAGGGGAGGATCTGCAAAATGTCTCAAGCACTGATCTTAGGAGCAGTTTAGGGAGGGTCAGAATCTTGTAGCCTCCAGCTGCATGACTCCTAAACCATAATTTCTAATTTGTGGCTAATGTTAGTCCTACAAAGGCAATCTAGTCCCCAGGCAAGTAGGAGGTTGGTGGGCAGGGTGCTGTGGTTCACTCCTGTAATACCACCACTCTGGGAGGCTGAGGCAGGCAGATCACAAGGTCAGGAGTTTGAGACCGGCCTGACCAACATGGTGAAAGCCCGTCTCTACTAAAAATAAAAAAATTAGCTGGGCACTCGCCTGTAATCCCAGCTACTCGGGAGGCTGAGGCAGGAGGGCAGGAGAATCACTTGAACCCAGGAGGTGGAGGTTGCAGTGAGCCAAGATCGTGCCACTGCACTCCAGCCTGGGCAACAGAGTAAGACTCCATCTCAAAACAAACAAACAAACAAAAAAACAAAAAAAACCTAAGGAAAAAAATAGCAAAAAGTAGCCAGGCGTGGTGGCACATGCCTGTAGTCACAGCTACTCAGAAGGCTGAGGTGGGAGGTTCACTTGAGGCCAGGTGATGATGCTGCAGACGGCTATGATTATGCCACTGCCCTCAAGCCTGGGGAACAGAGTGAGACTGTTTCAAGAAAAAAAAAATGGAAATAAAGTTTTTTGTGATTGGTTGATGTCTCAAGTCTGTTTTTTCTTCAAAATGTTTAACTGAAGTATAATATACATATAAAAGCTTGCAAATCATAAATGAATGTATGGCTCAACAAATTTCCCAATCTCTTTTAATCTATAGATTGACCATTCCCCTCTTTTTTTCCTTTGGAATTTGATAAAGAATATATTTGTCTTGTACCGTTTCCCACAGTCTGTACTTTGCCAATTGTTTTTCATGGTGTCATTTAGCATGTTCCTCTATTCTGTATTTCCTGTAAACTGGTGGTTGCATCTAGAAGTTCAGCAGGTCAGGTGAATTTTTTTTTTTTTTTTTTTTTTTGACACGGAGTCTTGCTGGAGTCCAGCCCAGGCTGGAGTGCAGGGCAGGTGGCGTGATCTTGCCTCACTGCAACCTCTGCCCAGGTTCAAGTGATTCTCCTGCCTCAGCCTCCCAAGTAGCTGGGATTACAGGCATCTGGCACCACACCCGGCTACTTTTTGTATTTTTAGTGGAGACGAGGTCTCACCGTGTTGACCAGGATGGTCTCAAACTCCTGACCTCAGGTGATCCACCCACCTAGGTCTCCCAGACTGTTGGGATTACAGGCGTGAGCCACCGCAACGGCGTTAAAGCGTCTTTTGAAGGTGGATGTGATTTTTTTTTTTTTTTTTGGGACGGAGTCTCGCTCTGTCGACCAGGCTGGGGTGCAGTGGCGCGATCTCGGCTCACTGCAAGCTCTGCCTCCAGGGTTCACGCCATTCTCCTGCCTCAGACTCCCAAGTAGCTGGGACTACAGGCGCCCGCCACCACGCCCGGCTAATCTGTTGTATTTTTAGTAGAGACAGGGATTTCACCGTGTTAGCCAGGATGGTCTCGATCTCCTGACCTCGTGATCCGCCCACCTCGGCCTCCCAAAGTGCTGAGATTACAGGCGTGAGCCACCGCGCCCGGCCGGTGGATGTGATTTCTACAAACAAGCAAAAGCCAGTCAGACTGAATGTAGTGAATAATGTAGGTGACCCAGCTGGAAGATGATGGTTTGACGTGGAACACAAGGGGTGATGAGGCCATGAATGATTTGCTTGTGTGTCTGGTAAACTGGCTTTGATGGAAATTCCTAAACAGGTCCAAAAACGTTCTGTCCAATGGCAGCATGAAATGTACAGCCACTCAGGGTGACTAATGTGAACGGAACAACAGTGACTTTGACAGTGAAATTGCATGTTGGTTATAAAACCAGCTTTGCTGTGTGGGTGGGCATGCGAGGTGCCCCTTTCTAGTCATGAGCTCCTCTTAAGGACCCCAAAATGTCTCAGTGGTACCGGATTGAAAATTGGGGCTGGACGGTGCTCTCCTGCTGAAATTCGGGAGCTACTTAGCAGCCCCACCTTGGCACCCTCGTTTCCGAGGGGCAGGCCCTGGGCGCGCGTCTCAGTTTCAAGCCCGCGGCCCGACACTAGAGCCGTCTGGATGTGTTGACAAGGATGCCGCTGGGCTCCACCCGGGCTCACCCGGGCCCTCCCGAGCCCTGGGCCGCGCAGCACCGGCGTCCGCCTCCTCCCCATTACTCGGCGAGAATGCGGTCGGGGCACTGGCGCGAGCAGCCTGGTGCTCCTGAACAGTCAACAAGAAATGAGGAAGCACGGGGGCAGCCGCCAGGGCGACCAGAGGCAGGCCTCAGAGCAGCAGCCATACGGGAGGGCCCCGGTGGTTTTGACCTCCCGCAAACTTCCCTTTTCCCGCTCAGCCGAACCCCTCCCCTGCACGCCGGCAGCCCCTTGGGGCTTCACTCCGCCTCCGCCCGCTACTCGCGAAGCCCAGCCCGGCCCCGCCCCCAACAAGTGACGCAAAACTGGGAGGGGCCACGAGGACCTCGGGCACATCCAGCAGTGCGACGGGGCCGGCGCCTTCTCCGAGCTCCTCCCACGCTCGCGGGTCGGAGCTCGCGCCTGCGCAGTTCGGGCCCCGGGTGTCCTCCCCCCTCCCCTTTCTTAGCAACCATCGCCCGCTCCCGCCCCCGCTCCCTCGGCCGCGGCCGCGCACGCGCGCCCCTCCCGGCGCCCGGCCCCGCCCACCCCGTCACCCGTAACAACCACAAGTGCCGTCGCCGCGCCCCTTCCCCCTCCCGCCTCCCCGGCCCCCTCCCCGGAACCGGCGGTCGAGCTACGGTCGCGGAGCAGTGGAACCGAGACTGCCCCGCGGAGCCGCCGGTATGAGCGCCCCTCGCCACCCCGTGTCCCAGGCCCGGCCTTTCTGACAAGAGGTAGGCGCGTCGTCGCGGCGGGTCCGAGTGCGCCCTCGCCCCGGTCCCGGTCTCCGTGGAGTCCGGCGCCTCTCGGGCGGGCCCCCCGGAACTCCCGGCCGCCCGCTTGCTGAGCCTGTCCCTCCCCAGCCCCGGCTGCCATCGGCCCGGCACCCGAAACGGGCCGTGCCCCCGCCCCCCTGCTCGCCCTCCGCCCCCCTGCTCGCCCCTCGCCGCCCCTCGCCCCCCTCCCCCGCCCCCACCCCCACCTCGCCAGGCTTCCAGTTCCCGGGAGCCGCTTTTTGCTGAGAGCGGAGTTTCGGGTCCGGAGCCAGTGCCCGCCCCTCTCTCCCGTCGGTCGGGGCTTTGGCCCCGTGGGGCTCAGCCGCGCGGGACCCCTGCTGAGCAGCCCCGGGCGCCGGCCGCCCCTCGAGCCTGCTCGGGATGCGTTCAGTGGGTCTGGCCTTTGGCTCCTGTTTAAACAGCGATTGTCATGCAATGGAGGCCGTCCGGCTCCTGGATGCCACTTGGTCGTTGTCACTCCGGATGCCCGCGTAGGGCGTTTATCTGGACCAGAGCATCGGCAGCTGAGACCTGGCTGTGGTTCACAAGCTCGTGAATTAGCAGGTTCTTAAGTGAGTGTAGCCAGTTCTGCCAGGCGGTGGAATCCTGAATGGATGTTACCGTTTCTTAAACGAGCATTACGCTTTTTTGCTTCTTCCCCCAACTCTTGTTTGTACCCGGTTATCGTCCTCATATCTGGGAGAGTACCCTAAAATTAATATTCCCAATTAAATTTTTAAAAGATGATTGGATTCCCACTGTGCACCAACACTGTAAGGTTTGCAAAAGAAAAAGAACGTGGTCCCAGCACATCAGGATGTGTCAGTCGCATAATCAAGATGAATATTAGAAAAGCTTCAAGTTGAGTTTGGAGAACTTGGGAGTTTGGCTCTCATTCTCATGGTTTTAGAGGTGGAAGTCTTTCAAGATCATCTCCCCGAAAACCTCATTTTACAGAGATGAAACTGAGTCCTAGGGAAGTCAAATGGCTTACTCGTGGTCACCCAGAGTCATTCCTTAGCCGTTTTCACACTGTCAGATGGCGATGTTTTCCACCATGACCTCTCCTCTGAGAGGTATGCCAGACATACCAGAGAAAGTTCCAAACCTGTTTAAACCTTAGTACTATAGATGGGAATTCTATACCAGGCGCCGTGACTCATGACTATAATCCTAGCACTTTGGGAGGCTGAAGTGGGCAGATCCCTTGAGCCCAGGAGTTTGAGACCAGCCTGGGCAACATGGGGAAACCTTCTACAAAAAATATATATGGTGGTGCGTGCCTGTGGTCCCAGCTACTTGGGAGGCTGAGGCAGGAGGATCACTTGAGCTTAGAAGGTGGAGGCTGCAGTGAGTGGAGATTGTGCCACTGTGTTCCACCTTGGGCAACAGAGAGACACCCTGTCTCAAAAAAAAAAAAAAAAAAAAAGGAATCTTGGAAGTTTCTGAAATAAAATACATCTTGGTAATTTGTCTCTCTCTTTTTTTTTTAACAGCTAGACTTCGGGCTCCTTGAGGATATTCAGTTTTGTATGTTTGAATATCCTCTCACCATGTTCAGCATAAAGTACCATTCTTAATGATTATCCTCAACAAGACAGGTAGGCTCATTCGATTTTTCTTTCTCACTTTAAATAGGGGAGACAGAGGACTGGCAAGTCCAGGTGTGTTTTTAGAGCAATCCGTGTAGGCTGGCGCTAGAGAATGATTATGCACCCATAAGGAGGGCTCCTTGACTGTGAATTAGGTGTGAACATTTAACCGATTACTTACGGATATTAGCTATCTGAGGCTAGAGATTTCAGTGGAGCCTGTTTAGCCAGAATACTTGGCATCTCTGCCACTCGAAGACAGGTCGCCAAAGCTGTAGTGTACACAGTTAGAAAATAGGAATTGACACGTTTCCTTTGAAGCTAGCTTTTGAGGAGTATTCCATAGTTTGAGATACAGTAGTATTTTTTTCCAGTTTTATTTTTGTTTTCCCAGAGCTAATATCTTAACACGAGATCATTTTTATTTGGCTTCTAGTAGAAGTTGTTTAAGAGAAAATGATCCAAGCATTAATTATATTGGTTATTAGAATAATAGAATCATAACAGTTCATTGCTGGAAAGGACTCAGGTCAGGTCATGTAATGAATGCAGAGTCCCAGTAAGCCAATGAGAGGATTGGACCCCTCTCACACCAGTACTGTTTGCCTCATTGCATTGGGGCTTTGTCTGCTTTTTCTTATTGTTTAATTACCTCCCCCTGCCCTCATGTATTTAAATATCATCTTTTCATTTTTGTGTGCATAGAATTATGACCTATTGTGGTCTCTTTCTGTCGTTAGAGTGTGGTATGATGTGTCAGTGCAGACTTACTAATAATTTGTTTCTGCATTGTGGTTACTTATCACATATATTTATGTTTTGCAGGTGTGAGAGGGTTGCTGTTGTATTGCAATCATGGTGCAGAAATACCAGTCCCCAGTGAGGGTGTACAAATACCCCTTTGAATTAATTATGGCTGTAAGTACTTGACATTTCAATTTACTCTTTGGCTTCTTATTTATAAAGTACAGTGTTAGAATTTGATGATCTATAGATTTATTGTTCGTCTCCATGGCATCACTTGAACTTACTCTGTTTTTATGCTTATGAACCGTATCTAGAGTGTGTAAAATGTTTTTAAAATACAAGCCTCTGAAAATAAAAATCTGCTTATTAAAAAAAATGCACCTCAGGGTAATGTATGAATTGAAGTTAATTCTCCCTTTGAACACACAGAAGTGGGATTCTAAGCACTTCTTCCTCGGGGTTGTGCTCTTTTTTTCCTTCGTTAGAGTAGCAAAGGGACATGGAGTGTGGTCTTTGCTGCTCGTGTGGAAGAGTGCTCTGCCTATGGGTGAATTCACTTTAGGTGGTGTTAGAACTGAGCACTGTGCGATGGAGTTTTACTCACGATTCAAATGACTCTGTTGAATGAGTTTTTCCGTTATTTACCTGAAGAATTTGGCTGAAAATAAGCATTTTACTAGATGCAAAGCAAACCTTTTCCAGTCATTTTTAGATTACCGTAGGGTATTTCTTCTTTTCCTTTCTCTTTTGTGTTATTATTAAGATATAACATACATACCAGAAAATATAATACAGACAGGAGAATGTGTCTTTCATGAGCACACACCTGATGAAAACGTGTGTCACACTCAGCACACCTGGGATACTGGCACCAAGGTCAGGAACCAGAACATGGCAACCCAGGAAGAAGTCTCCCCTGGTTCAAGTGAGCCACTGTTTTGACTCCTAATACACAGAGGACTGTTACCTGTTTCTGTTCCTTCTATAAATAGAAACGCAGGTGTTTTAGCAGCTGGCTGCTTCTGCTCAGCGTATGTTTGTGGGATTTATATAGATCAATAGTTTTGAAAAACAAGAAGTCCTCTTACGGGAAGAATTTACATGACAGGGTTTGTTTTAAAATTTATTTTATTTATTTTTTTGAGACAGCGTCTCACTCTGTCACTCAGGCTGGATTGTAGTGGCGCGATCTCAGCTCACTGCAACCTCCATCTCCTGGGTTCAAGCGATTCTTCTGCCTCAGCCTCCCAAATAGCTGGGATTACAGACCTGCACTACCATGCCCGCTAATTTTTGTATTTTTAGTAGAGATGGGGTTTCTCTATGTTGGCCAGGCTGGTCTCGAACTCCTGACCTCAGGTGATCCACCCGCCTTGGTCTCCCAGAGTGCTGGGATTACAGGCGTGAGCCACCTCTCCTGGTCTATTTTTATTTTTATTTTTTGAGACGGAGTTTTGCTCTCGTCCAGGCTGGAGTGCAGTGACGCGATCTTGGCTTACTGCAGCCTCTGCCTCCTGAGTTCAAGCGATTCTGCATCAGCCTCCCGAATAGCTGCGATTACAGGTGCCTGCCCCCGCACCTGGCTAATTTGTGTGTGTGTGTGTGTATGTATGTGTGTGTGTGTGTGTGTGTGTGTGTGTGTGTGTGTATATATACACATATATATTTGTTTTGTTTTGTTTTTTAGTAGAGATGGGGTTTCTCCATGTTGGCCAGGCTGGTCTTGAACTTCTGCCCTCAGGTGATCCTCCTGCCTTGGCCTTCCAAAGTGCTGGGATTACAGGTGTGAGCCACTGTACTTGAGATATAATTTACATACAGTGAAATGGTCACGTGTCAGGTGTACAGTTTGATTAGTTTTAACAAAAGAATCCCTCACACCTTTGTGAAAACACAGGACATTTGAATCCATCCCCCTGGTGAAGGTTCTGTGGTGCGCCTTCCCTTTCAGGTGTGAGGTTTTGGTTTGTGTGTGTGGGTAAGAAGCTCTGTGTGTTAAGATGTCTGTGTGTTAAGAAGTTACGTGTGTTAAGATGTAGTTACACATCTTAAATATGTGTAGCTAGGGCTGTTAACAGTATTTTATGTTGTTGACTTACCATGTTTGCCATTTGCATGTTATCTGTGCTGTTTTGGCTTTTGGTTGTATGAGGCAAAGACCCACTCCAGCCAGCTTGGGAAGGAGTTTGGTGAGTGGGAACATGTATAGTGTGATAGGAATCACACAGGAATCCGGGAATTCGAGCTGGGATGGGCTGAGCTCCAGAGCCTGGTAGTGGAGGGAGGTTCCTGGCTGCTCTGGGGGCCTCAGCCACAGTTTTTCTCTAGGATTTTGCCCTGTGGGACTGTGCCTGGCTCCATGTGCTGGAGCCTTCTACCCCGCCACCAGCTGGCTGCTTTGCTCACTCCTAGTTTTCCATGTGGCTTCAGCTCGAGGACGTGCTTAGCTGTCTGAAAGCCCTCTGGCCCCAGTTCAACTCTGTGGCATTTCTTGTTGCATTCTTTCAGTTTCTAAGTGACCAATTCCTGTCACATTTCATAGTTCACATCCTTGAGAGAAACTTGATCTAGTTCATTCCCCACCCCGACCCCTGCCCTGGTCCTGGGTTTGAGGATATTGGCTAGCCTGTGGATTGTTTGCCTTAGGTGGGAGGCCTGACCCTTGTTCAGTGAGCTGGGCTGGTGGAGCTGGGGAGGAGGCAGTGGGGGTGGTAGGCAGTGGGCATCGCCAGGTAAAGTAGAGTGGCTGCCCACGGCCCGGGGTGGACACAGGGCAGAGAGTTGGGCAGGGTGGGGGATGTTCTCCAAAACACTTGAGTGTGGCTTAAAAAGTTCATGCAACCCTGATAGTTTGAGGCAAAGGCTGGTTTCTTTGCCAAACGTTAGATTTAATAAAAGAGGAGGTGTTTGGATTGTTTAACGTTCAGACTTCCTTATTTCCCTTACTTCACTATTTTCAAAATTGTGACGTTTACCTTGCCAGTTCATGCAGGACTTTACAGAAGAACTCGAAATTCAAATTCTGAGCTGCCACCAAGTTTTTACAATTAAACCATTTTAAAACTATTGTTCTGAGGTAGTGGTTAATTTCCCTTCTTTTTCTTTCTTTCTTCTCCTTTTTTTTCTTTTTTTTATGATTTAAAACTTACTAGTTAGAAACTTTTTTTTTTGCCTCACCAGCTTCAGGAAATTTTCTTTTGAATTGTTAGAAAAACAAACAAACAAACACACAGACGCACACACACGCACGTATATTCTTCCACCCTGTAGTATAAAGAAAACATTTTTAAATCCGAAAATGAAATATGTTACCTTTTTCCTTCCAAAAGTAGACTGTGAGTGATGTTTGTGTGGTGTCCTTTGCCCCCATTTCTTACTGTAGTTTTATGGTATAAAATCCTCAGTATTTGCTTAATTTTTTTTGTCATTGAGGAAAACTAACAGTAAAATGAGTTAACCTGAAAATGCCCTTTTCAGTTCAGCATTCAGAGTGAGGAAAGAGGTATATATGCAGTTAAGGTGAGAACGGAACCGTAGCTTCCGCCGGCGGACTTGTGAGCACGTCAGAAAGCGAATGTGCCTCACTAGAACGCACGGTGGCGGCAGGAGTGGCCGGCAGTGCCCGGCACGCAGTCACGGGAGGTGGGTCGAGTCCTGGTTTATGTGAGTCCTGTGAGGTGAGAGAGTGGGAGAAAACGCCTCACTCAACTTAATGCCTTTGTTTGTTTGTTTTAACCAAGAGTTTACTTGTAATTTAGTATTGCCGGAAAATTGTTCAGGTAAAAAGTGCCTAGTATAAATAGGTACACAGTCAGGTCAGATATGTTAATTGCATCTCACTTGATTTAATGAAAATTTACCATTTGTTTTGAGGTCAGTACCATTAAAAAAAAAACATGTTAAAGTTCTCATTAACTCGCTTGAGTGGTATTTACATAAGCAAAATTGAAGTGGAGGTTTTTCAGTAGGCATTTGCATGGTGTTGTTTTGTTAGATATCAGCCCAGAAACAGAATGTCAGAGCTTTCAGCGAGTTGGAGCAATCACCTAGCTCAACCCTCCCTTGGAGGGCGGGGAATCTGAGACTCCGAGGTGGTGAAACTTACACAGGTAGTGCCGAGATCTGATTCTCGAGTTTAGTGTTCTTTTCTCATACTATGCTTCTTCCTTCTACCCAGGGATGTGTACCTGAAACATTTTATGAAAGAGAAATCAAAACTTCTTGGCCACACACAAACGAAAGCCTCACACCTGACAAGGAAGGCGCACCAGGGAACCTTCTGGGGGGATGGTTGCAGATGTCCTGTGTTTTGACAAAGGTGTGGGGGACTCATTTTTTAAATTGAGTTATAATTTACATACAATGAAGTGGTCACATGTCAGGTGTACAGTTTGATCAGTTTTAACCAAAGGGCTGCTCTTCCTGGCTTGCGGGGAGGAGAAATTAATCAGTGAAGGACACTGATTGATTGTGCCTTAAAGGGTTTAAGATCTCACGGGAGCATAGTGATATGATCCCACAGATTAGGAACTTAGAATGGGATGTATAATTCTAGGGTGCTTGAGTTGAAGTGTTTCTTTTTGAAATTTCTAAGATAAAGCACAAACTTTAAAAGTTAAACATTGTCAAGTGCATCTCCCCCTCCCCCTGCATGTTAATGGTTCCTTAATAAAGGCTTCAAAGGGAAAATGAAGGAGGCGGGAGGCCACCTAGTGTAGGAGGGCAGGGTGGGAGAGGTCAAGGTCAGGAGCCCTTAAGGAGAGTTGTGGGAGAGAGGGAAGAACATGAGAGGCCACCTTCTGAACCCGATTTTTGTGGTGACAGCCGCAGGCGAGATAGTGGCTTGGACTCTGGTCTTTCTTCTGCTGAGGACAGCTGTCCTCATTGTGACCAGTGGGAACACACGATAGAAGAGGCTCCATTAGCTCCTGTGCATCCCAGGAGTTGCCACCCTGTCCAGTGCCGTTTCTGTCTGGGCTTATTTCCATTACACAGCAGATGTGGTCACCTCATTCTTTGCTCTCTCCTTTCCTCGCCCTCATCCCAGTTTCACTGTGCCCTAGGAGTGCTGGCTTTCTCCAGGAACCCCTTCAGTGTCTCTGTCCCTTCAGCAGACACACCCTTTAGACTGTGCCTTCAGGAACCAAGGCACCTGGTTCTGTCCCTGTCTGTCCCAGCACTGCCATCGTTGCAGCGTAAGCCCCTCCCTTTGCAGGGAAAGACCAGGGGTCCCTTGTTCCTTTGCGCACTCACATCTTTCATCCCTTAGGTCACTTTGTGCTCCCCTGCCACACACTTTCCATTGTGTGTGTCCTGTGTTGAAGGCTTTCCTGTTATCCGTCCTCGCACGTCTCAGCTCCTGTGCTTTTTTCGGCAAGGCCATTTGTGGCTGTGTTCTGCCTGGTCCGTTTAACCTTATTTCATAATTATGCACACTTCCCAGCTTGAACTTGAACATTTGTTTCTGTCTTGTTCCCGTTGGCCCGGACACACAGTGCTGTTTCCTGCCCCCTCTTTTCTTTTTTCTTTTCAGACTTCTTTGCCTCAGATGTTTGCCATTCCCCATCTGTCTCTCCAGATCTTACCCATCTTGTCCTTCCACACGTCCCCGATGCCTCTGAAGATGCCATTCATGTTTCTCTCCCTTCCCCGGGACACATTCTTAATGTTGGAGTTGGTGTTAGGTACTTTCACTTGCAATGGGAGTTTCTTTATTCACAAAGCCTCTTGAGTGTTGCTCTCATACTATTTTGTGTGTCCTTCCAGGGCAGTGACCTTGACAGTTATTTGTCTTGTTCTCCCAAGCGCGGGTGCTAAGGACATAGTCTGTGGGCATGCAGATGTGTGTGACTTGTTCACACGAACTGTGAGGATGAGGACTTGGTGAATGGTGGAAATTCAGATCCAAACTGTATCTCCAGGGCATGATGGCGCCTGTCTGTAGTGCAGTTACTTGAGAACTTGGGAGGGTGAGTTGGGAGGATTTCTTGAGGTTCCAGGAGTTCGAGACCAACTTGGGCAACATAGCAAGATCCTGTCTCTATAAAAAAATAAAATTAAAATAAATGGTCATGGTGGTGTGTGCCTATAGTCCTAGCTTCTCAGGAGGCTGAAGAGAGAGGATCCTTTGAGCCCAGGAGTTCAAGGCTGCAGTGAGCTATGATCACACCACTGTACTCCAGCCTGGGTTACAGAGCAAGACCCTGTTTCAAAAATAAATAAGGAAATAAAATGCATCTCTAATTCTGTTTTCAGACAAGAGATTTATGTTTTCTACATGGAACAGAAGTAACATGCTATGGTCTTTCAGTTAACCAGTGGGTCACCTGGGAGCAAAGCCCTTTTGTGATAAAGTTGGCTGATTTGTGTTTTTTTTTTTTTTTTTTAATTTTCGTAAACGTTGCAAAACCTTGTTGGTAAACACTCTCCTGGCAGTTTAAGTGGTGTGCTTTTCCAGGTTGAATAACCAAAAAACCTGCTTACCAGTGTATAGGTTTTGTTTTTGTTTTTGTTTTTAAATACTGCTCCTTGCGGAGCAGGGCTGACCCACAGGCAGTGCTCTCAGAGTAACCACAGTTGTCGATTAAATGGCCCGAGTACAAAAGAATTTGTTTCGCTCTCCTGCTCCTCTTGCTTTATTTTGTTTTGTACTCTGGCATTTGGGGTTTTTTCCCCCTTTCCTCTCAGGTGTCTCATGTCTTCCCATTAAGACCGGAGGAAGGAAGAGAAAGAGATTTGCTTTGAGGCCAGGTACAAACCTGTGCCTGCCACAGACCAGCTTTGTAACCTGCTAGGCCAGTGACTAGTGTAAGACTGCTGTGAGGAGGTGCTGGAGTGAAACAGACAGCAGGGGTGAGGGTAGGCAAGGGCGACCTGGTGATGCCACAGTCTCCCCCTCTCCCTTCCAGATACCCTGCCCCTTCTCACCTCCAAATACCAGGGGAACTGAATCAGTTTATAAGTGAGTAAATGACTATGAATGTGCATCTCTGTTAGATCAAATAGGCATTTATATTGAAGCTCTTTCATCCATTCCAATTTCATATACAAAACAGGGAGACGTGAGGGATCCCAGGATGGACTCGCGACTCATATATCTTACTTCAGGGTGAGGAGACACTGCTCTTCCTTAATCAGGGCCTCCGTGGAGTGCGAAATGCCCGAGGGAGAACACTTTCTGACGGGCAGCTGTGCCCATGTTGGGCAGCTGTGCCCATGTCGTTCCTCTGGTTGGTTGGGCAGGGGGCACAGGTCCTGCTTTGCCCTTTCTCCATCTTTGTGGCAGCTAGCTGCGTTCAGAAACCATCCATCCGCCCACCCGTACCTTGCCTGAATATTCTCTGAGCTGCCTGTCCCCTTTTCTCTAACTTTTTCTTCCTCTGACTGAGGTCCTGTGCACGTCAGATTTTCAGCATTGTTTTAGTTACAGGAAATATTTTCAGTCCATCGTTCATCTTCTCAGAGCATGTCTTCTTTCTCTCATCCTGGATTTCATCCTTGGGCCTTTTTGTATTTCTGATTCTGGTTTTTTTAGTTTCTGATGGTTAGGTGTGATATTGAAATACATCTTTTCATTCATCAAGGTATTCTTAGATCTTCCAGCAGCCTAATGTGCAGTAGAATTTGTTTTTACCCAAACGAATAAGCAATCTACTTTTTGGGGTAGGTGACTTAAAACCCAACTTTGTTCAAGTCTGGAAGTGGAGGGAAATGTTCCATTTTCTCCTATGACATATAAAAGGACCTGGTCAATCAGTGGGAGACTGTGCTGCCCTCGTTTGTAAAGTTGTGAATGCCATCGCGTGAGTCCTATTGCATTTCATCAAAGCTGGGGTGGTGTAATTAGTCAGATTTAGTTGGTTTTGAAAATGGACAATTAGAGTGAGCTTTCATCACGTGCTCCTTTGTACAGAGCCAGACCTTCTCCCTTGTGTTCCGTCTCAGCATTATGCATTCCAGTTGGTTTTTCCCCATGCTTTTCCTGAGCTGTATCCAAGTGTCTTTAATGCGCTAGAGTGAAGGCAGTTGTGGTGCAGTAGGAAAATATTTCAAGCAGAAATAAGATGTATCAGATTCAGCTTCTCGCCTCTCTGATTTACCTGGTTTTTATAAAAACAAACAAACCCCAAAACCTTGTTTTATGGAAAATTTCAAGCATACACAGGTAGAGAGAATCATATAATAAATGCCATTTACCCATCACCCAGTTTCAATGTTACCAGCATCTTGCCGGGCCTGACACAGTGGCTTATGCCCGTAATCCCAGCACTTTGGGAGGCCAAGTGGGGAGGATGGCTTGAGGCCAGGAGTTTGAGACCAGCCTGGGCAACGTGGTAAGACCCTGTCTCTAAAAAACAAAACAAACTCTTGCCAATATTTTTATCAGTTGTACCCACTTTTTTCTTTCCTGGTGTATTAAAGCAGATTTCAGGTATCTTGTTAATTTGTTGACAAATACTTCAGTGTACATCTCTAACCTTTTGCTTATATTATTTTTATTTTTTTGAGATAGGGTTTTGCTTTGTCACCTAGGCTGGAGTGTAGTGGCACGATTATAGCTCACTGCAGCCTCGAACTCCTGGGCTCAAGGAGCCCTGCCTCAGCCTGCTGAGTAGCTGGGACTACAGGCTCACACCACCATGCCAGCTAATTTTTCTTTTTTTAAATTTGAAATTATATTCCTGTTGCTTAAGATTACTAAGGCAGACTTTTTTTTAAACCAAAATATTCAGTCTCCATAGAGACTGTCAGAAATGGTCAGTGCTGGCTGGGCACGGTGGCTCATGCCTGTAATCCCAGCCCTTTGGGAGGCTGAGGCGGGTGGATCATTTGAGGTCAGGAGTTTGAGACCAGCCTAGCCAACATGGTGAAACCTTGTTTCTACTAAAAATACAAAAATCAGCCGGGCGTGGTGGCAGGCAGCTGTAATCCCAGCTACTTAGGAGGCTGAGGCAGGAGAATCGCTTGAACCCAGGAGGCAGAGGTTGTAGAGAGCCGAGGTCATGCCACTGCACTCCAGCCTGGGTGACAGAGCGAGACTCCGTCTCAAAAAAAAAAAAAAAAAAATGGAAATGGCCGGTGCCAGCTCTATTGCAAGTTATCTTGTGGTATTGGGAAGTTTTCAATGAGCAATAATCACGTCTCGGGTAAACCTCACTGACTATGATGGGGCCACTGTGCAGAGAGCCTTTCTCCTTTTTAAACACAGCCGCCATGTTGTTATCCCACCTAACAAAAGTACTAGTGATGCCTGATGATCATCTAATACACAGTTCACGTTCATGTTTTCTCACTTGTCTAAAAAATGTCTTTCATAAGTTGCTTGGATCCTGCTTCAAATAAAGCCATTTGTATTTGGTTATTATGTTTCTTGGGTCTCCTTTATTCTCTAACATTCTCCCTTTCCTTTTGTTTCCTTTCATGCCATTGATTTGTTAGAGAAACTGGGTCATTTGTCCTGTTCAGTTACCTTAACCTTTTGCTGATTTAATTGTTCCTTACAGCAAATAGGCTGTAAGGAGAAGGTGTGGACCTAAATTCAATCAATGCAGCCACCCTTTAGCAGTTCTCTTTATTTATTTATTATTATTATTTTTTTGAGGCAGAGTTTCACTCGTCACCCAGGCTGGAGTGCAGTGGCGCAATCTTGGCTCACTGCAACCTCCGCCTCCCGGGTTCCAGCGATTCTCCTGCCTCAGCCTCTGAGTAGCCGGGACTACAGGCATGCGCCACCACGCCCGGCTAATTTTTGTATTTTTAGTACAGATGGGGTTTCACCACGTTGGCCAGGCTGGTCTCAAACTCCTGACCTCAAGTGATCCACCCTCCTTGGCCTCCCAAAGTGCTGGGATTACAGGCGTGAACCACTGAGCCTGGCTAGCAGTTCTGTTTAAACATTTGCTGGCAGAGATGGAAACTAATAGTTAAAACCAGCTGCTCCCCTTTTCTTCCTAGGATTGTTCTATATAATTTTGAGTTGCAAATAAGATGCAAAATATTTTTTTCCCAAATTAAACTAGGCCATTCTATTTATGGTTACTCCTTATTTATTTATTTTTGTAGTTACTTTTTAACACTGAATGGGTCCTCATTTTGTACTGAAAGCAGGTGAGAGGGATTAATTTATTGGCAGCGTTTCTATGTAGTGCATGCAGCAGGCACTTGGCAGGAGTCTGGCCTGGGGCTGAGGAGGTGGGTGGTGTTTGTGGTCTGAGGTGTCCAGTTGTGCTGGGCAGTCAGTCCTTGCCCTCTTCTGTTGTCTCTTTTATTAGAGCTCTGGATAGGGCTGTTGGGCTGCCTGGGGAAGCTTCCCCAGAGAAGTTCACTGTAGAGAGGATTTTGGTTGGCAGATGTTATAATTGATCCATCTCTCTTGATTTTTGACCTGTACGCTAGTGAAGCAGACACTTTTATATAGTTCTAGTGGAATTATTTTGCATGTTGTAACAAGAAGCATATATTGCGTTGTAATTTTCTTGCATGGTACAAGTTGATGTAAGAGGACAGCAGCCCTCTGTATCCTTGTGTTCTGCACCCACAGATACAACCAACCGTGGATCAGAAATGTTCAGGAAAAACAACAAAAATAATACAACAATAAACTGTAATACAAATAAAACGCATGCAACAACTATTTACATAGCATTTACATTGTATTTGGTATTATAAGTAATGTAGAGAGAATTTAAAGTGTACGGGAGGGCTGGGTGTGGTGGCTCACATCTGTAATCCCAGTGCTTTGGGAGGCCAAGGCGGGAGAATCACTTGAGGCCAGTAGTTTGAGACTAGCCTGGGCAACTTAGCGAGACTCTGTCTCTATGATAAACTGAAAAAAAATTAGCTGGGTGTGGTGGCGCATGCCCGTAGTCTCAGCTACTCAGGAGACTTGAGACAGGATTGTTTGAGCCTAGGAGTTTGAGGCTGCAGTGCCACTCTGGCCTGTGTGAACAGAGCGAGGCCCTGTATCTAAAAGATGTGTGTCTGTGTATATGAGAGGATGTGTGTAGGTTAAATATAAAATGTAAATGCCACTCCATTTTTATATCAGGGACTGGGGCATCCACAGGTTTTGGGATTGGAGGGACATCCTGGAACCAGTCCCCTCCAGATACCGAGGGAGGACTCTACTGGCCCCTTCTGGTTTTTTTTGTTTTTTTTTGGTTTTTTTTTAAGAAAAGTCTGTCTCTATAATTATGTATCAATATATGAAATAATTGCTATGTGTATCTTTATATGTACTGGATCCATTTTCCATTCAGACATCTGCCCTGTTTTTCAGTGATCTGTACTGCCATGTGTATCAGTAGAATATCCGAGGTACTGATAAGCGTCCAGTTTGTAAATGTCTTGTGTATTTCAGTAGATGGCTGCGTCCTTACTTCTTTTCCTTTTAGGGGTCCGGCCTTCCCCTTCTGATCTGGACTTTCTTTATTCCACTTTCTTGCCTTATTAAGGTGCGGATGGATTGTTTGTTCCTTTTCCTCTGATTTTGCTGTTTGGGGACCCCCAGTTGTATATTTTGCATTTTCTGGCAATAATAGGTGTTTTAATGAGCAGTTAATGCTATTTTAGGCATAGCTATCTGGCTCTCTTACTGGGCAGCACTTCCTGGGCAGCCCCATTTAAACCTGTGGCTTCACCTGTCACTTTATAAACTAAAGATCTCAAAGCTTTGTCTTCACCCGAGATGCCCCCCAGGAGCTTCCAAACTCCAAGCCAGGTGTCTGGCAGACATCTCCATTTCACTGTCCCAGGCAGATTTAATGCCTCTGAAACAGAGTTCATCTCCTCTTGCCTGCGCAAAAAACACACACCCCAACAGAAACAAACACACACCCACACCCACACACCCACCCCAGTAAAAACCAAACCAATAAAACACCACTCAGAAGCTCTCCCTTTCCCCTGAGCTGCTGCTTTAGATGTGTGGCCCCGCAGGTACCTTACCCTCAGAGCAGAAATCCAGGCATCCCTGGCAGCCTTCCTTCCTCACCCCTCAGTCTTGCTGGTGCCCAGATGGGAGCTGGCAGAGATGTCTCCTGGATGGGCGCTCACTTTGCTCTTCTGTAGCCTTGGTGGCTTAGCCCCAGACCACTCCTCCTTACAACAGCCTCTGGACCCTGAGTCTACCCCTCACTCTTCTGCTCGTCCTTGGGGCTGCTGCCAGAGAGATCGGTACATTGTAAACTTGACTGTGCTGCCTGCAAGTTTCAAATGATGAAGTGCCTGCACCTCATCTTTATTTATTTATTTATTTAATTTTTTTGAGACAGAATCTCGCTCTGTTGCCCAGGCTAGAATGCAGTGGTGCCATCTCGGCTCACTGCAGCCTCCGCCTCTCTCCTGCCTCAGCCTCAGCTGGGATTACAGGCGTGAGCCACTTCGCCCAGTCCACGTACCTCATCTTTAAGATGAGGTTCCCAGCTTAAGCTTGGCTCCCAGAATCCTTTGTCATTGGCCTTCTGCCTGTCCTGCAGCCTCCTCTCCATGGCGAGGCCTCCACACCCACTGCACAGTCTAATTATGTCGAATTTCTTGCTGTTTCCTAGGTATACCATTTTTTGTCATGATCTTGGTGCCTTGACCACATACTTGCCTGGAATACCTTTCCTGCTTTCTCACCTGGCTGACTCTAGCTGGCTGCATGCAGTTGCTCCTGGTGGAGGTTCCTCTCTGTGCACTGGCAGCCGCTGTAGGGTCCTGACACTCCACTGGTCTCTCTGCCTCTCTCTGTCACCTTCCCTGCAACTGCCAGTGTTCCCAGGGTGAGAATCAAATCCTCATGCCCTCAAAAATAGATTTCTCGGCCAGGCACGGTGGCTCACACTTGTAATCCCAGCACTTTGGGAAGCTGAGGCAGGCGGATCACTTGAGGTCAGGAGTTTGAGACCAGCCTGGCCAACATAGTGAAACCCCATCTCTATTAAAAATACAAAAATTAGCTGGGCGTGGTGGCGTACATCTGTAATCCTAGCTACTGGGGAGGCTGAGGCACGAGAATTGCTTGAACCCAGGAGGCTGAGGTTGCAGTGAGCTGGGATCACACCACTGCACTCCAGACTGGGCAGCAGAGCGAGACTCCGTCTTAAAAAAAAAAAAAAAAGATGTCTATGAAGAGTAGAGGGTCTTGCAGTGTATGCTTTCGTTTCTTGCATCACTTCTTCTCTGTCAGTGAAATTTTGTTTTTTGTTTTTTTTTTACTCTAATCCCATGACATAATGAAAATTTTGACAAAAGGTTACATTGGAACATAGTCGTTTGGTCGGCTGTATTTACTATTTATGGTTCAAAAGAATCTGATGCAAATCATGTTTTGTGAGTAAAATAGTTCAGTGAACTGAAGCTTATAATCCCTCTAGTTGCCTGAAAAGCGTGTCCTGGTTTATGTGTCACTTAGTGTTTTGAGTGGCTTTTCTCCTGTAGTGATGAATACAAAGTATATACAAAATCCTATTTCTTTGGTTCTCCTACAGAACATAAATTTATTTTAAGTAAAATTCTTGACTCTGGTGGAATGGTAATCTGACTTTAAGATTTCTCCAAATTTAAAACCCAAGAGTTATTACATAATTCTTGTTTTCTTAATAAATAAGTTATTCCATAGCATGAGGTAGGCCTAATCACAAAATGTGTGTGTTTCTTTTCTTTTTCCTAGTTTAATGCTTGTGTATGTATTAAAAATCAAGGCCCAGAACTAAAAGCTACAGGGTACATATTTTAAGAAGTAAATTGATTTAAGTGGTCATTGGTATGTTGCAGGATTTATGGCATTAATATTTAGAAAGCTCTTCTCCAAACACGTATTATCTTCATTTGAATTTTCTCACACAAAGTTGGTTTATAATGTAAATTCGAAGAGTTCCAAATCCTAATTCTTCACTGAGTCAGAATTTCTGGAGGTGAGTCCCGCAGTCTGTGGCTTCACAAGGCTTCCAGGTGATTCTTAACGCCTGCTCAAGCTGGAGAACCCCTGGTGTGGATTTGCATCATTTGAATTTGTAGTACATGGGATAGGAAGAAAGGAGGGTGGTTTCTATTATAACTTTTTTTTTTTTTTTGAGATGGGGCCTCGCTGCGTTGCCCAGGCTGGAGTGCAGTGGCATGATCTCGGCTCACTGCAGCCTCCACCTCCCAGGTTCAAGCGATTCTTCTGCCTCAGCCTCCTGAGTAGCTGGGATTACAGGCATGCGCCACCATCCCCGGCTAATTTTTGTATTTTTAGTAGAGACGGGGTTTCACCATGTTGGTCAGGCTGGTCCCAAACTCCTGACCTCGTGATGCGTCTGCCTTGGCCTCCCAAAGTATTGGGATTACAGGCATGAGCCACCATGCCTGGCCATAACTTTTATTTAAAAGTTTTTCAAACGAATGGTTTTTTTCAACAGGCTGTATAAATAGGCTCTTATTACATCATGTTTTCATGTGACGGATTTAACATACACTAGAAGGAGACTGTTTGCTTTATGTACTTCTCCAAATTGCTGTTCTTGAGTTTATTTAGTGATGTCCACGTTATATTAACAAGCATGTGGGCTGGGCATGAGCCACCGTGCCTGGCCATAACTTCTATTTTTGTATTTTTAGTAGAGATGGGGTTTCACCATATTGGCCAGACTGGTCTCGAACTCCTGACCTCATGATCCACCCACCTTGGCCTTCCAAAGTGCTGGGATTACAGGCGTGAGCCATCGTGCCCGGCCTGTAACCACTTTTAAGTGCAGAGTTCAGTGGCACTAACTAAATTCACATCGTTGTGCAGCCACCACCACCATCCATCTCCAGAACTTTCTCATCTCCCCAAATCGAAGCTCTGTCCCCATGAAACACTCATTCCCCATTCTTCCTTTCCCCAGCCCCTGGCAGCCACCATTCTTTCTGTCCCTATAAATTTGACTACTCTCGGTACCTCTTATGGGTAGAATGACACTTGACCTTTTGCGTAACTTGGTAGTTACTTGACCTTTTGTGTAACTGGGTTTTTTCACTTAGCCTAATGTCTTCAAGGTTCACCCATGTTGTAGCTTTAGTTTTTGGGTAGTACTTGACCTTTTGTGTAACTGGGTTTTTTCACTTAGCCTAATGTCTTCAAGGTTCATCCATGTTGTAGCATGTGCAGAATTCCCTTCCTCTTCAGGGGTGAATTGTACTCAATTGTATATGCCACATTCTGAATTGAATTGTACTCAATTGTATCTGCCACATTCTGCTCATCCATTGACTTACCGATGGACGTTGGGTTGTTTCTACCTTTTGGCTGTTGTCTGTACTATACATTTTTAAAGTTTCAATTACATTTTATAGCTTTCTTTCCTTTTTTTTTTTTTTTTTTTTTTTTTTTTTTTTTGAGACAGTCTCACTCTGTTGCCTAGGCTGGAGTGCAGTGGCACGATCTCGACTCACTGCAACCTCCACCTCTGGGGCTCAAGCAATTCTCGTGCCTCCCAAGTAGCTGGGATTACAAATGTGCACCACCACGCCCGGCTAATTTTTGTAATTTTAATAAAAACAGGGTTTCACCATGTTGGCCAGGCTGGTCTAGGACGCCTGGCTTCGTGTGATCCACCCAACTGTAGTATTTTTTTTGTTTTGTTGTTTCTGAAATAAACTTTCACTCTGTCACCCAGGCTGGAGTGCAGGGGCACAATTTTGGCTCACTGCAGCCTCCACCTCCTGGGTCAAGCAATTCTCCTGCCTCAGCCTCCCAAGTAGCTGGGATTACAGGTGTGAGCCACCACCACCTGGCTAATTTTTGCATTTTTAGTAGAGATGGGGGTTCGCCCTCTTGGCCAGGCTGGTCTCGAACTTCTGACCTCAGGCGATGGGCCTGTCTGGGCCTCCCAAAGTGCTGGGGTTACAGGCATGAGCCACCACACCCGGCCTCTTTTCTTCTTCTTCTTTTTTTTTTTTTTTTGAGACAGAGTCTCGCTCTGTTGCCCAGGCTGGAGTGCAGTGGTGCGATCTCAGCTCACTGCAACCTCTGTCTCCCAGGTTCAAGCGATTCTTCTCTCTCAGCCTCCCAAGTAGCTGGGACTACAGGTGCCCACCACCAAGCCTAGCTAATTTTTGTATTTTTAGTAGGGATGGGGTTTCACCATATTGGCCACACTGGTCTCAAACTCCTGACCTCATGATCTGCCTGCCTCGGCCTCCCAAAGTGCTGGGATTACAGGTGTGAACCACCGCTCCCGGCCCTTGTCTTTTATATTTGATAGATTCCAGATCCAAAAGACAAGTTCCTTGAGGAATTCAACCACCACTATTTTATTCCATCTGTTGAAAATACAGCTTTAATTTACAGCTCATGATTGCCATTGTTGTTAATTTTTTAACAAAGAAAGAATAGCATGTAAAAGCTGGTGTGGAATGATGAGCTGAGTGGTGACCCACTTAAATAAAAGGGTGAACTCCTGTGCTAAGGGAATGGAGGTGGTAGAGAAGATAGAGAATTCTGTAGATGACCCTACCCCCTGTTAAGTGTTCAAGTCATAGTGTTACTCCTGATTTTCTTTTCTTTGTTCTTCAGAGTGTGATTTAAATTTTAAGTGCTTCAAGGTCTATGAAGTACAACCTGCACAGTAGATATTTAATAAACAGTGAGTGATCAGTATTTTCCTGATGGATTAAAGCACTCCTATTGGCAGCCTACTGACTCTGTGGAGTTATTATTCTGGTTCATGAAACCAGATAATATTTCCATAGCTCATTGCATTCCTTTATGTGGGCAAACACATGGCATCTTTAAAAGCTGACAGCTGCAGTTCCCTAGAACACCAAATGCTTTTCTGAAGTCCACAAATTTCTCTTTTACACTCTGGAAAGTAAAACCGTACTCTGCCAAGTCCAGGCGGATCTGAAGGGGAATATGCACACTGCTATTTTGTTGTTAGAGAGAGATTTGTACTCAGTTTGCTCTTTATTAGACCAAAAATTTTTCAGATTAGGAATGGTTTTTGAATATCATGCATGTTTTGGTTTCCTTTGGATGCTTTCAGCATCATGTGATTGCTTTAAACACATGAAAAGCAAAGAGAAATAAAACCTTTCGTAGCCCTGTAGACATTCTTGTTTGCCTAGGGCTTAAGTGATTGTGGCATGCAAAGTATTTGACATTCAAGATTTATTGACGGAGACCAGGTATCTTAAGTATAAAGATTTGTATTTAAAGATGTGTATACCTCCATTTTTTTCTAACTAGTGTCTTTATAATTCTCTAACAGGGATTGGTTGTCTTTGTACTTTTATTTTGATAATCGAAAAACTACATGGATGCGTTGAGATCATCTGTATAGCATGCTTACAGCTGAGCACTATCAGCACATGGTTAGCTTTTATTTTTTGTGGACAACAAATAATACTGTTTTAATGGCTGAAAGTAAATACAAAAAGAATAGGGATGAAATTACTATGTAAGTGATGTGTTTGAGCGAACTATAGACTGGGGTGCTTACTTTGCAGATGGGGAGCTGTACAAATAAAGATTTAAATAGAGTAAAACGATGGGAGTAGTGAGTCATCAGACAGCTTCTGTCCAGTTTGAAAGAAGCTGTGCCCCTCCTGTTCAGTTCCATATTCATTTTGAAGGGGAAATTGGTCTTCAACAAATTGTCATTTTCCCCATGAAATGTATGTTGTTTACATTTTATAATTGTATGAGCTTTTTTGTTTTAGAAACTAGTTTGTTTGCACCTATTTAAGTAACGTTATAATAAAAATAACTGGCCAGTCAAGGTGGCTCACGCCTATAATCCCAGTCCTTTGGGAGGCCAAGGCAGGCAGATAACTGGGGGTCAGGAGTTTGAGGCCAGTCTGGCCAACATGGTGAAACCCTGTCTGTACTAAAAATACAAAAATCAGCTGGGCATGGTGGCACCCACCTGTAATCCCAGCTCCTGGGGCGGCTGAGGCGAGAGAATCACTTGAGCCGCGGGGATGGGGGTGGGATGGAGGTTGCAGTGAGCTGAGATTGTGCCACTGCACTCCAGCCTGGGCAATAAAATGATACTCTATCTCAAAAAAAAAGTTAATTAAAAAATAAAAATAACTGGTCAATAGACTGAGTTCTGCAAGGGGGAAAAAGTAACTGGTCAACATTAAAGGTTCAAGGACACGTTTCTCTTTTAAAAGGAGGGTTTGTACATGACTCAGGCTTCATGAAGGATTTCTTTGCCATAGAGATTTTGCTTTACTTTCATGAATCCAAATCAGCTGGGTCCTTAAATTGGTTCTTTTTTTTTTTTTTTTTTTTTTTTAAACAACCAGAGGTTAAGGAAGGGAGGGGAATAAACATCCTTGTATTTTCCTGTTTGTGTTTAACATGAGTGCCTGGTTGGCTCAAGTACTATATTTTAATTTTTGTTTGTTTCCCTTCCCTCCCCTCCCCTCCCCTCCCTTCCTTCCTTCCTCTCTTTCTCTCTTTCTTTCTCTTCTTTTCTTCTTTCTTCTTCTTCTTTTTTTTTTTTTAAACAAACCCTTGTGTTGAGGGCTGACTTTCAATAGATCGCAGTGAGGGAGGTGCTCTGCTACATACAAATCCCCGACCCAGAATTCTGCAGGTCGTCTATGAATGGTTTAGAGCCAGGTTCCCCACGAACATGGGTGGCCCAACGGGCAAGGGGGCGACTGCCTTTCCCAGGACGAGGGGCTTTCTGCACCGGACCCCAGTCCTGGCGCTCGGCGGGGGAGGGACCGGCTCTCTGAGGCCATTGGAGGCCAACCGAGGCCCCACGGGCACTGCTGTATCCGTCTGCCTGGGTGGGATTCTGACTTAAAGGCGTTCAGTCATAATCCCACAGATGGTAGCTTCGCCCCATTGGCTCCTTATTGTGGCTCAAGTATTTTTAAATATGGGCAACCCTTCAGTGCAAGGAATCAAATTAGTACTGATTTGACAGCCATTTTAATTGAAGTTGATATTGACTGGTAAGGCTGAGATGAGAATGGAAAATAGGAATGACAGTGTCTTCAATTTCTTCTGGGTGTAATTTAGATCTGTGCAAAGTAACATGATGTATATTTTGACTGCATTATTACCACATGGTGGAAAGGTTAAAAAAATGTGTTGTGGACCAGGTGCGGTGGCTCACACCTGTAATCCCAGCACTTTGGGAGGCCGAGGCAGGTGGATCACCTGAGGTCGGGAGTTCGAGAGCAGCATGACCAACATGGAGAAACCCGTCTCTACTAAAAATACAAAATGAACTGGCGTGGTGGTACGTGCCTGTAATCGCAGCTACTCGGGAGGTTGAGGCAGGAGAATCGCTTGAACCGGGGAGGTGGAGGTGTCGGTGAGCCGAGATGGTACCATTGCACTCCAGCCAGGGCAACAAGAGCGAAACTCTGTCTCAAAAAAAAAAAATGTGTTGTGGATTCTCATAGTCATGTTTTCTTTTTCATGAAGGACATTTTGGAGTGCTTTGTAGGTGATGTTAAGATCCTCACCTAAAACTATATCATGTTTTTACCTTTAAAAGCTTAAAACACTTAAAGCTATTTAGTTTGAGAATATTGGCCACGTACCAGGGAGACAGGGGAGTTCGGTATGCCATCGGCCAATAGGACACAATTCTCCAGCAGCTTCTGCCTCCTGGACTCTTGTTACTTCCTGGAGGGGATTGACGTAGCTCCTGCCGCTGTGCTTGGTCTGGAGCTTGCAGTGGCAACTGAGCCCCTTGAGTTCTGCTCTCAGCGAGTATAGAGTCTGTGAAAATCGATGATACGAATTGGACTTACCCTGTCACACCCAACTAAACTGGAGTCGAGGGACCAGGGGAGAAGAAAAGCTGGGACACAGAGCGTCTGCCCCGGGATTATCTTGAAGGCCAGCTGCCAAAGTGACCTGCTGTAACTTTAAGACCAGTGTTAACTCCTTGCTGCTGAAATGAATTACTGTGACTCTAAGACTGGTTCAGTCAGAGCTTGCCAGCTCCCAAAAACTTCACTAGTACCAATGAGTTTTCAAAACAGTATGTCACCTTTCTTTCTTTTCTTTCTTTTTCTCCTCCTCTTCCCTCCTCTTTGGTTTTATACTTTAGCTATGAAGGCCATTTACCAGAGTCAAACTTGTTGTTAACAAGCAGAATTTTTAAGTTCATTCAGAGAGTCCCTCAGACTTTTCTGAGCCTGTTCACTTGCAGAGAGCAGACGCTGTCACCATGTTCTTCGTGTCATGCATTCACATGGATATTCAGTCTTCATATGCTGTCAAGTTTCTTTAAGATCAAAGGAGCGGCTCGCAGCGGGGCCACATAGATGATGACTTTTCTCTTTCTCATAAAACCCCCAGCCTTCCGTTTTTTCTTCGCACATACCGAAGAGCACCTGGTCTTTCTCTATGCCCCAAGTTGCAATTCTCTTTTCCCAAATGAAACTGTTTTAGGGATTCAGCTTTATATTTTTATTTGACCTTGACAAGCCCAGGGTGAAGATGATACTGCTTGGCCTGGAGAGGAGCCTGGGCTCCTGGGTGGCAGCCAGGGATCCTGCCACTGAACCGCAATTTGCAAAATACTTAAAGAACATATAACAGGTCTAAGAACAACATTTAGAGAGTGCTTGTGTGGCAATATCTTGTTTATTGCCCACACTTACTTTGTGGGTAGGCTCTTTCATCCCACTTTACAACTGAGGAAACAGGTTGAAATTGGTTACTAAGTGATTGCCCTGACCTGGCTGCCTCGCCTGCTGACAGCGGTGTGGGCTGACCCGGTACCGTGCCCCCGAGCAGGCAGAGCGCCTGTGCCCACCTGGAGGCCATCAGCCCACGGCGCTCAGGCACTTGGCTTTCATAATTCCCAACAGGGCCAGTTTGCAGTCTTTGCTTTAAAAGACCTCTCTGGGAGTCACTCTGAACCAATTCTGGTTTGAGGGAGGACTGCCCAATTTGGTCAATTAAACTCAATTTTTTGAAAAACCTCCCAATTTCCCCCCACCTCTTTTCCCTTTTGCTCTGTCTGGTGTGATCCGTCTCCCTGCTGGGCAGTAACCCTTTTTCCCAGCGCTCCCCCTTTGTTGGTGGCTTTCCTTCTGTTTGCTTGGACAGGAGGCCTTTGCTTCCAGGTTGTCCAGCTGGGATTCAAATCAAGGTCCATTGACACAAGAGCCCAGGCTCTAATTTGCTCTGCCATATGCCTCCCCGGTTTGTGTCTTAGTCCTAGAATGACAGTGCTGGAGGAGTGGAGGGAAAGGACACTTGGATAGCTGAGTTGCAGACATGATAATTGGGTGGGTGCGGGTGAGGGTGGTGGTGATGCGGAGTGGGAGGAAGTTGCTAGGAAAGCTGAGCTTAAAATAGCTGAAGGCCATAGATACTGGTACAGTGTGGAGTCTGGCAGATAATTGTGTGGCAGAGAAGGCTTTTGTCCTGAGAATAGTAGATGACCTCCCAGAACTGTGGGAACAACAGTCTCATGTTTACATTTATTCAGGCCACAATGGAGCTGAGCAATTCGCTTCCTGACATGAATTCTTTCTCTTCCAAGTAGATCGTGTTTCCTTATTCTGTGGAAAACGTTAATGCCATTAGAAGCCAGATTGAGGGCTACCTGTAACCGGAAACCTCTGCAGAGAACATCCTGTTACTCAGTACCCCTTTTTCTTCATTTATTTTATGAAAGTTCCCTTTCCACTTGACTGATATTTATCTTCAGGGCCATATTTTCTCCTTCTGTCAACCGAATATAGTATACGTAGCTAATCAATGAATTAGATAACTAAATCCATATATTTCCTCTTCTTCTGTGAACCCCGAATATCTGAGACAGGTCTTAGTTAATTTAGAAAGTTTATTTTGCCAGGATTGAGGACGTGCCTGTGACACAGCCTCAGGAGGTGCTGACAACATGTGCTCAAGGTGGTCAGGGCACAGCTTGGTTTTACTTATTGTAGGGAGACAGGAGACATCAGTCAGTATATGTAAGATGTACATTGGTGCTGTCCAGAAAGGCGGGACAACTCGAAGCAGGGAGGGGGTCTCCAGGTCGCAGGTGGGTGAGAGAGGCAGCCAGAAGCATTTTTCTCAGTGAGTAGAGGGGTGACTTTGAGTGGAATGGGAGGCAGATTTGCCTCCCAGTTTGACTTTTCCTTTTAGCTGAGTGATTTTGGGGCCCCAAGATTGATTTTCCTTTCACAATTTATATGATAAGGGGAGTGTTTTATTCCCAGTGCCTGAACTGAAGTATGATCATTTTTTTTGCCATTATCTTCCTTTGGCCTTTTCTTTTCTCTGTAGAAGGCAGGAGACCTAATATGCTCCTATTTATACCTAGTTCCTTTTTTTAGTCGGCTAATTATTTACTTAAAATAACTGGTTCCTAGCAAAGTCTCATGAGATTTACATCTTGTAATTTTAGGGTCATGAGTGAGATAATTATTTTAGTTTGGTGAACACATGGATTTTATTTGGTGCATTTCCAAAGTTTAGTAGAAAAGATAAATGTCAAATGAAAATGTTTAGTGTTTTAAACTGTTTGCATTCAGAAGGTCCCCCTCCTCATCTTGTGCATAGCTCAGCTGGTTCCTGGACTGTGGGCCTGACAGCGGCTTTACTTCATTGCCAATAGTGTCTTCCTCCTTGAGAGGTTCATGTGTTGCACAGAACAGTAGCCACACTTATTGAGTATTGTACTTATTCTTTGTTTTTGAGATGAGATCTTGCTATGTTGCCCAGGCTGCTGTCGAACTCCTGGGCTCAAGTGATCCTCCCACCTTGGCCTCTCAAATTGCTGGGATTACAGGCCTGAGCCATCATGCTTGGCCCCCTACTTATTCTGTGTCAGGGCCTGCCAAACATTTTATGTTTTCTTATTTAATCTTTCAACAATGCTGCAAGTTGAAGATGATGAAGAAATTGAAGCTTAATGAAATTAAATAGCCTCCCCAAGGACCACTTTTAATGGTGGAACTGGGATTTGAAGCCAGATCTGCCTCTTCTAAAGCCTGTGCTCTGAAATAGAATGGTAACTGGAGTGGGGCAGACCTGGGTTCATATCCTGGGTTCAAATTCTCTCAGCCTCTGTTTTCTCATTTTAAAATGGGAGAAACACTTATGTCATGGAAAGATGAGACCTATTAAGGGCCGGGTGCAGTGGCTTATGGCTGTAATCCCAGCACTTTGGGAGGCTGAGGCAGGTGGATCACTTGAGGTCAGGAGTTCAAGACCAGCCTTGCCAACATGGTAAACACCTGTCTCTACTAAAAATAAAAAATTAGCCAGGCTGGGTGGCGCACACCTGTAGTCCCAGCTACTTCAGAGGCTGAGGCAGGAGAATGGCTTGAACCTGGGAGGTGGAGGTTGCAGTGAGTGAAGATCGTGCCATTGCACTCCAGCCTGGGTGACAGAGCAAGACTCAGTCTCAAAAACAAAAAACAAGAAAAAAACAAAAATAAATAAAGATTGTACCTATTAAATGCAGTAATCTTTGGGAAGCTGATTAGGGTGCATGCGTACTAGGCTCTCCATATATACATGTTGGTTTGATCATCCCTCTGATGTGTTTCTCCCCAGATGAAAGCTCTTCATGGGTAGGACCCTTGTCTTGTGTTCATGTGTCCTCAGCCCTGTGCCTGTTGGAGAAGGGAGTGAATGTTGAATAAGTAATGTTAGAAATTTTTCTAGGTTCTTAAAAGAAGCTTGTTTGTCTTTCTGTTTTCTTTTCTTTTTCCTTTTTTTTTTTTTTTTTTTGAGACAGTTTCCCAGGCCAGAGGGCAGTGGTGTGATTACTGCAGTCTCCACCTCCCAATTCATTGTTGAAGCAATTCTCCTGCCTCAGCCACCTGAGTAGCTGGGATTACAAGCACGCAGTACTACACCCAGCTAATTTTTGTATTTTTAGCAGAGAAAGGGTTTTGCCATGTTGGCCAGGCTGGTCTCAAACTCTTGGCCTCAAGTGATCCACCCACCTTGGCCTCTCGAAATGCTAGAATTACAGACATGAGCCACTGCGCCTGGCCAGTTTTCTTATACCATGAGCACAATAGGTTTTTACCTTTGGCCAATGGGTTACTTGATTGCTTTTGTTTCTTTTTTTCATGTTTAATGGAGTTTATTTTTTAGAGCAATTACAGGTTTATAGAAAATTGAGCAGCTAGTACAGAGAATTACCATATACCTTCTCCTTCCACCTTACAAATTTCCCTATTATTAACATCTTGTGTGATACTGATGCAGGATTTTTTGCTTAGCTCAGCTAGGTCTGGGTTCTTGTCTCATGACCAGGAGGAAGTAGACACACGGACACTCAAAGAGTGAGCAAGGCGGGAAGTTTTATTGAGTGATGAAGCAGTTTTTAGTGGGGAGGGTACACAGGGTTACTCCCTCTACCCAAAGGCAAGAGAGTTCTTTGTGTTGGGAACAAGTAAGCGGTGCTGAAGAGAAAAACCAGTATTGAGACAAATTATTTCTCAGCAAGGCAATTTACTTCTGCAGAAAGGTGCTGCCTGTTACAACCGCAAGAGTACACCGAGCAAAGGAGGGAAGGGGTTTTTATCCCTAATGCAGTTCCTGTCCCTGTGTCCTTCCCCTGTTGGCTAGGGTTGGACCATACAATCTAAACTGATGCCAGTTGGCTAAGACTTAAACTTTTTCTAATAGGTAAATGCGTGATTTGTAAGAGAAGGAGGGGGTAGGAGTGGTCTGTCCATTACGGTACGGGGCATGTCGGGCCACAAGCGTGGGAGGGTTGTTCGGAGGCTAGAAACAAGGGAGTATAAGGAGGTTGGGCTTCTGAACAAAGAGCAAGAACGTTACACAGTTAAACCCTTTGAAGAGGAATTCATCATCTCTGGCAATTTCCCCCTTTGTCTTTTGATAATTCTTCCTCTTCACATTTTTTTAACATGATTTGGCTCTGCTGTTCTTCTCGATCACCTAGGAACAAGAGCCTATTTGAGTATAGAGGAGGAGAGGTAGGGGAGGTTTTGTGAGAGCTGTTTCTATAAGTCCTTGCATTAACCCATGGATACAGGGTATGATGCAGCATCCTACATATGAGTACACCTGTAACAATTGCAAGAGAGGTTAATATTGAAGTCATAATCCCTTTCCATTCACCAAACCACTTTTCCATGAGACTTGTGATGGGGTCATTTATTCTGGAATTTTTGGCTAACTTATCTGATATGGAGGTAAGGCCTTGTAAAGCCTTCATAATTGTTCCATTGGGAGCTGTGTTGTTAGGGCTGAAAGTACAGCATTGGACTCTGGTCTTGACACAGACTTTGCCTTTTTTTGCTAACATTATGTTAAGGGCTCTTCTATTTTCCCAGGGCATTTGGCTGGTGGGCCTAATTGTTCAGCTATCCCTTTAATGGCATCGTCTGCATAATTGACAAACCGCTGTTGATTATAGTAAATGTAATTTATCCAGTCTACATTTTTGTTTATAGTTGACCACCAGAACAGTGCAGATTTGAATCTGAATCCTGCAGCTATTTGGTTTCGGGGTTTAAATTTATCTGGTACCTCTTGTGGGACCCCAGTAGCAGCTACATAAATGTGAGGGTCAAAAGACCCGTGAGGAGCATCTTTTTTTTTTTTTTTTTTTTTTTTTTTTTTGTGATCCTCTGTCCTGTTATGTTGACGGAATGCCAGAGTGAAAGGGCCAGTTGGACTAGGGCTCACGTGCCGCTCCAGTTTCTCAGCAGAGTGCCTAATAGTTTACCGCAGTACCACCATACATTTGCTTGAGAATAGACAAAAGGCAGCTTGACTGGTAAGCTCTTGGGAAGGCTTGGTTTGACTACACCCTGTTAGGTCTCCGAGGGACGTTAATCTTTCCCCTTGCCATGAGAGAAGACACGAGGTAAAATTAAATCAGAAGCTGGAGGCCAGATGGCCCTCGGGGGCTGACCTGCGGGGTCTTTAACTTGGGGGAATAGCAATGAGAGAGTCTTGCATGCTCTCTCCCAGGCTGTGAGATTTTGAAAGAGACTTACCATGCAGCTTATGCCCGGTCAGTCAGAAGACCATCCAAGTGGGAAGGGGACTATCTGGGCCTCTGGCCTGCCTGCCGCACAAGCCTAACAGTCAATTTTGTTTAATGTGCGAGCAGAATATTTAATCCATTCCAGCCAGGCATTCGCATCTTGGTATCCTGTTCTAAGCACTAAAGTTTGTTTTAAATCTTTAACCTTTACAGTGCCTACTATAGTTTCGTCATGGGGTATGGAAAGAACAGCTGTTTGATTGGAAGAGGGTTTAGAAGGAGAAGAAGGTGAAGGGGGTTGAGGAGTAATGAAGTGCATTTCAAAGGATCCTTTGGGGTCCTTTCCAGGAATATTAGCTCCTGGGCCATAGAAGTGACCTAGGGTAGGCTTGGTGTCGGTAGAGGTGGGGACATTAATAGAGATTTGCACAGGGTTACACTGTTGGAGTTGACAGGTGGAGGGGGTTGTACCTTTGGTAAAGTGAATGTAAGGCTTTAGATAGGTACAACCTATTGAGGAGGTCCAGCCTTGACACTTGGTGGTATAGATTACATCTCCCTAAGTATCACAGAACTACCAGTTATAGGATCGGCCTCAGTCCATGCAAAAGTCAGTTCTGTAGGCAGTTTTATTTATCCTGGAAGGGCAAAGGTACTTTTCTGAAGAGGCCAGCTGTCTTTGGCTTTGGAGATCCCCACAGGGCATAACAAGACAAGCATTAAAAGTAATGGTTTGAGGGGAGCTAGATCTGGTTATATTAATAATAAGATGTGTGGTAGCTGGGGAAAGGAAGCTAAGAAGGAAGAGACAGATTAAACTTTCTTTTTTAACGTGACTCTGGTTGGGGTGGGTCCTGGAACGGCAGTCCATGACTCTGGAGAGGATGGTGCTCTTTTGACTTGGGTGTGATGAGTGCAACCGTTTTTGGTGGTCCTGACTGCCGTTTCAGTTTTTAGAAGTACTAAATAAGGTTCTTCCCAAGTAGGTTTGAGCTTTTCTTCTTTCCAACTTCTGACGAGGACGTAATCTCTGGGCTGGTGATGATGGCCTGCAAATTCAAGGGGTGCAGTTTGTGCTAAAAGGCCTTGAGTCCTAAGAGAGGAAAGGGTGGAAGACAGACCTGATACATAGTTTTTGAGAAATTCATCCTTTGTTTCAAAAGTGGGAATGTCAGTATTAGAGTTTAAGTAAGGCAGTCCATAAAGCATTTCATAAGGAGAGAGGCCAGTGTCCTTTTGCGGGGCTGTTTGGACTCTGAACAGGGCAATAGGAAGGCATTTTGTCCGAGGTAGCTGGGTTTTTAAAATTAGTTGGGTTAAATGATTTTTTAAAGTTTGGTTCATTCTTTCTACTTTTCCTGATGAGGGTGGATGCCTTGGTGTATGATATTCCCATTTTATTCCTAGTGCTTGAGTGAGCCCTTTAATAACGAGGGCAGTGAATTGGGTTCTATTGTCTGAATCAGTGTTTTCTATAATTCCAAACCTAGGTATAATTTGTTTTAATAAGGTTTTAACTACATGTTTAGCTGTTGTGTTTGGGAAAGGGATGGCCTCTACCCAGTGGGTGAGATGATCTACTATTATTAATAAATAGTTAACATGGCCTACTGGGGGCATTTCAGTGTAATGAATTTGAATTTTTTGGAATGGCGTTAACCCTGAGTTTTTTCCCCCAAGGGCTTGCATCTTATTTGTTGATTTATTAGTTTTTTTTGCATATTATACAACTATCCACAATTTACCTAGCAAGGGTATAGATTTCTATACACCCATAAACTCCGAGAGCGGCATCACACATAGCCTGGGGACCCCAGTGAGTTCCTTGATGGAGTTGAGACAACATCCCTCTTATGAGAGGTTTAGGCAACATTTCCCTCTCATCTGGTAATATTCGTTTTTCTTCTGAGCTTTCTTTGGCTCCTATTTCATTTAACTTTTCTTGTTTGTTATGGGAAAAGACGGGGACTGTGGCTGGGGGAGGGAGACAAGGAGTTAAATGGAAAATGGGTTCCCGTTGGGGAAGAGGCAGCTTGCTTGGCTATTTGGTCAGCAAGATTATTCCCTCAGCTTCTAAAGGAAAGATTTCTTTGATACCTGGGACGTGAACAACAGCTATTTGTTCTGGCAACTATAGATTTTCTAATACTTGAATTATTATGTCCCTGTGGACTAAGTTACTGTTAATGAGGCCTTGCTCTGTTCAAATTTTTCCAAGGTGTGGACCACTCCAAAAGCATACTTGGAGTCTGTATAAATAGTTCCTTCCTGGTTTTGCAGAAATTTTAAGGCTTGATTTAATGCAAACAGCTCACATGTTTGCGCAGAGCAGGTGCAGACCCGTTATTAGGTAATCTTCCCGATTTTATTTCTGTGAGGATATCTCCGTTTACTACTGAGTACCCGTTATGCCTTTTTTCTTTTATTACTTGCCTCGATTTCCTTCTTTTGACCATACATCTGGATGGATGTATCCTTTATCTAGGGTAGTGAGCAAATTTAGGGAGGGGAGGAATTTTTCTTGGTTAACATAGAGGTCTGGGTTTAATTTTAGCATTAAATCTCTTCCTAAATAGGTTTGTTCCTGCCTCCGGGATTAACAGAAGTTTAATATTTACTGAGCGGTCCTTATATTTAATTTCTGTTTCTTCTAAGATTTTTGCTTTAAACCCCTCTTCTTTTACTCCCGAAATAAAAAGTTTTTCCTGTGAACAAGTTACACCAGGGGGAAGATAACAAACTGAGGAGCGAGCAGCTCCTGAATCAATGAAAAAGGTGATAAGCTCAGGTTTGGGTCCCACCTCTAAATTTATCAAGGGCTCTTGGTGGGACTTGAGGTAAAAAAAAGAGTGGAGCCCTTGACCGCCGTATTCTTCCTCCAAGGTCATGAGTAGAATGACTTCTTTCTCTTTTTCCCATCTGGGACATTCCTTTTTAAAGTGGCCTATTTTTCCACACTTGAAGCATTTGTTTTGCCCTTTTCCCTCTCTACTTTTGGGTTCTTTGGCTGTGCTGTTTTATAGCCTTTATATGGCCTGGAAAGTGGGGGCTTAAGTTCTTTATAGGTTTTGGCCCCTGAGTGTTCTGTTGTGGGGCGGACAGCATGATCCTTGCTTTTTGTTTTTGCTTTTCTTTTCCTCGTCTTTTCGTACATATACCTTTTGAGCGTCTCTCAAAAGCTGCTCTATAGATTTATCTTTCCAGTTCTCTATTTTCTATAACGTGTTTTGTGATGTCTGGCCAACTATTGGTAACAAAATGGAGCTTTAACATCCCCTGCCCAAGAGGGTCTTCTAAACCTAGACCTGCATATATCCTCGCTTGCTCCTTGAGCCTTTCTAAGAACTCTGTAGGTCCTTCATCCTTCCCTTGTTGTATATAGAAAGCTTTGGGAATGTTTTGGATGCGGAATACAGATTTTTGAGTTCCTTTAATTATCAGTTCTCCAAGGTCTTGCATATTCCTCCAGTAGGCTGCGTTGTTACTATCCCATTGAGGATCTGTGGCCGCAAGTTTTTGCTCAGCTGCTGGGACGTTCTGACCTGGGGGATGCTCACGTTCCCAAATTGTCATAGCAGCCCTGCGAATCATGCTCCTGTCTTCTCCTAAAAAGCGAATACCTAGGATAGACATTAGCTCAGCCCAAGTATATATCTGGGGTCTGAGAAATTGATTAATCTGGTCAGCCACTATATAAGGGTCACTTAAGAGTGGTTTGAGCTCCCTTTGTAGGTTTCGGACCTCTGAGCTAGTTAATGGAGCATTTAGCCTCCTCTGAGGGGCACTTCCCTTAAGGGGAAGAGAGTTGGAGCTAACTCTTTAGAAGTGGTGGGGAAAGGGAAGTTTTGAATATCCTTTTTACATTGTTCTGTCTCGCACCGAAGTCTTCCTGGGGGAGGGCCCTGAGGCTGGGAATGATTCCAGGAGTTAGGATTATAAAGAGGGGGCACAACGTGAGTCGGGGGAAGGGTCCAGGGCGGCTGCCTGAGGGGGAGGGAGGTGAGAGGTATCTGGCTGAGGCAGATGGTCTAAAGGATCCCATGTGGGTTGCTTAGGGGTGGGGGCCTTAGTTTCTATAGGGTAAGTAGTTTCTGGCTTATTCTTACTGGCTTTGAGGGGGTAGAGGTGGACAGGCCCCTGCCGTCAGCACAGGGCATAGCGTATCTCCTCCTGAGGGACAGGACTCTTGTTATTCACATACTCTATTAAAAGTTGACAAATCCAATCCTCATTTGACCCAAACTGTAGCCAGAAAACTGATGGTTTGAGGATAGTTTCCTTAGTCCAAATAAAACAACAGTATTTTATCATTTGTTGCTTTTTCTTATTTTTAGTCCTTTCATTATCTTTCCAGTATTTTAGCAGGAGACCTAAGGGGCTGTCCCGGGAAATTCTATTGTCTTGCTTGGGGTATTTCGCATCCTGGAGAAGGTGTTTTTTTGAGTTTGTGAGGCTCAACCTCTCTTACTAGAGATTTCTTGCACCCTTTCTTTTTTTCTTTTTTTTTTTTTAAGGTGGAGTCTTGCTCTGTTGCCCAGGCAGGAGTGCAATGGCACGATCTCCGCTCACTGCAGCCTCTGCCTCCTGGGTTCAAGCGATTCTTCTGCCTCAGCCTCCCAAGTAGCTGGGACTACAGGCACACACCACCACACCTGGCTAATTTTTTGTATTTTATTTATTTATTTATTTCCTTGGTAGAGATGGGGTTGCACCATGTTGGCCAGGCTGGTCTTGAACTCCTGACCTTGTGATCTGCCTACCTCAGCCTCCCAAAGTGCTGGGATTACAGGCATGAGCCACTGCGCCTGGCCTCTTGCACTCTTTCTTTAGAGGCCCAACCCCCCTTACTTGAGATTTCTTGCATTCTTTTGCTTCTGCTTAATCCTTCTCTGGCTGCTTCCTTTGTGGGAATTTTCAGGTCCCCCTTAGCGTTGGTGGGTCGGTATGATCCCCCGACAGGCAAGACAGGCAAGCTGTCCTAAGCTGTATGAGGTGACCACGGAACCACAGATCCGGACTCCACACTCAATTGTGCGTCTCATTCACACACTTTCAACCTCCAGGATGTCCTGACCACCAAGGAAATACTGCACTGCCATTGTGTTTTTTCTTAACCTTTGTCTCTGCACAGAGTTACCTGGTCACTGTGGTATTTGTAGGCCTTTTTCTCCCGCGTTGCTAAGCGTCCGGGTTTATTCGTCACACCAGGTGGGTCTCGATCCCTAACCCTTGAGGCCACCACAACGAGGCAGTGGGACCTGTCTCCTCACGAGTGAGGACTGGAGACCCTTCCCCAGAGGAGAATGGGAATCCTGGATGGGCCCCCAGATTGTTGGGAACAAGTAAGCTGTGCTCAAGAGAAAAACTAGCACTGAGACAAAGGATTTCTCAGCAAGGCAATTTACTTTTGCAGAAGGGTGCCGCCTGCATCTGTTACGACTGCAAGAGCACACTGAACAAAGGAGGGAAGGGGTTTTTATCCCTAACGCAGTTCCTGTCGGTGTCCTTCCCCTGTTGGCTAGGATTGGACTGTACAATCTAAACTGATCCCAGTTGGCTAAGACTTAAAACTTTTTTGAATAGGATAAACGCATGATTTGTAAGAGAAAGAGGGGATAGGAGCAGTCTGTCTGTTACAGTACAAGGTATGTCTGGACTTGTGTGAGCATGTCAGGGCACAACAAGAGCAGGAGGGTTGTTTGCAGGCCAGAAACAAGAGAGTATAAGGAGGTTGGGCTTCTGAACAAAGAACAAGGACGTTACACAGTTAAACCCTTTGAAGAGGAATTCATCATCTCTGGCGCTAGTATTGTTGCAGGATTCAGGAGGACGAGAGAGAGATCTCGGGTTAAAACAGGAGAATCTTTTATTGAGTGCACTCAGGCCCAGCAGATTCACACCCAAAGGTTGGGCTCAGAACAAAGACAGCACTTGACTTTTATACACACTTCACAGAAGGGGGTGGGCTAGCTAAAGCAAGCTTATAGTGGCGTGAAAGCAGGGATACAGAGGTGGGACAAAGACAGTTAATTAAATCGTTACAGGTTCATAACTCAGGATTGCACATAACTGTTGCTATGCAACCCAGATGTCCGTTATCTGTGTTTGCCTAGGCATGGACTTATCCTATAACCTTCACTGTGGTGCCCGGGCAGCTGTAGTTCCGGCCTACTCAGGCTTTTCATGACCTTCATTGTATTTCTTAGATAAAACAATACTTGAAGTCACTAGTTACAGAGAACAGGAATCTATAAACTCATTCTATAAAACAAAGAAAAATTTGTTTTTTCTTCTCCCTGTGTTGAGGGAGTGCTGGGAAAGTCTCCAGAGCACATTAGATAATATTATCAAGACTTTTCCTGGGTCTCGGCTGTGCCTGTTGCTGCCTCTGGGACAAATCAGCCTAATACAGGAAAACTTATTTCTCTTTCTTTTAAATTTTATTTTTCTTTAATTTCCGGCCTCCGTGTAGCTGAGCCCAGGGCTTTTTATGGGCTCAGAATAGGGAGTGTGTGCTGATTGGTTTGTGAGTATGCAAAAAAGGTTAAAGTGAAGACACCACTCAAAGGTGGGCATGATAGTGTAGAAAACCAATTAGGAGACTGGACATGGTGGCTCATGCCTGTAATCCCAGCACTTTGGGAGGCCAGGGTAGGTGGATCACCTGAGGTCAGGAGTTTGAGACCAGCCTGACCAACATGGTGAAACCCTGTCTCTACTAAAAAGGCAAAAATTAGCTGAGCGTGGTGCTGCACACCTGTAATCCCAGCTACTCAGGAGGCTGAGGCAGGAGAATCACTCAAACCCAGCAGGCAGAGGTTGCAGCGAGCCGAGATCATGCTATTACACTCCAGCTTGGGCAATAAGAGCGAAACTCAGTCTTGAAAAAAAAAAAGTAAACCAATTAGGAAAGGATAGGTATATGTAAAATAGGTGAAAGACGGATCAATCAGAGGAAACTGTGCCAAATGAGAAGGTGGGTTCTCAGTCCCGTGTGAGGATTTACCCAGGACTCTCTCCAGATTGAAGGTTGGATTTCACTGGGGACCTGCTCCTGTCTGCCTAGGCATTTGTCTGCCTCCTGCCTCTATCAGTATGTTTGTTAAAATTGATGAACTAATATTGACAACATTATTTTTTCCCCACTGGATGTCTCTTACACAATAATTATGGTTTTTTGTTTGTTCGTTTGTTTTTGAGACAGAGTCTCGCTCTGTTGTCCAGGCTGGAGTGCAATGGCAGAGTCTTGGCTCACTGCATCCTCCACCTCCCAGGTTCAAGTGATTCTCCTGCCTCAGCCTTCTGAGTAGCTGGGATTACAGGTGCCTACCACCATGCCCGGCTAGTTGTTGTATTTTTAGTAGAGACGGGGTGTCTCCATGTTGTTCAGAGTGTTCTTGAACTCCCAACCTCAGGTGATCCGCCCACCTTGACCTCCCAAAGTGCTGGGATTACAGGCGTGAGCCCCTGCACCTGGCCAATTATGTTATTTTTAACTAGAATCTGTAGTTTAGGTTCACTCTGTGTTGTACATGTCTTTGGATTTTGACGATGCAACTTTACACATCCTTAGAAATCCTTCTGATTAAGAATGAAGCAAAGACATTTTTTCTTCAACTTAAGTTTATTATTTTTTCAAATGGTTACTAAGTTATTAGGACATAAATGCTTTTTAAATTGTTTGGACATAGTAACTTAATAAATCATCAATTTTTTTGGTCTTGAGGCACCATGAAAGTTACTGAGACATCAAGGAACACATGTGACAGTGCTGAAGGACAAATGTACCCAGATGAGCTGGTCAGGAATGTCTGAGATGATTATGTTCAGGACAGTGAGCAAATTTAAAACATAGAGCCCCCGGGCTGATGTCTGAGATGTCCGTATTGAGATCGTTCAGAAATGTAACAGACAGTAGAATAATGATGGGCCTTATTTTTCTAATTTAAATTTAAATGCAAAAGATACAATTGATCAGGCATACTAGATTATACTTTGAATTTCATTTGAAAGCTCAGTAACTCTATGTCAGCCTATTAAATAGTGTTAACAAAAGTTTCCAGGTAGTCTTGGCTGGAAATTCTTGAAGAAGAATACATTAAAAGTACTTTAAGAGAAAATATTCCAGAAGACCTTGTTAAACCAGTTTTAGCTATGGTTAGTTGCATGTATGTTAGTTTCAGCAAGGAGAGAGGGAATAGTGTTTGTCTTTAACTAGAACAATCTGAAACTGACCCCCTCTTAAAACATTATATCTAATGCTAGATCTGAATAGTAGTCTTGCTTTAGCCAAATGTAGACATGCTAGTGTTTTAGCAGATGATTATTTTTCTTTTGAGCATAATTTTTTGTTTTTATTCTTGTTTTGTGCTTATAGCAGTGGTTCAAAACTTAGAAGCTGTAATCCTCTGCTGGATACTGTGAAATAACTGACATATACCTAGTTCTTTTGTATGGACCAGGAACAATTTTGACAGGACACATGGCTGTCCTATGAAGAGTATAAAATCATAGCCACTGTCATTGGGGGACAGAGTTGGGGGTGTCACAGAGCTGTCAAATTAGGTTTGGTGGGTAATGCCCTAGTTCTTTGCTAAGATTTGCTTGCCTGCCCCTTTGTACTCGTGGCTTTTTCCCTTTCTTCCCCTCCCCCCCCCCTTTTTTTTTTGAGTGCAGTGTTCATGCACTAGCACTTGTTTCTAGGACCCAAAGGTTTAGGGAAATTTATGGCAGAAAATCTTAAAGCGGATGGAGCTGTATTTAGTAGCAGCTTCTCTTGCTCTTGAGGAGGAGACCGTCGTCAGTAATTTTGGTTCATAGCACTCCCATCCCACCTGCCACTCAGAGCTGCAAGAACACGGCCTTCCAGAATAGAGTCAAACACAGTGTGGGTGTCACTAACTTGAGTTATTTTAAGAGGTCAGGAAACAAACCTACTACTGTGTGTTTTTTGACATTATTTTAAAATATAATGTGGATAAATCAGATGAGTGACCTCTCTGTGGAATTAAAACTTTTTACGTGTGAAGTTTTTAATTTTGTGGGTAATTTTTTCAAGGTCCTTTAGAATTGTGTCACTGTTGCCTGCTAATAAAGTCATGTGAAGGTCTCTGTTAAAGCAGTGGTCCCCAGCCTTTTTGGCACCAGTGACTGGTTTTGTGGAAGACAGTTGTTCCACGGATTGTGGGGTGAAGGGGGATGGTTTCGGGACGAAACTCTTCCACCTCAGATCATCAGGCATTGGATTCTCTTACGGAGCATGCAGCTTACAGAGCGTGCAGCCTCAATCCCTTGTGTGTGCAGTTCACAATAGGGCTCTCACTCCTGTGAGAGTCTGATGCTGCCACTGATGTGACAGGAGGTGGAGCTCAGGCAGTAATGCTGGCACGCCGGCAGCGTGGCCACGTTCTCAGCAGCGCACGGACCGGTAGGAGCTGGGGACTCTCTGTGTGTTAAACGAAGGTAGTCCAGGTGAAGTTCAGCATAGGCTGGAGGGTGGAACACACAGATGGTCGCTGGATGTAGTGACCTTTCCTTGTCACAGGCTTAACACCCCAGGTGGCACGGATACCTTGAAGAGCCATGCTGTTTCCTAAGAGAAAACGTGGAATTTGGAAGAGATTTTGAAGTTTCTTTCTCCTGTCCTCTAGCAAGAATATATATCATGTCTGGAACTCTTGGAGCAAAGGAGTGGGTGTACGAATGGAAGAAGCTCCGATGGGTTGATGCAGAATATCTCACAGCCCTCCCGGTGTTGGCCCATTCCCTGTCTGTTGTGTGGTATGATGTGTGTTGAAATGGCTCCTTGATCAAAAGTAAACATAGCTGCTTTATACCATTGCGTGGTAAACTGTGAAGGCAGGCATTGAGAGAGGGGTGGTAAAAAGAACCTATTCCTGGTCAAAAATGCTAAAATACTTGGAAGTGCAAATGTTTTGGTGCGTGGCATGTGAGCAACATGTTTACTGTCTGTTCTTTCAGCTATAATTAATGCCTTCCACGATACTCATCATAATCATACCTTAATGAGAAGGCCCTAGAAAAGAAACCCAACCTTTTTTGTTGGGTTACTTCGCATCTATCATGATACTTTTTCCTTTGATTTTATAGCACTTTAGGATGAACTTACTTTTCCGTGCTAAATGTTAGCTTTGGAGAAAGTGTATCATCAGAACCATGGAGTTTGAGGTCTTCTAAGATGAAGTTCATAATTTAAGCTTTATATGTGTTTGATCTCAGAAATGTCTTGGATTATGTCAAATTTTTACTTTTTTTCTTTTTTTTTGAGATGGAGTCTCACTCTGTCGCCCAGGCTGGAGTGCAGTGGCGCGATCTCGGCTCACTGCAAGCTCCACCTCCCAGGTTCATGCCATTCTCCTGCCTCAGCTTCCCGAGTAGCTGGGACTACAGGCGCCCGCCACCACGCCCGGCTAATTTTTTTTTGTATTTTTAGTAGAGACGGGGTTTCACTGTGTTAGCCGGGATGGTCTTGATCTCTTGACCTTGTGACCCGCCCGCCTCAGCCTCCCAAAGTGCTGGGATTACAGGCATGAGCCGCCGCGCCTGGCCTACGTATTTGTTTTTAGGTTTTTATTTTGTTTTGTTTTGTTTTGTTTTATTTTGATGTTATGTTTTGTTTTGTTATGTTATGTTATGTTATGTTATGTTATGTTATGTTATGTTATGTTATGTTACTTTATGATGTTATTTTTTTGAGAGGGATTCTCACACAGTCACCCAGGCTGGAGTGCAGTGGCGTGATCTTGGTTCACTGCAACCCCTGCCTCCTGGTTTCAAGCGATTCTCCTGCCTCAACCTCTCGAGTAGCTGGGACTACAGGCACCTGCCACCATGCCCAGCTGATTTTTCTGTTTTTAGTAGAGACGTTGGCCAGGCTGGTCTCTTAACTCCTGACCTCAGGTGATCTGCCCGCCTTGGCCTCCCAAAGTGCTGGGATTATAGGAGTGAGCCACTGCACCCGGCTTGTTTTTAATTTTAGTATTGTCATTGTATTTTCTTGTTTTTGTTTGAGATAAGGTCTGGCTCTTTCACCCCGTTGGGAGTGCAGTGGCGTGATCATGGCTCACTGTAGCCTCCATCTCCTAGGCTCCCGCGATCCTCCCACCTCAGCCTTATTTTCTGGTTTGATCTAAGCGCAGATTACCAGTCTGCTGTTGTGACTTGATGCGTTTATCTCACTGAAGACTGGTACCCGAGGCAGCTGACTTTGGTTGAGGTGTGGCACTTCTTTCCCTAGTTAATGTGCATGCCATGTACCATTGTGAGTTTGCCAGAAGCGGCCTTTGATCCTAGCTGTGGTTGCTCTGGGCTGTCAGTATTTGGACAAGTGGACGGGTATGCCGTAACTGCTGGGATCCTGACTTTTCTTTGAAAGGGCTCAAGTTTTTATGAATTTTAGTTTTTATAAATACCTTATTAGGTATGAACACATATTCACAAATAGCATGCAATTTGAAACCTCGGTTTACCAGTGAACTAAACAGAAGTTGTTTCTCTTGGTAGCCTTCTGATGAGGAAACGAGGTGGGGTACAGGAGCCTACAGAGGACTGAATTGTGATTACAAGTAGTCTTCCTGTGTCCTTGTCACTCTTACGGTCTAGAAGTAGCTTCGATGTTTATTTGCTTGGAGTTTCAGCAGCAGACCGCGGTGCTTGAAGCTGTTCATGGAATGACCGCTTGTGTCTGAGCCAGCGTCTGAGGAAACTGATGTTCTATAAGTAGGTCTGAGAGGCTTCTCTGGAGTTGGCCCATGTCTTGCTCCCTCTTGCTGATGCTCTCCCTGCCAGGAATGTTCTTCTCTCTCTGGGTTTCTCTTTAGAGCCCTCTGCAGACATCACCACCCCAGCAAAGCCCTCTGTAACCATCCAACCTGAAGTGGTTTCCCCCTGAATAGCTTAAGCAGATTTCTTTTTGTTAATACAGTCCAGTTGGTATTAATCACCTTCTTTCTCAGTCTTCTTTTCTATTGCTGTATATAGTTATACATTTGTTTTTGTTTTTGAGACAGAGTTTCGCTCTTGTTGTGCAGGCTGGAGTGCAATGGCACAATCTCAGCTCACTGCATCCTCCGCCTCCCGGATTCAAGTGATTCTCCAGCCTTGCCTCCTGAGTAGTTGGGATTACAGTCATGCACCACCATGCCCAGCTAATTTTGTATTTTTAGTAGAGATGGGGTCTCACCATGTTGGCCAGGCTGGTCTCAAACTCCTAACCTCGGGTGAGGTAGTCTACCCACCTCAGCCTCCCAAAGTGCTGGGGTTACAGGCGTGAGCCACCCCACCCAGCTAGTTATGAGTTTTTCTGTCTTGCCTCTCTAAATAAGCCATGTTCCTGTGCCTTCCACTTGTATATTCCTTAGAATTTTTAGTATAGGGCCTGCATGTGGTAGGCCCTCTGTAAAGAGCTGTTACTTTGATAGTGTGTGAATTATAGAATTAGAACTCTGAGGGACTTTGGTCAGTTTGCCACGTTTTCTTTCTTTTTTTTTTTAATGCAGCCTACAAAGTTGGACACATTTTCTTGATATGTTGAATACTTGTTTCTTTGAGCACTGGCAGCTTGTAGAGAGACTGAGGCCGTAGTTAGTTGTCTTACTTACTGGTTCTTTCCAGGGTAAAACCAGATCTGTGTATAAATGAGTTTGAGGGTCGTGTCTGATGCTGTAGAATATCCCAGTGGTTGCATGGAAAACAGCTGGCTTGGTGTGTTGGCTAAACTGGGTATGAACATAGCTCATGTTAAAGGTAGGCTCTTTAGGTTGAGTTTGTTTTGAATGGGTTTTTCTGGTGGAGTGCAGCATTCAGCTCATTAATTTTCAAGTTGAAATGTCGTCACAAAAATATGGCTTTCTTTAGCACAGTACTAGCTTTTAATATGTCAAAATTGCATTCAAAGGTTGGTTAAAAGCTGAAAGTGCTGTTGCCAGCCTTCCAAATTGCAGGCTCAGAAATCCCTTTTGAAAGAGGAAGAGTGGGTGTAGGAAGGTGGGAGGAAGCAGTTACCCGGGAGGAGCTTCCTCTCAGGGTCAGGTTGATGAGGCCCTAGTTTTGTTTTTATTACTGAAACAATTGCTGTGTAAAAATGAGTGAGCAAATGATTACAGTAGTTATTTGTCTTACAGAAATAATTTTTCCTTTAAAAAGGATACATCAAAGAACCTTTCTCCCTCTCTGAGGAACTTACTTCTGGGAGAGTTCATTTCGTCCAGCCTTTCTTGACTGTGTGTTTGGTAAATGTTGGGCGTGATTAGGAAATGGCTGGATGACACTGTGGATACCTGGAAATTGCTGCTGCTCTTCCGGCGCAGTGATTTGAACCTGGGAGAGTTGAAAAAGGGGTTCTTCCCACATTCTTTTAGTGCAGAGATAAAACGTGAAGGCCTGCTGATGTGGGCTCTGTGGCTCAAACGGGGTTTTAAAAATAGAGAAGCTTTCCAGAAAAGTCCAGGTTGCTGGCTTTGCTTGAAAAGCATAAGCTCCCCAGGCCGCTGCTCCTCCTAGCCCCAAGGAGCTGGAGCCAGTGCTGAGGCCCCAGGAGAAGGCCCCGTCCCGCTGTGCTGCGCACCAGGCCTGCCACCACCTCGACCAGAGCTTCGGGCAGACCTAAAATTTGTACACGTTTTCACATCTAAAACGTGGCAGTGTTGTATTTAATGAGTTATTGCAAAAGACAATAAAAACTGTAGGTTGATTTCTTGGTTTGTACCAATCTGTGTAGCCTCTGACTCTGTCATAAAAGCAGGTTTTATTTTACATGTGGACTTTCTCCCCTAAAGCTACCTTTTTCAAACTATTAATGGCTTTCCAAACTTTTTATTATGAGTAATGCTCATTTTTTAAAAAGTTGGTAGAAAAGTACTGTGAACACCTGTATGCATGTCCGCTAGGTAAATTAGCACATTTGCTTTCTCTGTCTCTTTCACAAACACATGTGCACATACATTTTGTAGAAACATTTGAAAGTAAGTTGCTTTATGTCATGACACTTTACCCCTACATACTAAAACATGTATTGCCTAAGAATAGATATTCTTCTGTCTAGCTGTGATTATTATCACAGGCAAAGAATCGTGCACCTGTGGTCCCAGCTACTTGGGAGGCTGAAGTGGGAGTATCGCTTGAGCCAGGAGGCGGAGGATGCAGTGAGCCAAGACTGTGCCACTGCACTCCAGCCTGGGTGACCAGAGTGAGACCCTGTCTCAGAAAAATACAAATAAAAAATAAAAAAGTGTTATTCAATATGAAACGCATGGTTGCATTTCCTTGGTTGTTCCCCAGATGTTTCGATAGCTATTTTTATTCCAATCCAAGAGCTAATGCAGCATTGCATTTGGTTGTTCTCTCTTTAGATGCCTTTATTCTAGACAGTTCCTTGCTGCTTCTGTTTATCTTTCAAGACTCTGACATTTTTTTTTTCGTTTAAGCGTCTAGGGTGGTTGTGTAGACTGTTCCATAATTTGGGTTTGTCTGATGATTTCCTCCCGAGTAGCTGGGATTATAGGCATGCGCCACCACGCCCGGCTAATTTTTGTATTTTTAGTAGAAACATAGTTTCACCATGTTGGCCAGGCGGGTCTCGAACTCCTGACCTCAGGTGATTCGCTTGCCTTGACCTCCCAAAGTGCTGGGATTACAGGGGTGAGCCACCATGCCCGGCCTTATTTCCCCATGATTAGCTAAGGGTCAGCCATCTTTGTCCTGAGGGCCGCAGAAGCCTGTGGTGTTTGTGTCTGCTTCCGCTGCATCACGCCAGGCTCTGTGGCTGTCCTGTTGCTGGGGCTCAGTTCAGTCATTTGGTGAAGGTGGTGCCCATGAGATCTTTCCATTGTAAAGGTACCCACCTTTGTTCCTTTGTTAAATTTATCTGTAACCTGCAGGATGATAATTTGAGGCCCTGTCTCTTCTGAATGCCTTACGTTAGCATTCATTGATGATCCTTGTCTGAATCAGTTATTGTGCATTGGTGGCTAGAAAATGGTGATTTCCTAATTGGCAATCCTTCTGTGTTGATTAGATTTTTTTTTTCCTGAAAAATTTTCTCCCCTGTTGAGTATCACTATGTGGTTTATAATGCTTTGCCACCCTTTTTTCTTTCTGGTGTTCAAATTATCCCAGACTTGGTGAGTGGAGCCCCTTCAGGCTGGTTCCTCTGTCCCTTGGGCATATGCCCATCTGAGCACTCCCTTGCCTCCTGGTGAGAAACGTTTCTGCCTCGCCTTGACCTTCCCTTGCTCCAGACTTGTAATCAACCGCACGGATTCCTTTGTAATAGGGACTGGTATTTGGAAATCAAGATCTGGTTGCCAGGTTTGCTCATCATGAACTGAGATGTCATTGCTTTTCACCCCTTCCAATGGAAAGAGCTAGGAGCTAGTACATAGATTGATGTTTTTAATCAAATTAGAATGCTTCTGTTTTTCAGGGCCTGCTTACATACTTTGTAGAAACTCGCGTGGCTTGTAGCTCATGCTGAAAAACTCAGGTTCTGGTACCTAAGCCATCCCAGAGATGAAAGTTACATCTACTTTTTGCAGTCTTTTCATTTCCAGAACCCTCCACAGTTAGAATTGTGTATGCTGACAGTATGCAGAATCTACTGACCTTAACATATCTCTGAAAGACGGGTCAGGGTAAGAGAGTGCAGAAACAAAAGGCAGGACTTATCTTTTTATTGAGTAAGATTGTATTGTATGCTTCAAAACATGTTTTTTGGACAAGGACTTTGTTTTAGGCATTGAAGTCCTCGTTCTCCTGAGGATAAAAAGTCTCTGCCCTGCAGCCTAGCAGTGCATTTGGTGGCAGAGTGACAGGCTTGGAAGAGAATGTGGAGGGAGTAAGGGAGGCGCTTGCTAACTGCCCCTGACGCTGACAGAGCTCTGGAGAGGTCAGTGCAGCTTCTGAGTTAGCTGCTCCTTAGCCTGGATACCTTAAATGCCATCTGGTTGGGCATGCCAAGGTAAAGTGAACGTCTGTGCAAATATGAGTCTACGTGGATGGAGAATTTTACAGGGAAGGGAACGTTTTTAGTGTGGTTGAAATTCAAGGTGAGGCTGCGTGGGTGACACCTTATGCTGACCACTCTTGTTTCAGGAATTGGAAGGATGGTGTGTGTATTTTGAAAATGGCCTAGTTCTAGCTAAGGCTACCTCTTAGTAAGTGCTTACTCTGCCCTATATGTCACTTAAAAAGATTCATTTTGTTTGAAACCTTTGTAAGTCTCAATTTCTTGGTACGTCACAGTACTGGAATGTACAAAGCCAGTTTTTTTTGTTTTTGTTTTTTTAATTAGAGTGCAGTGGAAGTCAGTTTAGATGGTTTTCAGTGTCCGTATAGAACAAATGGTAGCCAACCTGTTTTCCTAGGAATTGTTCGTGTTCGGTACTTAATAAATTCTTAGGGCTTTGAATGGGACTTATCTGTGGTGGGATCTGAGCAGGTGATTAAACTGCTTAAGTGTTGTTTACATAAAGTGTATGAAGAGACAGATACTGAGTGATTTTTCAAGATTCTGGCAGTAATGGGATTCAGAACATGTTTGAGTAGAAGAGGGGAGCAGATAAATATAAAGAATATATTTTTAACTTCCAAAGTAAGAACATTTAAGAAGCAAATATAATTGGCTACCACATGTGGGTTTTGCATCCTTTCCAGACCATCCTGCGCATGAGTCTCTTATTAATTTTCTGAAAATGTGACTCTGGCCACCTGTTCGTGCTCCCTCCATCCCAGCTCCTGGAGAGGAAGGCCAGGGCCTTCTGTCTGCACCCGGCAAGGCATGGTCTATGCCACATCGTCATGCACCACAGTGACCCCTGGCCTCACCTCTCACCACTTCCCTCCCCTGGGGGCTGTGGGTCCTGCCGCCACCTGAGGTTGCCTTGCAGTCGCACTCCTGAGTTCTTTCCTGGAAACGCTCTCCGCCTCGCTGGCTGTGAACAGACCCTGGCACGCTTTGAGGCCCAGCCTGCATGCCTCCTCTCTCTCAAAGGCTTTCCCCACGCTGCCTCTCCACGCAGAGCGTGTTCTCCCCCTTCTGCCTCCTGGCACCTGCTTATCCTTCTGACCCTCATGGATGTCATTGACTCCCTTCCCTCCCTCCTGTACTGACTACCATGGTCCCTTGTGCGTAGGCAGCTGGAGTGTAGCATGTGCTTTTCACATCGATTTAACCTTGTAACGTTGTGGAGAGAAAGTGAGATACAGGCAAGAAAACTGAGGGTGACTTTGAAGGAATTGTAGTAAAAACCCAGGCGGAGGAATTCCTGTGATTCTCTAGTCCTTCTGGGATCTTGATGGCAGTATTTGTGATCTGTGTATTACTTCTGTTCAGAAGGGCAGTCCTGTTGAAGGTAAACATCAGGGAATTGCTGCCAGAAAGGGAGTGTTTTTAGTATAATAATGGTCTGAAGCTACTTGTACCTTGTCAGAAGTAAAATCAAAGCCATTTGTGCCATTTTCATTAATATTTTTAACACCAAAGGTTTCTTCCTTAACTCTGTTTTTGGTTGTGATTAATTTAAGATGGGAATTCACAGTTCTAACCTCGCCTCATTTTTAGTACAGGTTGAGCATCTCAAATTTGGAAGTTCAAAGTCTGAAATGCTCCAGATCAAAAACTTTTTGAGCACTGATATGATGCTCAAAGGAAATGCTCATTGGAGCATTTTGGATTTCAGATCTGTGGATTTGAGATGCTCAACCAGTAAGTATAATAGAGCTATTCCCAAGATCCGAAAAAATTCTGAAATCAGAAGCACTTCTGGTCCCAGGCATTTTGGAGAAGGGATGCTCAACCCATACAACCTTACAGAGGGGTGACATCTATCAGTCAAGCAAGAGTCATCCTGCAGTACCTTCCTTTATAATGGGGCCGACCACAGGGGCAGGCACTGGGTTTCCTTTTTCAGGTTCCTTCTTACAGCCTAGATTCTTACTACCCTATGCCCCCCCCCCACACCCCTTTTTTCTGAGACGGAGTCTCTCTCTGCCGCCCAGTTTGGAGTGTGGTGGCACCATTTTGGCACACTGCGGCCTCTGCCTCCCAGGTTCTAGTGATTTTCCCACCTCAGCCTCCCAAGTAGCTGGGATTACAGGTGTATGCCACCGTGCCCAGCTAATTTTTGTATTTTTGGTAGAAATGGGGTTTCGACATGTTGGTCAGGATGGTCTCAAACTCCTGGCATCAAATGATCTGCCTGCCTTGGCCTCCCTAAGTGCTGGGATTACAGACGTGAGCCACTGCACCCGGCCTTATTCTTATTACCCTATATCCTATGACTTCCAGTTCACATGCACCATGGGCTACTGGAATTTTTTTTTTTTTTTTTTGGAGACAGGGTCTTACTCTTACTCTGTTACCCAGGCTGGAGTGCAGTGGTGCAATCACAGGTCACTGCAGCCTGCACCTCCTGGGCTCAGGTGGTCCTCCCATGTCAGCCTCCTGAGTAGCTAGAACTACAGGCATGTACCACCACACCTGGCTAATTTTTATATTTTTTGTAGAGATGGGGTTATGCTATGTTGCCTAGGCTGGTCTCAAACTCCTGGGCTCAAGTGATCTGCACGCCTGGGCCTCTGGATCGCTTAGGTTTTAATATGAATTCTGCAACATCTTTAGTTTGGTAATCTTTGTGGATTGCTACAGAGTAAATTAAATTATTTACAAAGAATAATATTGAATAATTTAATTATTCACAAGGAATAATCTTGAAAGATCTCATGTGTTCTTTACTCATCTTCCCCCAGTGATAACGTCTTGCAGAACTGTGTGCACCAGCACAGTCAGGATGCTGCCGTGCGCATAGTCGAGACGCAGAGTGCTTCCCAGGCATCTCTCTCATGGCCCTTTTACAGCCACACCTGCTTCGCTCCTGTCCCCACCCCTTCCTTAGCCCCGGCAACCACTCTTCTGTTTTCGGTTTCTCTAGTTTTGTCTTTTCAAGAGTGTTATGGACAGGGAATCATACCGTATGTAACTGCTGAGGCTTTTTTTTTTTTTTAGCTTAGCATAATTCTCCCACGATTCATCCAGTTCCTCACCTGGATCAATAGTTCATTCTTTTTTTTTGCTGAGTAGTGTTCCGTGGTGTGGCTGCAGCGCAGTCCATTTAGCCTCACTCAGGAAGGACATCTCGGAGTTGTTTCCAGTTTCTATTATGAGTAACGCTGCTATGAATGTTTGTATATGGGGTTTTGTGCGAACATAAGCTCTCATTGCTCTGGGATAAATGCCCAGGAGTGCATTTGTTGGGTTGTATACCGTTGCATGTTTAGGTTTTAAGAAGATACCTGTTTTCTGGAGTGGTTGCACCATTTTACATTCCTGCCAATGATGTGGAAGGGATTCAGTTCTTCCACATCCCAACCAGCACTGTGTTTTATTTTAGCCATTCTGATAGTTGTATAGTGATACTCCTTTGTGATTTTAATTTGCATTTCCCTAATGGCCCTTTTCTCTAATGAACATCTCTCGTGTGCTTATTTGCCATCTGTGTGTCCTCTCAGGTGAGATATCACTTCCTGTCTCTTGCACATTTTCTAATTGGACTTTTTAAAACTCTTGAGTTGTTTTTTTTTTTTAATCATGGTAAAAGCACATGAAATTTACCATCTTAACCATTTTTAAATTTCAATTGTGTGTCAAAAGACAAAATTACAAAAAAATTTAGTGTATGGATCTTAATTGGCTTTTTTGATTCCAGAATCAGGCAACACCTCATTCTATAAAACAGAATTCTGTGAAATAGAATGAGTGTTCTCATGAGCTGAGCAGGGGAAGCTGGCTTTGTAGACAGAAAAGGGGTGAGGGAAACAGACACAGAGAACAGAGAGCAGATGGGTGGTTTCAGAGTGACTTCCCTTGTAAAGGTTAACGCAGAGGGGACTTCCTTACCACGCTGGCCCAAACTGGCCCATTTGGGGGATTTGCTGTTCTCTTTCTCCTGACTTCTTGCAAAGTCAGATAAACAACTTACTTTTGGCTTGGTGGTATGGAGGTTACCAAGAGGGACTCCATTTTGGTTTGGTCTGCTGGGCCTGGTGCAGGAGCTCAGTCCAAACCAGTGTTCTCCTGGCTCACTGTATTTATGTTGAGTTTTAAGAATTTTTTATGTATTCTAGGCACTAGTCCTTTGTCAGATACATGGTTTGTAAATCCCTCCTCCCATTTTGTAGTTTGTTTTTTCATTCTCTTAACAGGGGTTTTGTTTTGTTTTGTTTTGAGATGGAATCTCACTCTGTCGCCCAGGCTGGAGTGCAGTGGCGCGATCTCGGCTCACTGCAAGCTCCGCTTTCTGGGTTCACGCCATTCTCCTGCCTCAGCCTCCTGAGTAGCTGGAACTACAGGCGCCCGCCACCACGCCCGGCTAATTTTTTGTATCTTTAGTAGAGACGGGGTTTCACCGTGTTAGCCTGGATGGTCTCAATCTCCTGACCTCATGATCTGCCCACCTCAGACTCCCAAAGTGCTGAGATTACAAGCGTGAGCCACCGCGCCCGGCCTTAACAGGGTCTTTCGCTGAGCAAATGTTTTTAACTTTGAGGAAGTTCATTTTATATATTTTTTCTCCTGTGGATTGTGATTTTGTTGTCACATCTAAGAATTCTTTGCCTAGCCCAGGATCCCAAAGATTTTCTATTTTTTTTCCCTAAAAGTTTTAGTTTTGTGTTTTACATTTAAGTCGCTGATCTTTGAGTTAATTTTTATACAAGGTGTGAGGTTTAGATCAAGATTCATTGTTATTATTGTTTCAGCCTATGGATGTGTAATTGCTCCAGTAACATGTTGAAAAGACTGGCGTGCTTTCTTTCCCTCATTGCTTTTACATCTCTGTTGAAAATCAGTCGGTGTTCCCTGACAGGTGCAGATACTAAAAAATAAATCAGTTGGGTGTATTTGTTTGAGTCTATTTCTGGGTTCTGTATTTTGTCCCATAGATCTGTATGTCAGTTACCCCTCTCCTAATACTAGATGGTCTTGATTACTGTAGTTATAGAGTAAGCCTTAATACCGGGGTGACTGATTCTTCCCAGTTTATTCATCTTTTTCAAAATCGTTTTAGTTGTTCTAGTTCCTTTGTCTTTCCATATAAATTTTAAAACAATCTTGTCTATAATTACCACAAAGTCTTGCTGGGGTTTTGTTAGGAATGATGTTACTTATGGGGAGAATTGAGATCTTTACTAGGTTGAATCTTCCGATCCATGGACATGGAGTGTCTTTTTCTTCTTTAATGAAAGCTTCAGATGTGAAGACAGTTGTGGCGCTGCCTGTTGCCGTGCACCGAGAGGTGCTGTTCCAGGGAGAACACAGTCAGCGGCAGGACATCAGGTTGTGTCTTTGCTCACTTCTGCTTTCTTGGTTTTTAAATTTATAGGCCTATGAAAGGAGGTTCCCTACATGTCCTTTGATTCCGATGTTCGTGGGCAGTGACACTGTGAATGAATTCAAGAGCGAAGATGGGGCTATTCATGTCATTGAAAGGCGCTGCAAGCTGGATGTAGATGCACCCAGACTGCTGAAGAAGGTAAAGGTCGGAAAGGACGTCTTGGAGGGAAAGGGCGTCCTGGTGGGAGAGGGCGTCCTGGTGGGAGAGGGCGTCCTGGAGGGAGAGGGCATCCTGGAGGGAGAGGGCGTCCTGGAGGGAGAGGGCGTCCTGGAGGGCAGCCCCCAGAGACAACATGAACTTATACTATAGCTTCTGTGCTATTGGTTGTTATTAATAAACCCATTTCTCTTTCTTTTTTTTTTGAAGATTGCAGGAGTTGATTATGTTTATTTTGTCCAGAAAAACTCACTGAATTCTCGGGAACGTACTTTGCACATTGAGGCTTATAATGAAACGTTTTCCAATCGGGTCATCATTAATGAGCATTGCTGCTACACCGTGAGTAATCTGTCACTCGGCGGAAGATGTTCTGCCGACATATGGCTTCTGAGGATTGTTTGATCACCATTTTAAACAGTGCATCTTTTTGTCTTAGAGGGCAGTTCTTCATTAGATGTTGTCACTCATTTCTCATGTGTAGGAGGAAGGGTAGCAGGTGTGGTCTCCTGCAGAGTGTATTATGTTGTCGTGGCAGTTAAGGCAGCCAAGTGATGCCTTGATTTGGTTTTGTTTTTTTTTTCTTTTTTGAGACACAGTCTCCCTCTGTCGCCCAGGCCGGAGTGCAGTGGTGCAATCTCGGCTCACTGCAACCTCTGCTTCCCGAGTTCAAGTGATTCTCCTGCCTCAGCCTCCCTAGTAGTTCGGATTACAGGCAAGCGCCACCACGCCAGGCTGATTTTTGTATTTTTAGTAAAGATGGGGTTTCACCGTGTTGGCCTGGCTGGTCTGGAACTCCTGACCTCACGTGATCCACCCCTTGGCCTAATTTTTTTTTTTTTTGAGATGGAGTCTCACTCTTGTCACCAAGGCTGAAATGCAGTGGCACAGTCTCAGCTCACTGCAACCTCTGCCTCCCAGGTTCAAGTTATTCTCATTCCCCAGCCTCCCAAGTAGCTGGGATTACAGGCACTCGCCACCACGCCCGGCTAATTTTTGTATTTTTAGTAGAGACAGGGTTTCACCATGTTGGCCAGGCTGGTCTCCAACTCCTGACCTCATGATCCGTCTGCCTCGTCCTCCCAAAATGCTGGGATTACAGGCGTGAGCCACCACGCCTGGCCTTAAATATTACATTCATATGCCACTTCTTTTCTGGTCTTACTGTAATATGTTAGAAATATCTAATGAAGGACTAAGATGTGTGCCTTTAAGAATAGTGCCGAGAGTGTTTGTCTGTCTCAGTATCTTCACTGCTTACCACCCTGTTTCAAGAACTTCTTTTATCAGATTTTTAGAATACTCTCCTGACAGATTGCTGTATTTCTGCCCTTCTCCCCTGCAGTGTATCCTTAACACTGAATTCAAAGTGATCTATTTAAAGTATGTCAGATTAAGTCACTTCTATGGGCTCAAAACCCTGGAGTGTTTCCACAGTTCGCCCAGAGGAAGAGCCCATAGTCTTTATGGTGACTTGCAAGGGCCTGAGTTCTCTCCTGGTTACGCCTTTCCTGTCCTTGCTGTCATGCAGTGGGCCTCCCCCAGGGGCTTTGGCTCCAAGGTGCTCGCTGTGCCGTGCTATTCTTCCCTACGTCTCTAGTCTCACCTCCTCCCATCTCGGCTCAGGTCACCCCTTCTTGGCCAGCCCCAGCCACCCATTTAATTCTGCAGCCTGACTCCCCAACCCCCAGGCTTTTTTTTTTTTCTTCAGGGATGGGATCTTGCCCTGTCGCTCAGGCTGGAGTGCAGTGGAACAATCAGTTCACTGCAGCCTCCACCTCCCAGGCTCAAGTGATCCTCCTGCCCCAGCCTCCCAAGTAGCTGGGACTATAGGCACATGCCACCGTGCCTGGCTAGTTTTTAAATTTTTTTGTAGGGATGAGGTCTTGCTCTGTTGCCCAGGCTGGTCTCAAACTCCTGGACTCAAGTGATCCTCCCACCTTGGCCTCCCAAAGTGTCGGGATTGCAGGTGTGAACCATCATGCCTGACCCCCATCCCTGGTTCTTTTAGCCTGTGCTCCAAGTTTTCTTTTTTCCATAGCACTTACTTATCTTTAATTTCCTTGCATACTGTGTTTCTGGCTGATTGTCTCCTCTGTTAGACTCTGTTGAAAGCTTCCAAGGCCAATACCTCTTTGTTCATGATGGAGAAGACTGTTCAGTGAGTATGTTGAATGAATGAATGAAGCAAGAATGAAAATGAAGCTCTCCTTTTATAGTCATCTTTGAAATGTTTTTGAACAATTATTTGGATCTCTTCATGATTTAGAATGTGCTTTTGATCCTGATTTTGAACATGATTTTGGCATTTTTTCCATCTGCTGTCTTTATGGTAGTAGCATTGTTAGTAACGTAAGTGTTTTTTTCTGGTTACTGGTTAAACTGAGGAGCAGGCAGATGATATTCTGTTGTCAATTCAGTCAGTGAGAGTGCTTTCTCTTTATCTGCAGGTTCACCCTGAAAATGAAGATTGGACCTGTTTTGAACAGTCTGCAAGTTTAGATATTAAATCTTTCTTTGGTTTTGAAAGTACAGTGGAAAAAATTGCAATGAAACAATATACCAGCAACATTAAAAAAGTGAGTGTATCTTGGGATTTTGTGGCAGAGGGTGGGCAGGAGTCTCTGAGATGACCATCTTTTTGGAAGGCTGGGGATGGCTTAGCAAGGGATTTGCAGCATTTCTTGGGTGGAAGATGCTATGATCCCTACCCCCTGCCTCATCTTTAGGTATAGGGGTTGAGGTTGTGCTGGTTGCTGATGGAGGAAGGAGGTGCCTGTAGCTCTAGCAATGGCACTGTCTGCCTGGAGTTGCTGAGAGAGTTAGAAGTTGGGGAGAGGCAGCAGCAGCTGGCACACAGCCCCCAGGCCTTGCTGCAGGATTGGGAGGAGGCCTGGGGGCCTGGGGAGGTGCTTGCCGAGCAGGCTGCCCCCCTTGGATTGTCAGTTCTTCCACAGAAGACCTTCCTTTCTCGTTTTTGTGCTGTTGTTCATCAGTTGTTAGGGAATTGTGGTTTTGAAATCTATCCGTGTGGGATTATGGAGTGGTTTTTGAAGGCTCATTTTCAGGGTACTGTGTTGGAAAGAATTGAAATTGAGACAGAAATCATATATTGAGTACAAGTACCCTAAATCAGCATTTTAAAATAGTCATATAAAAATTCCATCTCATTAGATACCATTTCCTAAACCTTGGAAAATAACAAGTAAAATAAACAAAAACACAGAAGCATTTGGCCTTTTCTTTTTTTCTATTAATTTTGTAGCAATTCAGTTTTATTGGTGTTTTAAAAGCTTGTGAGGGACTGGGCGCACTGGCTCATGCCTGTAATCCCAGCACTTTGGGAGGCTGAGGTGGACAGATTGCTCGAGCCCAAGAGTTCGAGACCAGCCTGGACAACATTGCGAAACCCCGTATTTACAAAGAATACAAAAATTAGCCGGATGAGGTGGCATATACCTGTAGTCCCAGCTACTGGGGAGGCTGAGGTAGGATGGCTTGAGTCCAGGAGGTCAAGGGTACAGTGAGCTGTGATCATGCCACTGTGCTTTAGCCTGGGCCACAAAGCGAGACCCTGTCTCAAAAAAAAAAAAAGATTGTGAGGCTCACCATCTTCCGTTGGCTAGAAAAAAAGAAAAATCTTGGGAGAGATGAGTAATTTGAATGTTGAATATATACTCACCTTTAAATTGGTTTTGTTTTAAAGGGAAAGGAAATCATCGAATACTACCTTCGCCAATTAGAAGAAGAAGGCATAACCTTTGTGCCCCGTTGGAGTCCGCCTTCCATCACGACCTCTTCAGAGACATCTTCATCATCCTCCAAGAAACAAGCAGCGTCCATGGCCGTCGTCATCCCAGAAGCTGCCCTCAAGGAGGGGCTGAGTGGTGATGCCCTCAGCAGCCCCAGCGCACCTGAGCCCGTGGTGGGCACCCCTGACGGTGGGTCTGGCAGGGGCTTCATCCCGAGAGCAAGGCTAGGGAAGTCGGCGTTGCCGTTTTCTCTCTGTTTGCTCTGCCTGTTCCCGCTTCCTTGGAACATTAGATAACTCAGAAAGGAAAGACCCGTCTCTCGTTTCTGGCCCTTGTCCTCTCGCTTATGTAATACATTCATTTTACCTTTTATTAGATTTTTTGTTAATAGGAAGGATTATATCAAGTTATTTTTATTCTTTTATGGATACCAGAAGGTGTTTGTTTGTTTGTTTAAGAAATGGGGTCTCACTGTGTTGCCCAGGATGGTCTTGAACTCCTGGGCTCAAGCAATCCTTCTGCCTCGGCCTCCCAAAGTGCTGGGATTATAGGTGTGAGCCACCACACCTGGCCTAAGGAAGGTGTTTTTTTTTGTTTGTTTGTTTGTTTGTTTTGAGATAGAGTATTGCTCTGTTGCCCAGGCTGGAGTGCAGTGGTGCCATCTTGGCTCACTGCAACCTCCGTCTCCCGGGTTCAAGTGATTTTCCTGCCTCAGCCTCCCGAGTAGCTGGGACCACAGGCATGTGCCACCACGCCTGACTAATTTTTTTATTTTTTTATTTTTGAGATAAAAAAGTCTCTGTCGCCCAGGCTGCAGTGTAGTGGCACAATCTCGGCTCAGTGCAGCCTTCGTCTCCTGGGTTCAAGTGATTCTCCTGCCTAAGCCTCTTGAGTAGCTGGGATTATAAGCCTGCACCGCCACGCCTGACTAATTTTTATATTCCTAGTAGAGACGGGGTTTCACCATGTTGGCCAGGCTTGTCTTGAACTCCTGATCTCAGGTGATCTGGCCACCTCAGCCTCCTGAGTAGCTGGGATTACAGGCGTGAGCCACCAGATTTCTTACATTCTCCAACACAGTAGCTCCATTCAAAATAGATTTAGATTTGCTTGGCTTTTTTTTTTCCATAAATTTTATATCTTGCAAGTCCTTTTTGTGTTATGTTCCTCTTGGAATTAAAACAGTCATTAATATCTATTATAGTCATGAATAGTATTGTGATTTGGCAATAGAGGTAACTCAGTGGTAATCAGGGAAAGATAATTGAGTCAGAAAGTGTACCTGTGGTTTAGTCAGTGATTTGATCTCAGAGCCTATCCCTCAAGTCCTCTAAGGAATCTGGTTTACATCTGCCATCTCTGCGGTTTCATGTGCCTCTAGGACTCTAGGACCACACGTTAACTCCACTGAGCACAAAGACTTTGGGAGCCTAAAGCTCCAGTGTTCTTTGTTGTAAATAAATGTCACTTACATTCCAGACAAACTAGATGCCGACTACATCAAGAGATACCTGGGCGATTTGACTCCGCTGCAGGAGAGCTGCCTCATTAGACTTCGCCAGTGGCTCCAGGAGACCCACAAGGGCAAAGTGAGTGTCAGCACCACACCCAGTGTGCAGGGCCAGAGCTACGTGAAATCATGGAATCTCTTTCTGTCATAGTCACCAAGAGTGATATTCCCAACTTCCACGGCTGGGAATGTTTCTTCCAGTTTAGAAGTCATTGAATTTATGTCTCTGTGGAATCTAAGTCGTTTATAGCAAGTGATAATGCATGACTAACTGCATTTTTCTAGACTTTACAGAGCAAGGTCTGGCTACAAACAGTGTCACGTCACAAAGCAACATGTGTTCCAAGTATTCACACATTCAAATTTTCAGAAGGTGTAAAAAGAGTTCAGAGATTTATCAGAGATTAGAAATGTTTGAGCTTTAATTTTCAGGTTTTTGGTGAAATTTTAGCCTCATAAAGGTGTAAATTTTTATGGTAAGCCTTATGTAGTGAGCAGAGCCTGGTATGTGTCTAGCGAGTTATTGGCATTATTTAGTAAAGGGAAACTAGGCATTGCATGTATTTGGCCTGATCTCTAATTCTGTCAGCCTGCTTACTAGAAACCAAATAACTGAGTGCTGTTGAATACCAGTCATCAAGAAAACCACTGCAGTGATGATGGCCACCGTTTGTTGTCTTCTTACCATGTATTAGACACTGTTTTCAGGTCTTTATTCCATCCTTCCGGCAGCTCTCTCTGCTGCTGTTTTTCTCACTGGTTTTACACGTGAGGAAACTGAGGCACAGAGCAGTGAAGTAACCTGCCTGAGGTCTCACAGCCAGCGAGTGGTGGGGTCAGGATTTGAACCCAGGCCATTTTGTTCCAGAACCTACATTCTTAACCACTTCCACGTAACTGTGGTCCTTTCTGAGTGAAGATGATGCCACGTCAGTAGGCCACATGCTTTTGAGTTATTTCGCAGGAGTTGGGGTCATGAATAGCTCATGTTCCCACCCCCTTCTTGTTCTGACGGACCAGCCTCTTGAGTTGGTAAACACATGGCCACGGAGGAAGACACTTGGTCCACGTGACACTCGGAACACGGCCTTGGCCTTGTTCTTTATTCAGGGAGGCCAACCTGTTGATTGACAGTAATGGAACCTGGAGAAGATTCCTGCGTGTTAGTCAGCAATACTGCCACATCATGAAAACCCAACATGCTTTTTTTGTATTCTTTTTCTTTAATCTGTAGTTTTTGTTTTTAATTATCTTAAGTCTTATGATCACTCATAATTTTTAACTTTGTGTATATCTTCTCTACTTTAATCTTTCTAATGAGTTGGCAAAAGCACCATTGCCAGTCACGTAGACACATGGTAGTTCTACAGTTTTATGTTTTTGAATTTTTTTTTTTTTATATATGTATACAGAGTCTTGCTCCGTCACCCAGGCTGGTGCAGTCTTGGGTCACTACAATCTCTGTCTCCCAGGTTCAGGCTATTCTCCTGCCTCAGCCTCCTGAGAGCTGGGGTTAGCTCTGCCACCATTGCTGGCTAATTTTTGTATTTTTAGTAGAGAACAGGGTTCCACCATGTTGGCCAGGCTGGTCTCAAACTCCTGACCTCAAGTGATCCGCCTGCCTTAGCCTCCCAAAGGGCTGGGATTACAGGCGTGAGCCACTGGGCCCAACCTCGAATGACTTTTTAAAGACAATGCTAAATTATAACTTAGTCTGACTTAAGTAGTAAAGAATTCAAAAGTAAAGTTTAACTTGCTACTATTTCTTGTCATACTGACTTTTAAAAGCATCTGACCTTATAGATTGTCTATAAAATGTGAGAAGTGTTAAATATTCCTTATTTGATATTACACATAAACTACACTAAAATGCCTTTTAATAAATAAAGGGAACCATTTTAGATACAGGAAATTCTAATTAGATTGGCATAGTTAAGGCCAAAAATATAAAGTAGATATTGCTGCCTTATCTTCAGCCTTTGCCTTTAAGAGGCAAATAAATACAAAATACAGGTGAGTCTTGCTTGGTTCTGAGACAGTGAAGGGATTTCCTCAGTATTTAAATAGAGTCATATGGCCAGTTATGTAAACCCAAATATAAAACCAATCTCCAATAGGCTTTAAGATGGCATTTACGATCTTTGTGAAAGTTGAACATTACTAGCGAAGTCCAGTCACATCTTTAGAAGGGGAAAGCAGTGTAGCGTTACTGAATCAGAATTATTAAAATTCAGAAAACCGAACATAGTCCTTTAACCACAAGCCAGCCTTAGTTAAATCAGGATTGCCCAACCAAACTATTCTGATGATGGTTCATGATCTGAATTCTGGTGTATGAGATCTCTTTTTTTTTTTTTTTTGAGACGGAGTCTCGCCCTGTCGCCCAGGCTGGAGTGCAGTGGCGCGATCTCGGCTCACTGCAAGATCCGCCTCCTGGGTTCACGCCATTCTTCTGCTTCAGCCTCCCCAGTAGCTGGGACTCAGGCACCCGCCACCACGCCCAGATAATTTTTGTATTTTTAGTAGAGATGGGGTTTCACTGTGTTAGCCAGGATGGTCTCGATCTCCTGACCTCATGATCCACCCGCCTCGGCCTCCCAGAGTGCTGGGATTACAGGCGTGAGCCACCGCGCCCGGCCATGAGATCTGTTAAATTATGATATGCATTAAAAAGTCATGACATTTCTGTTTTGTAATAAGACAGTGACCAATTATTACTCATTAGAAGGTTTTTTGAGATAAACTTTCAAGTCTGCCCTTGCCGTCTTCTTTCTTTTTTTTTTTTTTTTTGAGATGGAGTTTCGCTCTTGTTGCCCAGGCTGAAGTGCAGTGGCGCGATCTTGGCTCACTGCACCCTCTGCCTCCAGGTTCAAGTGATTCTCCTGCATCAGCCTCCCAAGTAGCTGGGACTACAGGCGTGCACCACCACGCCCGACTAATTTTGTATTTTTGGTAGAGACAGGGTTTCTCCATGCTGCTCAGTCTGGTCTTGAACTCCTGACCTCAAGCAATCCACCTGCCTTGGCCTCCCAAAGTGCTGGGATTACAGGCCTGAGCCACCACACCCCGCCAGTGAAGACCATTTTTGTTCCAGGGATTCTCCAAATACCCCATCAGTGTGTCCTCACTCCAGGTGATGCTTTTGTTCTTATTGGCATCTGTGTATAAGAGAATCCAGCAGCCTGACCTGTCGTCTGCCCGGAGAGACGGTGGAGATGTGGCCCAGTCTTGTGCTTGCTTCCCTTTTCCATGGTGTGGCACTGGGCGGCACCCTTTGGAACAAAAATCTTGCCTTTCTCAACATCATCCATGTTTAATTCTCTTTTGTCTCTGGCACTACGAAGGTTTCCATTCAGAAGCCAGGTGTCCTGCTCTCTCTTTATTCTAACTTTTTATTTAAATGCAGTATGTATACAGAAAAGTGCAAGGATCATAGTCATTCATAGATCCGTTCATAGAGTTGAAGCATTTGATGTTTAGGGAATTATTTATGCCTTTGCTCTACTTTGCGGAAACGAAAATGAAATACTATAAAGATTATTCAAACTGATAATGCTGATTTTCTCTAGAGTAGTAAGGGAGATGTTTCTGGTACCACCTCATTTTTAATAGTATAATAGTGCAGCTCACTGTTGATTAGAAGTGGGAGTTTCAGGCCAGACATGGTGGCTCATGCCTATAATCCCAACACTTTGGGAGGCCAAGGCAGGAGGATTGCTTGAGCTCAGGCGTTTGAGACCAGCCTGGGCAACATGGGGAAACCACATCTCTACAAATACAAAAATGAGCTGGGCGTGGTGGCGTGTGCCTGTGGTTCCAGCTGCTCAGGAGGCTGAGGTGGGAGGATTGCCTAAGCCCAGTAGTTGGGGGCTGCAGTGAGCTGAGATCATGCCACAACACTCCAGCCTGGGTGGCAGAATAAGAGTCCCTGTCTCCAAAAGAAAAGTGGGAATTTTAGGGTCTTATTCCCTTAGCAACTTTTTTTTTAGGGCAGTAATGTGATCTCGGCTCGCTGCAGCCTCCACCTCCCAGGTTCAAGTGATCCGCCTGCTTCAGCCTCCGAGTAGCTGGGATTACAGGCATGCACCACCATGCCTGGCTGATTTTTGTATTTTTAGTAGAGATGGCATTTCACCATATTGGCCAGGCTGGTCTTGAACTCCTGAGCTCAAGCGATCCGTCCACCGCAGCCTCCCAAAGTTCCCTTCACAACTTTTAACATTGCTTAGAAATGTCTTTTTCTCTTAATAGATTCCAAAAGATGAGCATATTCTTCGGTTCCTCCGTGCACGGGATTTTAATATTGACAAAGCCAGAGAGATCATGTGTCAGTCTTTGACGTGGAGAAAGCAGCATCAGGTAGACTACATTCTTGAAACCTGGACCCCTCCTCAGGTCCTTCAGGATTACTACGCGGGAGGCTGGCATCATCACGACAAAGGTACCGGATGGAGTTGAAACTGTGTTTCCATCGTTGTCTTGATGTGTGGTTGAAGATATCTTCCAAGGCCTCCTTCCCTGGAGTTGAGTGGGGCCCCCTTGAGTGCATCGTTTCTCCTCACTCTGAGAATTTGGCACCTTTCCCAAGTTGAACAGACTGATACGTGTCACCACGGGCACACTCCCGTCCCGCCCCGGGCAGCCAGGAAGGGCCTGGGACTGCTCTTTCCTCATGGACACACGTCATCCTTGGGCAAATGACTTCACTTGCTCGGTGCAGTACAGTTTGTTTTGACCTATTAAAAAGACAGCAGTGCCTCTGGCAGAGTATTTTCAGTAGTGCAGTGTTAATAAAGGGACTTTTCAATGACTTAAACCCTATGATAGCTTAAAACGGTTCAGCCCGGTTTTCTACATCACAGCCCTGAGCACTTCAGTTCTGCTTTGGGAGTAAGTAAGGCCTGGATGAAGGGGGGCGATGCACCTGAAATGAAGAGTGGTTTAAATGAGAACCTTAAAACACAGTTCCCCCAAATGCCTTCCATACCCTGCCTTGCAGGAAGACCTGCACTGTCAAAAATACACTCTTTCCTGAGCCAAAGTTTGAGAGCCGGGCAGGATGGAATTGGAAACGTCGGCGAGAGGGAAGCACCGTAGAACTGGTTCTTTTACCCTCTGAACAAGTCCTTGCAGAACCGAGCAGCTCAGCTTTGTCTGTGATTATGACTTCATCTTTTGTATTGTTAAAAAGTTTGGTAGTAAGACATTGACAAATGTGTCTTTTTTTTTTTTTTTTGAGACAGAGTCTCGCTCTGTCCCCAAGGCTGGAGTCCAGTGGCAAGATCTCAGCCTACTGCACCCTCCACCTTCCGGGTTCAAGCAATTCTCCCGCCTCAGCCTCCCGAGTAGTTGGGACTACAGGTGTGCACCACCACGCCCGGCTACTTTTTGTATTTTTAGTAGAGATGGGGTTTCACCATATTGGCCAGGCTGGTCTCGAACTCCTGACCTCGTGATCTGCCCACCTTGGCCTCCAAAAGTGCAGGAATTACAGGCGTGAGCCATTGCGCCCGGCCTCAACAAATGTGTCTTATTAAACGTTGGGAGAAACTTTCTGTAAATAGGCCTTTCCGTAAGATTTTGGAGCACATAAAAATGTTTTGCTTTAAGTAGACCAGGTCTAGAGCTAGACTCTCCTGGGAGATGAAGTTCACTAGGTGACAAATACAAGATAAATGTTACCCTCTAACCCTCTGCCCCATGCTGGGACGACACTGCTGGTCTTCTGGTAACCACCGAAGACAAGTCTTGGTTCCTTTTCAGGAGCACAATCGTCTGTATTCCTCCTGCTGCGCCTTCTGGGACTGTGCGGCAGGAGGCTAGGCAGTGCTGACTCTAGGGATACACTATGGCCACCAAGCTCTTTTTCCCCTTTGTGTAGATGGCCCATGATGATAGGGCAGTATGATAGGAGTTAGGCTCCTCTCAGGCGGCACCCATTAGACCTCCAGGCTATAAAGAAGTAGAGTCAGGCCAGGCCCAGTGGCTCATGCCCGTAATCCCAGCATTTTGGGAGGCCAAGGCAGGAGGATGGCTTGGACCCAGGACTTCAAGACTAGCCTGGGCAACACAGTGAGTTGTTGTCTCTACTTAAAAAAAAAGGAGGCTGGGCGCGGTGGCTCACACCTGTAATCCCAGCACTTTGGGAGGCTGAAGCGGGTGGATCACCTGAGATCAGGAGTTCAAGACCATCCTGGCCAGCATGGTGAAACCCCGTCTCTACTAAAAATACAAAAATTAGCTGGGCGTGGTGGCACACACCTGTAGTCCCAGCTATTCGGGAGGCTGAGGCAGGAGAATCGCTTGAACCTGGGAGGCGGAGGTTGCAGTGAGCCGAGATCGTGCCAGTGCACTCCAGCCTGGCGACAGAGCAAGACTTCGTCTCAAATAAAAAACAAAAAAGGAGGCCCAGCACAGTGGCTCACGCCTATAATCCTAGAAGTTTGGGAGGCGGAGGCAGGCGGATTGCCTGAGCTCAGGATTTTGAGACCAGCCTGGGCAACACGGTGAAACCCTGTCTCTAGTAAAATACAAAAAATTAGCCGGGCATGGCAGCGTGCGCCTGTAGTTCCAGCTACTTGGGAGGCTGAGGCAGGAGAATTGCTTGAACCTGCAGGCAGAGGTTGCAGTGAGCTGAGATCGTGCCACTGCACTCCAGCTTGGGTGACAGGGAGAGACTCTCTCTCTAAAAAAAATAAAAAAATAAAAAAAAAAAAAAAACAGAGTAGAGCCAACACAGGCTGCTTGGTGGGGTTTTAAGGATTTTTAGAATGTTCTCATTTGTCTTGGTCCTTAGAGTGGGAATTGAGGGAAGCTGGCTTTTAAAAAGCTTTCATTCAGTTTTTAGTAATCTATGACATGAAAAAAAATGATTTTCTAAGAAAGAAAATTTTAAAAGTACTCTGTAGTCATAGAAAAAGTGTCTGGATAGTTTGATGTTCCCTTGCCGTTGAAAATCAGAGCTCTTGGGCAGCCCCAGTTGTTCAAAGTGAGCCCAGCTTATGGGCAGTTGTTCAGACTGAGCCCAGCACTTATGCAGCTCGAGCTGAGTGAGTCCCAGCCGGATTCCCCTCATCCCGGCACAGCCTTCTATTTCCAGGACCCTGCACAGCTACCCTGTCAGTTGGTTTTTATTTTTCTCGCTTACAGCTTTTTGGGGTAAATATTGGACACACACCCCCTATCACACAAATCAGTTGCCACTTCTAAGAATCAGAAAGACTTTTAAGCGCCCCTAGAACACAGGCGAACACATATTCCTGTTAAGGGTCTTAGAGTTGTATCCTCAGTTTCAACTGGGATGGTGCTGACAACTCATTCCTTCCCCTCCTCTGCAGATGGGCGGCCCCTCTACGTGCTCAGGCTGGGGCAGATGGACACCAAAGGCTTGGTGAGAGCGCTCGGGGAGGAAGCCCTGCTGAGATACGTAAGTGCGCGGCTGCGAGACTCCAGGTGCCACTGTGGCGTCACTTTTTTTCTCTGCCAGTAGGATTGGGGTGTTAACCAGCCTGTTAGAACAAACATGAATTGCTTATGTAGTTAGGACTGAAAATATATTAATATCGTCTTAAAATTTCAAAAGGAGACACAGAAGTTATAAAAGTGTTTCTCACAGTGGAAGCGTCAGTGAGGCAGTCAGGGTCTCCCCCGAGATGCCTGTGTAGCAGCAGTTTGAGTCTTTTCATTCACTCCCATGTGGAATTGCCCTCTCTTGGGACGCCACTCACAGCAGACCTCTTGATAGCATTCTTTCCACTGGCCCTTCGTTAACGCGAGCTCTTGGCGTCTTTCTCCAGACCCTCCTGAATGCCTGCTGACCCATCATCTCGCTGACTCCAGCCAGGCCCCGCTCCACTGCTGCCGCCATTGGCAGCTGTGCTTCCCCCTCCCAGAGAAGAAGATGGTCCTTCAATTTGAAAACAAACAGAAACTTAAAAGACGTATTTATAGCCCCATTATCCTGAAATACGCATTTTTGGCTTTATTTTTTATTATGTTTTTTGAGACGGAGTTTCACTCTTGTTACCCAGGCTGGAGTGCAATGGTGTGATCTTGGCTCACTGCAACCTCCACCTCCCAGGTTCGAGTGATTCTCCTGCCTCAACCTCCTGAGTAGCTGGGATTTCAGGCACCCGCCACCATGCCCAGCTAATTTTTTCATATTTTTACTAGAGACGGGGTTTCACCATGTTGGTCAGGCTGGTCTCGAACTCCTGATCTCAGGTGATCCTCCCGCCTTGGCCTCCCGAAGTGCTGGAATTACAGGCTTGAGCCACCCTGCCCAGCCAGCTTTTTTTTTTTTTTTTTTTTTTTTTTTAAAGAGACATCGTCTTACTCTGTTGCTGAGGCTGGGGTACAGTGTACAGTGTCTATTCGTGGGTGTCATCACGACTCACTGCAGCTTCAAACTGCTGTCCTCAAGCAGTCCTCCCACCTCGGCCTCCTGAGTAGCTGGGACTACAAGCACCACCACTGAGCCTGGCTCACTGTTGGCATTCCCTTGTGTATTGTGTTAGTCTGCCCCCACCGCTATGTGTGTTTATATATCCCCACATGCACACGTTCACACATAAAGATAGGGATGGACTTTATCTACAGGGGAGGGGTTTATTAACCTAAAGCAAAGGATCGCTTGAGCCATGCCTTACATCTGTTCTCAGGCTGCCTTTTCTCTTGGCGGGCACATGTGGTATCAGAGTGTTCTCACACTCACAGACATTCATCTCCTGTTCCCATGCACTTGTTCTGAAGACAGAGCCCCAGAGCCAGGCCCCTGCTCATCTGGGGATACCTCTGTGCTTCACTTTGGATAGCCGTTACCTTTGCCACACATGACAGTGTTTATTCTCTTTCAAAAGTAGAATTTATTTGTTGGTGGTGATGTGTTTAGCGCATGTGAATGTGTAAGAAAATCTCCATAGGTGACTTTTTTGATTTACATGCTTATCTGTAATACGCTGTTAGTGTCCCTCTTCCATAGCTGGACGCGGTAGTTTTAGCCTTAAACTAATCATGGTAAATTTTCATGCCCTTTTGTATGTAGGTTCTCTCCATAAATGAAGAAGGGCTAAGGCGATGCGAAGAGAATACAAAAGTCTTTGGTCGGCCTATCAGGTAGATGTGGGATTTTGTTTTTCCTTTCAACTTACTGAGAAAACGAATTAAATATTTCTAGTTGATTTTTGGAATTAAAATCTACTTATTATTTTCCAAGGTGCTCTAAAAGGTAGACAAGAAGTGAACATGTAATATGCCAGTGACGAGGGACAGACAGTTAGTGTTTTTTGACCCCAGGCATTGCTGTGACGTCAGCCAGAGTGGGTTGGCCTGTCTGCTTAGTCTGTGCGGGCCGCAGGAGCCCAGGGCTGCAGATCGTTTGCTTGTTTTTGCCTCCCCTCCCCACCCAGATGACTCTGTGTTCTTAAACCAAGCTCTAAGTTACAGTAAAGAGTTCTGAAAATGTTTAGTGATTCAGAGGTTGACATTGATAAGGGTGTAGATGGTTCACTGGGATGTAAGTTCCATGAGAACAGGGTTTTTGAGGGCCTTTTGCTGACTGCTGTATTCTCAGCTCCTGGGACAGTGCTTGCCTCTCTCTCTGTTGAAGCATAGCCCACTGCAGTTCAGATGCAATATGTGTTAAAATACCAGCTGTGTGCCCTGTTGATGGCAGGTTGGGGGGTGGTTTAGCACGTCGAGGACAGCACACTGTGGCTTTGCTTGCCGGCTCACTGAGCATATCTGAGAGAGCTTTTCGTGCATTATCAGTCAGCCTTAATTGCAGTTTCAGGCCTTGGTCCTACCACACTGATCCTGTGTGTTTTGTACAAGTAGATATAAACAGGGTTCATAGCACTATACATAGCACTATAATTTAAAAAAATTGATTATGATGTATTTGGAAATAGCTATAAATGACCAAAAAGGAAGAAAATAAGACACAGTTTGCTAAGTGTGCTGTCTGTTGAATGAAACACATCTCTGCACAACCTGCAGCTCATGGACCTGCCTGGTGGACTTGGAAGGGCTGAACATGCGCCACTTGTGGAGACCTGGTGTGAAAGCGCTGCTGCGGATCATCGAGGTGGTGGAGGCCAACTACCCTGAGACACTGGGCCGCCTTCTCATCCTGCGGGCGCCCAGGGTATTTCCTGTGCTCTGGACGCTGGTGGGTTGAGATGCTTTTTGCAGTAACTGTGAGCCATTTGGAAAGCAGATAACATGCATTCATATACACGTGTCTGTGACCTAAAGTCTTAACTTCTTAGGAAAAAAAACAATAACATGCAAAGATATAAAATTTCTCAAATTGTTTAAGAAAGGGGAAAAACAAAATGTGAGTGTCCTAATGCCATGCAAATAGACTTTACAGAAGAAGTATATAAACTTGAATGTCTTCCCCCCACCCTCCCACTCAGAATACCACATTGTCATTTTAATCTTGGACACTCAGGCAGCAGAGAAATATGACTGCATGGTCTTCTCCTCCTCACAGGTTAGTCCGTTCATTGATGACAACACCAGAAGGAAGTTCCTCATTTATGCAGGAAATGACTACCAGGGTCCTGGAGGCCTGCTGGATTACATCGACAAAGAGATTATTCCAGATTTCCTGAGTGGGGAGTGCATGGTATGTCCTGAGGCGAGGAACTGCACATTTGGCCCCTTATGCAGGTGGGAGAGGTCGGTGTCGATTTGCACAAATGATTTTCAGAACTTCCAGTTGTTTGGATGTTTTGTTTTTGTTTTGTTTCTTTTGGCCGCCATTTCTCTGATCCAGGGTTAAGCTAAAGAGAACCATTGAAGTAATTGTTGATACTGTACATTTCTTCATTGTTAAATACGAATGAGAATTCGTAGAATCAAATACGATTGCAGCTTGCTTTGATTCACACGGCTTTGTGTGAATCAGATCTTTAAACAATTTTAGAGGAGCTGTCATATTTTCTAAAATACTGTTAAAAAATTGAATCAGTTCTCAAAATTTCCCACCCGCCCCTCCCCGTCCTTTTTTTTATGGAGACAGGGTCCGGCTCTGTCACCCAGGCTGGAGTGCAGTGGTGCGATCACAGCTCAGCAGCCTGACTTGGTGGGCTCAGGTGATCCTCCCACCTCAGCCACCCAAGTAGCTGGGACTGTAGGCGTGCACCACCATACCCAGCGAATTTTTTGTAGAGGCAGAGTCTCACTATTTTGCCCCAGACTGGATGACATTTTTGGTTTTTTTTTTTCTTCTTGAGATGGAGTCTTGCTCTGTTGCACAGGCTGGAGTGCAGTGGTGCAATCTCAGCTCACTGCAGCCTCCGCCTCCCAGATTCAAGCGATTCTTCAGTCTCAGCCTCTGGAGTAACTGGGATTACAGGCATGCGCCACTACCCACAGCTAATTGTTTTATTTTTAGTAGAGATGGGGTTTCACCATGTCAGCCAGGCTGGTCTCAAACTCCTGACCTCAAGTAATCCGCCCACCTCGGCCTTCCAAAGTGCCGGGATTACAGGCATGAGCCACCATGCCTGGCCTGGATAACATTTTTAAAGTAAAAAAACGAAGGGAAGTGGTTCTCAACATACGTTTGGGGTTTTTAATATACTGAGTTGCTGGGTAATGAAGCAGAGGCCTCCACTTCTATATCCTGTACTCAGAGAAGCTCAGAACCTTGGGGTCCTTATAGGCTTCTAGCCCATGGTGCACAGTTGTGTCTTGGGAGCATTACGGAAGCCAGAGCCTCTAGAAGTCCCAGTGACTTGTTCCATGGCACACGGCGGTGGCTGAACTCAGCAGGGAGTGAAGCTCCTTTTCAGAAGGGCTCTCTAGTCATCCTTCATATGAAAAGTTACCCGTTTGGAATGTGTACCCACTGGGTTTGACTCAGGTATTTAGCTAATGAATTGGACATTCAGGGGACTTTGGACTTTCTGAATGGTTAGAGAAATTTAGAAAACAAATGAATTTAGCTTTCACTTCATCAGTTCCACTTTAAGGAAATTACAGGCATCATCACAGTACAATGCAAAGAGCAAGTAAGTTACAGTAAAGGTTATAGGACCAGAATTTAGCAAGCGCCTATGAGGTTAAACCGCAGGCTCAGGTTCGTAGAAACCTCTGAACTCCTTTCATGATATGAGCTAGCCATCCCGTGTTGTTGCTGCTTCCAATTATGACACGAAGAATTGAGCTGGAGCCCAAGGAGACCTGCCTCACCGCGTTGTGCCTGTTTGTCACATGCCGACCTCCGTAGTGTGTTTGCGGTGCTGAGCGTCTTTGTGGTTAATTGAACTGTCCAAAAACTTGGGCCTTCTAAGGCTTCTTCACCTCTCTCCTGAGCTGCTGTTGAGGCTGATTGTTGAAAGGAGGTTGTTCCCTCCTGCTCTCTGGTGGCCGGAGGTTACTAACCAGCGGGCAGTCTGGTATTTTTCCACCACGACATCACTGCTTTGACACTTATGCTGTACTGCAGGCTGAAGACTGAAATGTTTATTTTCTATGTAGTTGCTTCCCAAGGCTAATAGAACGAGGACTTCGATTTTATGAACTTTAGTGTGGAGTCATTGTGTCAAGGTCAATTAGGAGATTTATGTTATGTACAAGTTCTAATTCAACTTGTTTCAGGCAAATTCAAAAGAAGTTCTTCATTAGTTTTTGGCTGGTGTTATAGACCAGTCATTTGACTTTAGACAGAAAACATTATTCATTGATTCTGTATCTTCACTATAATTCCCTATCATAAAAATAATGCCTGTGGCTATTGAGAGCAAAACTCTTTTCTTAAAGTAATACTTTTCCTTTACAGGGCAATATAAATACCCCTAATGCTTATATGAGTCAGCTTTAGTAACTGGGTGCAGTGCCTCACGCATTTTAGTAGGAATTCTGTGGTACATCAGCTTCAACTTGTTCCCGTTTATGCAGAGTAAAACACATGTATTTAAGTGGTTTTTAAAAACATATTGCTCAGTAGTGCAGAGTGTTTTACGACCCTGCCAGTGTTTTCCATTTTCTCAGCAACCTCCAGAAGTTGAGTGCAGGGGGATAGTGCTGGCCGGTGTGTCTGGGTTTCGTGGGGTTGGTTTGTGTTTGCACAGGTTTCACTGCTGTGTTTCTTCTTCCAGTGCGAAGTGCCAGAGGGTGGACTGGTCCCCAAATCTCTGTACCGGACTGCAGAGGAGCTGGAGAACGAAGACCTGAAGCTCTGGACTGAGACCATCTACCAGTCTGCAAGCGTCTTCAAAGGAGCCCCACATGAGGTACGTCCTCCGCCTTCCTGCACCTGGGCCGGCCCTTCCTCCGCAGAGGGCCTGGCCCTCGCAGGGCTTCCTGGCAGCCTTTCATTCAGAACAGTCCACTCGTTTTTCTGCTCTTTGTCTTTAGGCTTTTGTTGACACTCGATATTTAGTTTCAGTAAATGTCAACGTCGAAGAATGGGTCTCTCTCAGAATAGAAACTAGCTGTGCTTGATCAGAGTGCCTGGAAAGGAAATTGGATCTCTTGACCTCCATTTTACTAAAGCCACCAAACACAGAGATAGGAATAGCTAATCTTTCCTTGTTGGAGCACTTAACTCCTGAATTTAGTTTATTTCATGGTTATATTGAACAAGTTTCATGTGCTACTTTTTCTTTTTTTTTTTCTAGACAGAGTTTTGCTCTGTTGCCCAGGCTGGAGTACACTGGCATGATCTCAACTCACTGCAACCTCCGCCTTATGGGTTCAAGCAATTCTCCTGCCTCAGCCTCCCAAGTAGCTGGGATTACAGGCACCCGCCACCACGCCTGGCTAATTTTTGTATTTTTAGTAAAGGTGGGGTTTCACCATGTTGGCCAGGCTGGTCTCGAACACCTGACCTCAGGTGATCCACCTGCCTTGGCCTCCCAAAGTGCTGGGATTACAGGTGTGAGCCACTGTACCTGGCCCGTTTGCTACTTTTTCTTGGCTGGGTTTTGGTTATTTATAGATATCTTGGGGATTTTCCGATTTCTGTAAGTCTAATGGAGCAAGGAGGGTGTTCCTGTATTCCTTTTTTGCTGTCACTTTTGGTAGAGAAGCAAGGGCGTTCCGTGTTCCTGTGCATGCCATATGTCTGTCCTGTAGCATCACGAGTGACCTGAAGCAGGAGGGGCCTGCAGCGGAATCTCCCTTCTCAGCTAGGACAAGGTTCGTGGCCCAGAGTTGTTGGAGAGGATGGTGGCACTCTGTGCAGAGCAGGTGTCAGTGAGGATGTGGTGCTGGCTTGGGCAATGGTGCTGGCCGGGAGCTGACTGCGGCCTGCTTCCTGCCGTGGTGGCACCTGGGTCAGCCATCTGCCAGTGGCTTCTGCTGGGGTGTCTTCCTGAGTGGCTCACCTGGTGCTTGCAGGGCAGGTGGATAAGGGAATGCTGTTGCCATGGTTTGAACAAGCAGAGACAGATTTGGTGTGCCTTACTTGTAGATACATACATAGAGGAATCTCAGATTTCATAACGTCTTGAGGATTGTCTGTATTCATTTCTTACCGGGAGGGCAGGCTCCAGGGACCGAGTCCTTGTTCCTTGTTTGTTAGGCACTATCGCTCTTGTCCATGTTTCAAGAACTTGGGGTGCAGTGTGTTTCGTGTGAATCGGGGGCATCTGTAGACATCCACATGGTAAAAACCTCCGTTCTGCTTTGGGTATTAAATAAAGCACAGATCCGAGATGGCAACAAACTGAAAGGAAGGCTGAAGCGGAGGCCCCCACTGTGAATGCAGGAAAGAGGTTCCGTCAGCACAGGGGGCCGAGGCCTCAGGATGGAGCTGCCTGGGGAGCCACTTTGCTGAAGAGGGGGCCGTGCCACGTGGTGCCGCCTGCTGTTCTTAGACAGGACCCTTGTACCTCACTGAATCTGCTGTGGAAGGACATTCTGAAGTGGCGTTTCAGTGGTGAGGTGGCAGTGGTGGGATTAAAGGGGCCCGGCTCGTAGAGCAGCCACGCGCTGAAGGGCACAGCAGACAGCGTGCATGGGCTGAGAGGGGCCGTGGGCCTGGCTCTGCTGCTTCCTTAGGTGGAGTTTTCAGTGACTGCAGAACTCTGCACAGCTGCTTTTCATTCTCACGTCCGCCCCCGCCCAATCTTTGAAACTAACTTTGATTATTCCCTCCTGGGTAGCTCTGTCGGTGCTGTGTAAGTTTGGTTTTCAATTGGTTCTCAGCACCCAGGGGGTGACCACCTCAACCCCATCTCTACTATGCCAGGGGCTCATCCCGCTCACCCAGCCTCGCCACTGTTCTCTCGTGTGAGCCTCACACGGCAGGCCCGGTTCCATGCCCCTGCTTCCCCCTTGCTGGGAACGCTGTCCTCAGGCTCCCCTGCCTGCTCTTTCTTTAGCTTTCACCTTCTCCAGGGCCTTCTGTTCTGTCCAGCCCAGGGCAGTCCTCTGAACCACTCATGTACGAGCTCACAGTGTTTGGTGTTTCTAAGACCTGGCCTCTTAGAGTGTGTGTGAAGATGGTGTATGGGAGATCTTGGACCTCTAGGTGCAGGTCACAAAGAACACAGAGCTTGGTGCATGACATGTAGCAGGATCCAGCGGTTGAATGGATGGTGGTGTGTGACTCTGGGGAAAGAGATCCGTCCATACGCATTCAGCGTTTCCCTCCCCAGCTTCAGCACCTGCACCCTGGATCCCCTGGAGAGCACGATGCGCTCGCAGCATGCCGGCCTGGTGCTCGTGGATCGTGGCTGCCTAACGCTGCCTCTTTTTCAGATTCTCATTCAGATTGTGGATGCCTCGTCAGTCATCACTTGGGATTTCGACGTGTGCAAAGGGGACATTGTGTTTAACATCTATCACTCCAAGAGGTCGCCACAACCACCCAAAAAGGACTCCCTGGGAGCCCACAGCATCACCTCTCCGGGTGGGAACAATGTGCAGCTCATAGACAAAGTCTGGCAGCTGGGCCGCGACTACAGCATGGTGGAGTCGCCTCTGATCTGCAAAGAAGGAGAAAGCGTGCAGGTAAAATCACACACAGGTCAAATCGCGCATCCGTGACTCCACACGGCCAGGTGATTCTGTCTTGAGTAGACTCTTTGCTTCGCTCCTTGAGCAGCCCTGTGTAGCTTTTGAGGCCCTGCTTGTGGAGGAGCAGCTTGCCTGGAGGAGCAGGAAGCCAAGTGGGTCTCGTAGGAAGGAGTTCAGGCCTCGCAGTGGTTTTGGACAGAATCTGCGACTTTTCCCAAAAGCAGCCTGTGACAGGAAGGGAAGGCATCGCACGCACGGGCCCAGCTGGGCTTCATAGGATTTTTCCCCCCCGCCTCATTTCACCGGGTTGTGTTTGTCTTTTTCAAAGGAAAATCACCCTAAATAGAAGTAAGAGGGACAAGTACTTAGAGAACTATTAGCTCTCATTACCAAACCTTCTAATTTGTTTCAAATGCTTTCAGTTCCCTTTTCACATTGTGGCTGGTTATTTTGGGTGCCTGTGCTCACAGTAGCCTCGGGGCGGGGGCATTGCTTCTGGCCTTCATAATAGATGCATCGTTTTGCTGCCTTTACAGTTTTCAGGGGTAAGGCTTGTCAGTGTTTCAGTGGTCTTAGAGGCAGAGTAAAAGAATCCTTTGTCCATTTTAAAAACAATGAACAGCTAAGCTGTGTTAACCAGTCATGAATTTCGGAGAGAATGGAGAAGGAGCTTTCCACGGATTGACGGCTCACTTTAGGGTGACGTGCCTTCAGCCCCGAACATGCTGGATGATTGGCAGCATGTCAGAGAAAGTGAGGCCAGGTCCAGGGAAGCTGTGCTGAGCCCTCCCTCCAGCATGGGTGCCACCAGCCTGCCAGGCTCCTGCCTCCGTAGGTGGGGTGGGCTGGGCAGGCCTCGTGAGGGCCACGGACATGGAGCTTGTCCCTCCGGGCTTCCCAGCACCCGGGAGTGACCACACTCAGTAGAGGGAAGGACATTGTCAAACCTGCTGCTGAAGCAAAATAGCAGGTTCTGAATCCCATTGAGATAGTTTCCGTAGCTACATGAAATCCTAAAGACAGTCCCCTTGGCGCTTGTCAGGCCTGTGGTAGGCCAGGGGTCGGAAGCGAGTCGCCCTCAGCTGCCACTGCCCTACTTGTTCTAGGGTTCCCATGTGACCAGGTGGCCGGGCTTCTACATCCTGCAGTGGAAATTCCACAGCATGCCTGCGTGCGCCGCCAGCAGCCTTCCCCGGGTGGACGACGTGCTTGCGTCCCTGCAGGTCTCTTCGCACAAGTGTAAAGTGATGTACTACACCGAGGTGATCGGCTCGGAGGATTTCAGGTGCGGCCACCCTCGCCACAGCAGGTGCTGCGGACAGCTGGGCATGGTTGGAGGGAGCCTGCAGTCCCACGCCGTGTGCAGGATCAGCAGTGGCGGCGGGTGTCAGGAATGCTTGGAGGGCCAGGAGGGAGTGGCTTTGGGGTCATTTGTTGGCACGGTGACTCCCTGCCTGTCTGCAGAGGGAGAGTGTCGGAGACAGAGCCGACTGACTGCCTTTGCTTTAGCTCACACTGCCGTCTGCGTGCAGGCTGTGGGAAGCCGGTCCCCCTGGTGGGTTACTCATGTCCATCCCCCGTTTGCAAGCACTGATGGGGATGAGAAGTGAGCAGAGAACAGGGTGGGCCACGAAGTCCAGCAGGCAGTGTGGGCCGGCGGGTGGTTGGCAGGGTGGTCCTCACGCCTCGCCCCTCCCTGTGCCATTACAGAGGTTCCATGACGAGCCTGGAGTCCAGCCACAGCGGCTTCTCCCAGCTGAGTGCCGCCACCACCTCCTCCAGCCAGTCCCACTCCAGCTCCATGATCTCCAGGTAGTGCCGCGCTGCCTGCACCTAGTGTGCAGAGGGGACGGCCGCCCCTCCTCGGACAGCCAGCTGCACCCGCCCACCCAGCGGCGACATTGTACAGACTCCTCTCACCTCTAGATAGCAAATAGCTCTCAGATGGTAAACGTAGTCGTTTGATCCCAAAACTACCTTGGCAGGTAGTTTTAACTCTGATCCTAACTTAACTCAATAGCCATAGATTTTGTATACGTTGTGCACAAAATCCAACCAGAGCGCAAGGGCTCTCTTGAAAGAAAAGTAGTTTCTGTACCAATTAAAGGATTGACGTGGTCTCAGATATTGATGCAAAAAATTTTTCCAACGAACTCCGCATTGTCCATTAGTGAATGAATTCCTGTGACATCCTCCAGAGATGGCCCCTCCTCACCTGGGACGGAAGCTGCCAGCTCGCTTCCCCCAAGCTGCCTCATGGCCCGCACGCCGCCTCACGGCCCCCATGCTTCCCGCCAGTCAAGATGGTCTGTGGACTTAGGGCCAGCCCTTGAGGTCCTTATCCTCTGAGGATTCAGAGGTTGCCTGCGGAGTACCTTGTCCCAGGGCCAGACACACCCACACCACCCACTGTCCTGCAGTGGGGCCGGGGGCTCAGGAGGGGCTCTCAGGGACTCCTGGTGACTCCAGGAAAATGCTGCCATCGTTAAACATTACTTTCTCTTTCCTCCTTTTCAAATCTTTTTGATACTTTTTAGAGCAGGATTTTTCTGTATGTGAACTTGGGTGGGGGGGTTCTTCCCGTTTCCTTCCGTGCGTCGCCCCTCTCACCTGCAGTCAGCTCCCAGCCCAGTGTAGGCCATCTCCTCTGTGCCCTCTGGTGGCTCATTGTCCTCAGAGCCCAGACAGTTCCAGCCACTAGGAGGCCGTCTTGGAACCAGCAAGTCGCATTTGCCACTTGACACTGTCCATGGGGTTTTATTAGTAGCTAAGCAGCAGCTCTCGCATCCACTTCAGGGTGGCGTGTGGCATGTAGGAGTCCTGCTTCTTTGTACATGGGAATTGTGGACTCATGCGTGTGTGTGTGTGCATGTGCTGTGTGTGTGCATGTGTGCATGACGGTGGGGGTGCTGGGGGGACGGGGTGAGTGGAAACTTAGTTTGAGTAATGAAGGAATCTTCACAGAAGCAAATCAGAATATGGGATTTGTTTGCCTTTTACATTTTGTTTAATTCCTGATTTTAAAGCCTGCTCTATCTGGTACAGGCCCTTATTTTTTCAGCTTTTTATGGGAAAAGCAGGTTATTTGAGAATCTGTCCAGAAGTTGCATAGGGGATGGCCTCCACGATAAGGACATGCAACACGTGTTTCTGTGTGCAGCAGAGGCCGTGTTTTTCATGCCAAACCCCACGCGGCTGTCAACTGTGTGCGTGGTAGGCATGGAGATCCTGGTTGTGCCGTCTCAGCTCCGCTCTGAAGGCACTGTGTGGGTGCTGCGTGACTGGAGAGCTGTGTGGAGGCCATGTGTGCCCCGTGCAGGGATCAGGAGGGCGGGGGAGGGACCGAGCAGCCCTCTTGCCCGGTCGGGTCAGCCCTAGTGGCTGCCTGCACACTGTAGACGTCCCAGGGCCTGTGCTGTGATCACCTGCCTTTGGACCACATTTGTGTTTGCTCTTAGAGATCGAGCTCCTCAGTGGTACCTGAAGCCTTTGCTTCCGGAAAGCGCGGTAGGGTTCGTAGGTAGGGCTAGTAGGTAGGGTTAGTAGGTAGGGCTAGTAGGTAGGGCTAGTAGGTAGGGTTCGTAGGTAGGGTTCGTAGGTAGGGCTGGTAGGTAGGGTTAGTAGGTAGGGCTAGTAGGTAGGGTTAGTAGGTAGGGTTCGTAGGTAGGGTTCGTAGGTAGGGTTCGTAGGTAGGGCTAGTAGGTAGGGTTAGTAGGTAGGGTTCGTAGGTAGGGTTCGTAGGTAGGGTTAGGTAGGGTTCGTAGGTAGGGTTAGTAGGTAGGGCTAGTAGGTAGGGTTCGTAGGTAGGGTTCGTAGGTAGGGCTAGTAGGTAGGGTTAGTAGGTAGGGCTAGTAGGTAGGGCTAGTAGGTAGGGTTAGTAGGTAGGGCTAGTAGGTAGGGTTCGTAGGTAGGGTTAGTAGGTAGGGCTAGTAGGTAGGGTTCGTAGGTAGGGTTCGTAGGTAGGGCTAGTAGGTAGGGTTAGTAGGTAGGGCTAGTAGGTAGGGCTAGTAGGTAGGGTTCGTAGGTAGGGTTCGTAGGTAGGGTTCGTAGGTAGGGTTCGTAGGTAGGGTTAGTAGGTAGGGTTCGTAGGTAGGGCTAGTAGGTAGGGCTAGTAGGTAGGGCTAGTAGGTAGGGTTAGTAGGTAGGGCTAGTAGGTAGGGCTAGTAGGTAGGGCTAGTAGGTAGGGCTAGTAGGTAGGGTTCGTAGGTAGGGTTCGTAGGTAGGGTTCGTAGGTAGGGTTAGTAGCGCGTCTGTGCTGCTTCCACCTGGTGCTTCCTGTTCCCAAATCACAAGGGCCTGAAGGTGGTCCCTGCTTTCTCTTTCTCTTTCTCTGTGTCTCAGATGGCGATTTTGCTGACAGCTGCCAAGAAAATGCTTCACTCAACAGTCCTCATGTGCCCAGAGATGTTTATAGAACTGTTTGAATTGCAGCCATCCCCTGCCCCCTCCCAGGCTGAAGATCTGTTCTTTTTAAGTTGATTCGGGAGTGGCATTCTTTTATACCCAAAGACTGTAGTGCATCTTGAAGAGCTCAAAGCACATGACCGCACAAATGCTTACAGGGTTTCCTCCCGAGTAATCCAATCTCACTCCCCTTGTAAGGGAATTCTGGGGCAGCTATGGTTTGAGTATGCAGTTTGCATCGTGTTTCTACCTTTAGTACCTTGCCACTCTTTTAAAACGCTGCTGTCATTTCCCATTTCTTAGTACTAATGATTCTTTGATTCTCCCTCTATTATGTCTTAATTCACTTTCCTTCCTAAATTTGTTATTTGCATATCAAATTCTGTAAATGTTTTGTAAACATATTACCTCACTTGGTAATACAATACTGATAGTCTTTAAAAGATTTTTTTATTGTTATCAATAATAAATGTGAACTATTTAAAGAAAAGAATGTCTTTTTCTTATTGTGAAACAACAGTTTCCCTTGAAGAGTTTGAGATTCTTAGGAGAATTTAGAGATTGAAGAAAGAAGAGAGCTTCTGAAGCCAGAGTACTGATGCTCTAGAAGTTCAAGAAGAGCTTTAGCTTGTGTGGGAGTGTTTCACAGGTGAGCGGTCCGGCCTCAGAAGAGCTTTAGCTCATGTGGGAGTGTTTCACAGGTGAGTGGTCGTTCAAGAAGAGCTTTAGCTCCTGTGGGATTGTTTCACAGGTGAGCGGTCCGGCCTCAGGTCACAGCCGTATGTTTGCTGATGCAGAAGCGAACCCAGTGTTTGTCCTCGCTTCTGTAAGAAGACATGATGTGGTTTTTCTTAAACGCAGCCAGATCTAACATCACTGTGATGGGGCGATCCCTGCTGTGATGTTTCCGTTGTGATAAAAAGGATTGCTTTCATCAGGCGCCTCCAAGAAAATAAAAGAGGCAGGTGTGGACCTTTAGAAGCCTGGATTACCTTATCTCCACTCCCCTGCCAATCAGTGGGTCTTCGGGGGGTCATAAACCAGTGGGCAGAGCAGGCTGCTGGCTCGGTGAAGCTCAGGGCAGGCCAGAAGGCGGCTCAGGGCAGCGTGCCAGGGTGCAGAAGCCAGTGCCTCCCTAACTGGGAACCGCAGGATCATTGGCATTCCTAGTAGTCCGTATCTGTCCTTGGTGGGACACAGCCAAGGGGTCTGGCTGGCACCTGGGTGGGAAGCAGGGGAGACCGAGGGTGCCCTGCACGTCCATGCTGGGCCTGGGCCGTCAGTGTGTCCACAGGCAGTCAGGACCTTAGCCGTGCCAAAATCTGATGATTTAGTCAACCTGCGATGGAAGGAAGAGGCTTTTTACCTGGATTCCCTTTATGCCCTCATATTTCTGTGTCTGTTGTCAAGTCGGACCTACTGTTACCAAGCTTTTGGCTTGGCGGTCCAGTTCTCAGGGTGGAAGCCAGAGGCAGCTTGGAAACTAACTGAGGGTCGTAGGATGATAACCCGCAGCCCGTCTCCTGACCACCTTCAGAAAGGGCCACACTGAAATGGAGTGTCTTGAACAGCAGTGTGTTTATATTGGGCCACCAAACCATTAGTAATGCGTTTGTTCTCTGTTGTTGTGGGTTTTTTTTTTTTTTTTTTTTGAGACAGAGTCTTGCTCTGTGCTCTGTCACCCAGGCTGGAGTGCAGTGGCACAATCTCGGCTCACTGCAACCTCCGTTCTCAGGTTCAAGTGATTCTCCTGCCTGAGCCTCCTGAGTAGCTGGGGCTACAGGCATCCACCACCACACCTGGCTAATTTTTGTATTTTTAGTAGAGATGGGTTTTTGCCATGTTGGCCATGCTGGTCTTGAACTCCTGACCTCAAATGATCCACCCACCTTGGCCCCCTAAAGTGCTGGTATTTCAGGCGTGAGCCACTGCACCCGGCCAATGTGATGATTCTTAAATATATCATGTTTCCTTTAATACTCCATCTCTGCAGAACTTTGGCAGAGCCCAAACCGTAGGTTGTCTTCCAGTTCTTAAGTTGTGGTGGAGGCATTCTTATTAATGTCACCATGAAACAAACCAGTTGGAATCAGTTTTGCTTGAAAAGTGAGGGCTTTGGAAAGCCAGGGATTCTGGGAAGATGGTAATACAACTAGACTGCAAAACCTAAAACCGGTGGATGACTGAATGGTCACTTTAAAATGGTTGAAATGGCAGCGTTTGTGTATGTGTTTTGGCACGATAGTAAGAACAGCCTATGGACATCATTTACGGCAACACTAGCTGATAAAGTATCCCCATAAACCCCAAACCAGGGGTGAGTCGGGGTAAACCACCAATAGTTTCCAGAGCTTCCGGACCCATAGGTTATCCGTGTCTGAGGGAGAAAGCAGAGGTTACATGCAAAACGTCTGATGGATGGGAGAGCAGGAGAAGCCACGAGGCCCCACGAACCCCAGTGGGAGGCCAGTGTGTGCTCAGCAGGTAACACGGCCCAGCTGGGCTGCACCTGGAGCCTGGGGACACGGAGGCTGTTGGGAAGAGGATCGGGTTGAGGGGAGCAGACCAGGCCCTCTGGACTCCCTGGACTGACCTGCCAGGGCTCACTTCTGGAAGGAACCTCACAGTGAGGAAATAAAGCATATTCCACTGCTTGGAGGGAATAAAGTCAAGCAGGATGGGGACCGAGTCTGTGCAGGTGCCTGGGAGGGTCATGGGCAGGGCAGCGGTGAAAGCAGACGGATGTGATGTTTTAAACGTTTCACAAAACAACAGAGGGAGCACCGCAAAATTAGAGCAGCTTTCTTGAAGCATACTTCATTCTGAATGTTTATGAAATACTTTTCCATAAAAATGAGCATCAGAAAAGTAGCAAAGTCAAACCTATAGAAGGCTCAGAGTAGGGAGCAGAATAATACTCCCACCAACAATGAAAGCAAGCCAGAAAGGCATGCCTGCAAAACAGACCAAAGAAAACACATTTAAAAACTATTTTTGTTTTATTTTTATTTTGTATTTTATTTTGTTTTTTATTTTTTGAGACGGAGTCTTGCTGTGTCGTCCAGGCTGGAGTGCAGTGGCATGATCTCTGCTCACTACAACCGCTGCCTCCTGGGTTCAAGCAATTCTTCTGCCTCAGCCTCCCTAGTCGCTGGGACTATAGGTGTGCACCACCACGCCTGGCTAATTTTTGTATTTTTAGTACAGATGGGGTTTCACCATGTTGGCCAGGCTTGTCTCGAACTCCTGGCCTCATGTAATCACCCTCCTCAGCCTCCCAAAGTGCTGGGATTAAAGGCGTGATCCCACACGCCCAGTCTAAAAACAATTTTAAAAATGAACTAAAAAAACTTAAAGAAAATGATATGAAACGTGAAAAGCATAATCAGAGTTAGAAAAACTCAGAAATGAAGTGACAGAACTCAAGAAAGATTAGAAATGCAGGAATCCTTTCAGAAATTGAGACAAAGTAGAGGGAATGCAAAGTGAAAAAACAATGCCAAGTGAAAATGAGGATGGTTTTTTTTTTTTTTTTTTTGAGATGGAGTCTCACTCTGTCACCCAGGCTGGAGTGCAGTGGCGTGATCTTGGCTCACTGCAAGCTCTGCCTCCCAGGCTCACGCCATTCTCCTGCCTCAGCCTCCCGAGTAACTGGGACTACAGGCGCCCGCTACCACGCATGGCTAATTTTTTGTATTTTTAGTAGAGACGGGGTTTCACCATGTTGGCTAGGATGGTCTCGATATCTTGACCTCGTGATCCACCGGCCTCGACCTCCCAAAGTGCTGAGATTACAGGCGTGAGCCACCGCGCCTGGCTGATTTTATAAATCGAAAAGGATGGAAAGCCTTCAAAAGTGATGCTGTTGAAAATAAGCAAACACATGAGTGCCACTGAAAGAGTGAGGGTCTGAGAAGGACCAACACCAAGAGTATTTTAGGAAAAGTTCTGGACTTAAAAAATCCTTGGGGCATCCTGGGAATCAGGTTTTTTGAGGACTGAGCTTTCTGCCAGAAGGAAATGGATTAATTAAGACTTTTCAAGGAAAGAGCCAAAAATTTTATGTCCAGCAAGACTGACCTCCACGTATAAAGGGTGCTGATACAGGCCAGGCATGTTGGCTCACACCTATAATCCCAGCACTTTGGGAGGCTGAGGCAGGCGGATCACCTGAGGTCAGGAGTTCGAGACCAGCCTGGCCAATGTGGTGAAACCTCATCTCTACTAAAAATACAAATATTAGCCCAGAGTGGTGGTGGGTGCCTGTAATCCCAGCTACTCGGGAGGCTGAGGCAGGAGAATTGCTTGAACCCTGGAGGTGGAGGTTGCAGTGAGCCAAGATTGCACCATTGCCTTCCAGCCTGGGCAACAAGAACGAAACTCATCTCAAAAAAAAAAAAAAAAAAAAAAAAAGTAAAGGGCGCTGATAAAGCTATCAGTGTGCAGCAGCTTGGGCCTACCACCCTTCCTGAGCTATCCAGCGACTAGGCTTCAGGTAGTGTGGTGGAGAGTCATGAGACCTGGCGGTGGGCTCAGGGTCCTGCCCATCTGTACAGCCGAGGCTAATGAGGGCAAGGGGGCAGTGTGTATTGGCTCCGACAATGTATTGATCACACGAAAGTTTTTGTTTGTTTTGAGACAGGGTCTTGCTCTCGCCCAGGCTGAAGTGCAGTAGCCTGATCGTGGCTCACTGCTATCTCAACATCCTAAGCTCCAGCAATCCTCCAGCTTTAGCCACCTGAGTAGCTGGGACTACAGGCATGCACCACTGCACCCAGCTAATTTTTGTATTTTTGGTAGAGATCGGATTTCACCATGTTGCCCAAGTTGGTCTCCAACTCCTGGGCTTAAGCAATCCACCTGCCTTGGCCTCCCAGAGTGTTAGGATTACAGGTGAGCCACCATGCCTGGCCTGTTTTTGTTTTTGTTTTTTGTTTTTTTTGAGACGATCTTGCTCTGTCACTCAGACTGTGCAGTGGCACAATCACGGCTCTCTACAGCCTCCAACTTGACCTCCTGGGCTCCAGTGATCCTCCTGCCTCAGCTGCCCAAGTAGGACTGCAGGCATGTGCAAGTACACTCAGCTAATTTATTTTTATTTTTGTAGAGATGAGGTCTGGCTGTGTTGCCTAGGTTGGTCTCAAACTCCTGGCCCTAAGCAGTCCTGCCACGTTGCCATCCCAAAGTGCTGGGATTACAGATTTGAGCCACCATGCTTGGCCAGCAAAATTGTGTTTTAAAATGGGAGGAGAATAGAGGGAACATTTGCAAATATCTGTTGTTTTAGTGGTTATATTAGGGGCAGTATTAACATCGTTATGCTGAGTTTTTGTATGGTAACAAGTGAGTAATTAGGGGCTGTCCTCAGCCAGCTTTCCCCAGGTCCTGTGTTGAAGGTTGTCTGTGTGGAAGATAGATCAGGGAGTGGTTAAATAGAAGCCCTGTAGTCGCCAGGTGTGGTGGCTCACGCCTGTAATCCCATCGCTGGGAGACCAGGGTGGGCGGATCACCTGAGGTCAGGAGTTCGAGACCAGCCTGGCCAGGTGAAACCCCATCGCTACTAAAAATAAAAAAATTACCCGGGCATGGTGGTGCACGCCTATAATCCCAGCTCCTTGGGAGGCTGAGGCAGGAGAATCGCTTGAACCCGGGAGGCGGAGGTTGCAGTGAGGCGAGATTGTGCCATTGCACTCCAGCTTGGGCAACAAAGCAAGACTCCGTCTCAAAAAAAAAAAAAAAAAAAAAAAAAGAAGAAGCCCTGTAGTCTCAGATTTGAATTGGAAGGTTAATATGAATTCATGAGGTATTTTTATCTTTAAATGTGTATGTGTGGTGAGTTTAAGTGAATTTACTTAGAAACAATGAGCAGCCCATTACAAAGAGAATCTCTAACATCCCGATTGAACCCAGGCGTTCCTGTTAAAATGACTCATTCCAAGTCTGGGACAGGAAATGGGCCAGATGAGCCTGGGACGTCTTGTCATGTATCACTTGGGAAAAAAGCGATCAAAGACTATTAGGGGGTGGGCACAGTGGCTCATGGAGGCAAACGTGGCAGATTGCTTGAGCCCAGAAGTTCGAGACCAGCCTGGCCCACATGGTGAAACTCTGTCTCTACTAAAAATACAAAATTAGCCAGGCGTGGTGGCAGGCACCTGTAATCCCAGCTACATGGGAGGCTGAGGCAGGAGAATCACTTGAACCTGGAAGCTGGAGGTTGCAGTGAGCCAAGATTGTGCCACTGCACTCCAGCCTGGGTGACAGAGACCATCTCGAAAAATAAAAAATAGGGTCATGTCAAAAGGACTCAGCAGACTCAAAGAGGCCTTCACTGGCCAGAAACGAGACAAGTTCAACTTGTCCCAATTATTATTGTCCTATAATAATAATTGCAGGACGCCATTGAATGTTAAGATTCATGAGTTCATAATTTTAATATATAACATAATTTTGGATGATAGGGAACCATTTATTTTGAAAACTGGTAAATAAGAAGCAAGCATTTATCCCAGCCTTTCCTAAATGCACGATAGATGAAGATGAGTATCTATAAAAGTATTTCAACTTTCACTAACTATAAAAATGATAGAATAACATCATTCTGTAATCCTGATGAATAAATAGATAGAAATATTAAGCATCAGCTGCTAACATCACACACACAAAAGACAAGCAGATGTCCTGTGTCTCCTAGAGATCTACAGTCTTGCCAGAGTTTTGTTATCCAGACTGAATAGATCCAGTCTCTGAATCCAGCTGCCAATTTGCAAGAAATAGAGACCAAGGAACCTGTTGAACTGTACTGTGGGAAACTGAAGTCAGAAGGCTCAGGCTCTTTATCTTTTTTTTGTTGTTGTTGAGATGGAATCTTGCTCTGTCGCCCAGGCTGGAGTGCAGTGGTGCGATCTCGGCTTACTGCAACCTCTGCCTCCTGAGTTGAAGTGATTCTCCTGCCTCAGCCTTCTGAGTAGCTGGGACTACAGGCATACGCCACCATGTCCAGCTATTTTTTGTGTGGTTTTGGTAAAGACGGACCTTCACTATGTTGGCCAGGCTGGTCTCGAACCCCTGACCTCAAATGATGCGCCCGCGTCGGCCTCCCAAAGTGTTGGGATTACAGGCGTGAACCACCCCGCCCGAACAGAAGGCTCAGTCTCTTTAATTTGTAGGAAATGTCCCACCCAATTCCTTTCTTTTTCTTGGAGCAGATCTATTGTAAGTTTTAAAACACGAGGAAGCGATCATCACAGCAGCCGGAAAGCGGCTCCTCCCTGGGCAGAGGCTGTGGTGTGGTGTGGGGTCGGGGCAGTCCTGGCTCCTGGGGTCCTCTGTGCGCTTGTGTGCATTTCCGTGTTTACTTTACAATAAAAAGGTTTATTATTGTTTGGTTGTTTTTTGTTTTTGGTTAATGGCTTTAGACAGGTTAGCTTGCCTTGAAGAAAAGTTAACACTGGTTATTAGGAACTCAGGTCGTCTTCTATCCAAATCACGGGGCTGCTGTGACCTGTGGCACAGGTGCCATTGAGGACATGTCCTGCACTAGCTCGTGTCTGGTCCGATGTGCGTGCCGGCTGTGCCGAGGGCAGCAGCTTCCGTGTTCCTGGTCGCTTCTGTTCCCCAGGAGAGAATCTGAGGTTGTTCCAATTAAAGCTCTGTCCCCTGTGGTGTACTGTCTGTGACCTGTCCTGCCTTCAAATAGAAGCAACCAGACTATTTCCCACTCCGACCTTGCCTTTGGGCTTAAGAAACTGTCACCAGGACCCAGTTTTGACAGTGACAAATCATCATGAGCCCTTACTGAGTCTCTTTGCACTGTCCCCAGCCACTTTATGTCCGATTAGAGACACGAGGGAGAGAAAAACCTGCTGCCTGCCCTCTCTGAGCTGAGAACCAGTGAGGGGCAAGAGGCCGGTGCAACTCCTGAAGGAGAGAACGGGGTGCAGAGAGAAGGGGGACCCTTCCAGCTCCATCTGCAGAGCCATCTCGTTTCCGTTGGGTGAATGTTCAGTCCCAAGTTGAAAGTTAAGTCCTTGTCTGGCTGCCAAGCCCTGCCTGTCCTTTCCACTTTGCCAGGGCGGTGTATTAGTCTGCTCTCGCATTGCTATAAAGAAATACCTGAGCCTGGGTAATTTATAAAGAAAACGGGTTTCATTGGCTCACGGTTCTGCAGGCTACTGGAAGCATGGCGGCATCTGTTTCTGGGGAGGCCTCGGGGAGCTTTCACTCATGTGGAAGGTAGAGCGGGAACAGGCTTCTGATATGGCAGGAGCAGGAGCAAGACACAGCCAGGGGAAGGTTGCCACACACTTTTTTTTTTTTGAGATGGAGTCTTGTTCTGTCACCCAGACTGGAGTGCAGTGGTGCAATCTCGGCTCACTGCAACCTCCGCCTCCTGGGTTTAAGCAACTCTCCTGCCTCAGCCTCCCGAGTAGCTGGGACTACAGGTGGGTGCCACCACACCCGGCTAATTTTTTTGTATTTTTAGTAGAGAACGGGATTTCACCATATTAGCCATGATGGTCTCGATCTCCTGACCTCGTGATCTGCCCGCCTCAGCCTCTCAAAGTGCTGGGATTACAGGCGTGAGCCACCGCATCCAGCCTGCCACACACTTTTTAACAACCAGATCTTTTGGTAACTCACTCACTATACAGTACCAAGGGAGGATGGTGCATTAGTCCATCCTCATTCTGCTAATAAGGACATACCCAAGACTGGGTAACTTATAAACAGAAAAGGCTTAATTGAGTCCCAGTTCAGCATGGCTTGGGAGGCCTCAGGAAACTTACAACCATGGCAGAAGGGGAAGCAAACACATGTCCTTCTCCACATGGCAGCAGGAAGGAGAAGTACAGAATGAAAGTGGGGAAAGCCCCTTATAAAACCATCAGATCTCATGAGAACTAACTCAATATCATGAGAACAGCATGGGGGAACTGCCTCCATGATCCAATTGCCTCCCACTGGGTCCCTCTCACCACGGGTGGGGATTATGAGATTTGGGTGGGGACACAGCCAAACCATATTAGATGGTGCTAAGCCATTCATGAGAATGCCACCTGCATAATCCAGTCACCTCCCACCAGGCCCCACCTTCAACACTGGGGATTACAATTCAAAATGAGATTTGGGTGGGGACATGGATCCAAACCATATCAGCCAGTTTACACCCAAGAGTGAAGCCAAGCAACAGCCCCCTAAGGCGGAGGCCCCTGGAGGTAGTCCTGGCTCTGCCAAGAGTCACTCCTCCTCTGGCACTATCCTGTGTCTCTTGTAACCTGGCTGAAGCTCTCAGAGCTTGGGGCAGTGACAGCCTTTGCCCCCTTCAGCTCTGCCCTTGGAGTCAGAGCCACGAGGGGAGACCCTCCAGCCCTCATGTCCACTGGAGTCCTACCCGGGTCCCTTTTTTTGTGTGTGGGTTGTTGGTTCGTTTGTTTTTTCTTGATATGGAGTTTCACTCTTGTCTCCCAGGCTGGAGTGAAATGGCGCGATCTTGGCTCACTGCAACCTCTGCTTCCTGGGTTCAAGTGATTCTCCTGCCTCAGCCTCTTGAGTATCTGGGATTACAGTCACCTGCCACCACTCCCGGCTAATTTTGTATATTTTTAGTAGAGAGGGGTTTCACCATGTTGGCCAGGCTGGTCTCAAACTCCTGACCTCAGGTGATCCACCCATCTCGGCCTCCCAAAGTGCTGGGATTACAGGCTTGAGCCACTGCGCCCAGCCTTACCTGGGTACTTTTATGTGTCAGCTTGACTGGGCCACGGGGTTCCCAGATGTGTGGTCAGACATTATTCTGGGTGTCTGTGGGTGAGTTTAACATTTAAATCAGTGGACTGAGAGGAGTAGACTGTGCTCCCTAGTGTGGGGGGGCCTCATCCAGTCAGTTGAAGGCCTGCATAGAACAAAAAGCCTCACCCTCCCCCGAGGAAGAGAATTCTCCGGACTGCCTGCCTTCAGACTGGGACACTGGCTTTTTCCTGCCTTGGAACTTGAATGCTGGCTCTTCTTGGGCCTCAAGCCTCAGACTGGAACCCTGTGGTCCGCTCTCCTGGGCCTCCAGCTTGCCGACTGCAGCAGATCTTGGGACTTAACCTCTGCAATCACATGAGCCGAATCCTTGTCATCTCTGTGTGTGTGATTCTCTGTCTCTCTACACACATGTACATACACCCTGTTGTTCTGTTTCTATAGGAGATGTGCTCCAAAATCCTGGAACTGCAAAACCTTTGACTTCTACAAAAAATGGGTTAATCTGGAATCATCTCTCCTTGGTTCGTATGTGTGTGTGTATGTGTGTGTTTGGGGTTTTTCTTCCCATCAATAGGCTTATCCCAACCGGTTGCAGTGGCTCACTCCTGTAATCCCAGCACTGTAGGAGGCTGAGGCAGGCAGATCGCTTGAGCCCAGGGGTTCGAGACCAGCCTGACTAACATGGTGAAACCCCATCTCTACTAAAAACACAAAGATTAGCTGGGTGTGGTGGTGGGCGCCTATAATACCAGCTACTTGGGAGGCTGAGGCACAAGAATCAATTGAACCTGGGAGGCAGAGGTTGCAGTGAGCCGAGATCGTGCCACTGCACACCAGCCTGGGTGACAGAGTGAGGCTCTGTCTCCAAAAAAAAAAAAAAAAAAAAAAGGAAAATAAAATTAAAACATTTTTGTGGACACCTAAAGGATCATGGGCCCAGTGGAGAAGGTGGCCCTCCTCCCTTCCTCAGAGCCCCCGAGCCCTGCCCTGTGGGGTGGGAAAGAAGGGGACCTGCCCAGTGTCACGGTCAGTGGCCAAGCTGGACGACAGGTAATCCCTGAGTCCTGCCCCAGCCAGCCCTGCCCTCTGCTCTCCCAGAACCTAGAATCTGGGGGAAGATTGAACAAGCTCTTCCTTGAAGGGAGGGCGCCGCCTCCTCTCACCCCCTGCCACGGGCATCGGTGTGAGGCTGTGCTGGGGGCTGTGCTCACCCTCTGCGTCCCCGATGGGGCAGTGTCTGGTACCTGTGGAGTTCCTGGAAGAATCTGTGCCCTGATTGCCATTGTGAGCTGTGCCGGGGAGGCTCTGTAGGAGAGGAGGAGCAGTTAGCCGACTATTGGGGCGTGGGACAGGCTGGTCACGGGGCTCCGCTTCCTGGAGGGCTGCTGCTTTCGTAGGCCTGGCATCCGCCCCTCCAGCCGCATGCTGTCTGATTGTTCCCTGCAGGAGGTGCCAGCCCCTAGCTCTGGCAGCATCAGAGGAGCACATGAACCGAATGCTTCCAGAAGGCTCTGCGGCTGGTGGGGAGAAGGCTCTGGAGACCTTCAGTGAGTTGTGGCCTGTTCCCCGCTTCTCTCCGCACCGTTGGATGAGCCTCCTGTGGCATGGCTGGAAGGGCTGGGCGCTGAGGGTGTAGGCATCAGGACAGCTTTGCCTGGGCTGCCCACATTCTCTGCCCTGGGGGGACAGGGGCAGCTGGCGAAGCCCTCGTGTGGTGTCTCAGTGAAGTGCCCAGTGATGGGCTAGGGCCACCCCTGTCCTGAGCCTCCCCATGGCCCTCCAGTTCTTCCCTCCCTCCCACCTGCTCCTGTCTCCTTCGTTTTCTGTTTCTGTCTGGGTTGACTCATGACATACCTGAGAGCCTCCTGGCTTCAGCCTCTCTGCCATCCCCAGAGCAAGGAGGGCTCGGGGGGCACACAGTGTGGGAAGAGGCTGGACGGGAAGGCCAGAGGGTCACAATGGGTGGCGGGCGCCCTCCCTGCTGCCCCGTCTCGCCCGGCTCCCAGAGTCACTCATTCGGGCTCACTCTGGGCCCTCAGCTGCTCCCTCTGATCCCAGCCTCAAAGGTGCAGCTGGTCTGGTTAGACACGTGTTCTCAGAAGGAGCAGAGAGTGATGCATTAATTTATCCTTTGTTGACTCTGAAAGTCAAAAGCTCCCGGGGAATCTGGACTAATCTCTCTCCTAGAAGTGGCTGATTATTTGTAAAAGGATCTGAGCTTGCTGAGTGTCACATGGCAGTGGGACCTCCATGCAGGTCCCTGAGTGGCCATGCCGCTCTCCTCCCCTTCCCGCCCAGGCCAGGCCTCCAGTGCTGTGCTTCCGCTGTTTCGTCTGCCTGGGACGCTCCCGCCCCTGGAGAAGGAGAACTCAGGAAGCTCTTCCCTGAAGACATTTGTGGGGGCTTGGCCAGCCTCCCTTCCTGTCCCCCTTGTCCCCTGCACAGACTTTTGTGCAACGCTGCGATGATTTATTTTATTTTTTATCTCTTGTAGTGATGGGGTCTAACCATGTTGCCCAGGCTGGTCTCAAATTCCTAGGCTCAAGCGATCCTCCCGCTTCGGCCTCCCAAAAGGCACAGACACAAGCCACCGTGCCCGGCCCTGTGATGTTCATGGAACTGACTTGTCCCACGTCTGTCTCCTTCTCCTTCCTACCTCTGTGTGACCGGGCCCTCGAGCTGTGCTGGACACACAGAAGGTGCTGGTGCATGGAAGGTGGAGGTCAGAAGGGCCTCCCTTCCCCCGCGAGAAGGGCAGGTCCTACCACAGCATGGGTGGGCGCCTGGGATGTGGAAGGAAGCTGAACTGCTTCTAGTCCAGGCTTCTCAGGCTGCATTCACAGGCCAGAGCTTTTTTTTTTTTTTTTTTTTTGAGACAGAGTCTCTACCTGTCTCGCCCAGGCTGGAGTGCAATGGCGCAGTCTTGGCTCACTGCAGCCTCCGCTTCCTGGGTTCAAGCGATTCTCCTATCTCAGCTTCCCGAGTAGCTGAGACTACAGGCATGTGCCACCACGCTCGGCTAATTTTGTATTTTTAGTAGAGACGGGGTTTCACCATGTTGGCCAGGCTGGTCTCGAACTCCGGACCTCAGGTGATCCACTGGCCTTGGCCTCTAAAGTGCCGAGATTACAGGTGTGAGGCACCGCACCCAGCCCTCCCGCAGTTCTGATTGGATAACCCAGCCCAGGAGTGCCCCGGAGCCCTCCCTCTGGCCGTATGCTGAGCTCAGTGCCTCACCCCCACCATTTTAGTCCCCACCCATCCCTGCAGGGTCAGTCCTACTGTCCCCACTGCACAGATGGGGAAACTGAGGCTCAGAGGGGTTGGGGAAATTTGCCCACAGTTTCAGCCAACAAAATGGAGAACAGGATCCAGTCCGGCCCCAGGCCCTGCTCTGCTGACCTCTGTTTTATCTTCCCACCCGGGACCCAGAGGATGGGGTGCTCCTCAGGACTCGCCACAGAGCCCGACCGGAGGACTGGGAATGTGCCCACAGCTGGGACAAGGAACCAGCCAGCAGCATTCCTGGCAGGCCCATCCCAGCCAGGTGAGGCCCCAGCTCCTCTTGGCTTCTCCCACTGTGGGTACGGGGACGTGACAGCAAATAGACTGTCCAATTTCCCTGCCCTCGCGGAGTAAGATGGAGAGGAACGTTCTGGAGCAGACAGTGATGGCTGCTTCTGGGAGACACAGCAGGGAAGCGGTGAGCCATGCAGAGAGTCGGGGGATTGGCGTCGGCCTCTCCCCTACATGCTCCTGCCCGCCCCAAAGCCCTCAGTGTCTCAGTGCTAGTCTGGACTTTCCCTCCCTTCCTGGGACTCAGGGAGGGATTCTTTTGCCTGCTGGCCACAGCGGGAAGCAGCAGATGCTGCCCGGGCCGGCCTGTGGGGACGGCACCCTGCCTCTGGAAGGCTCGGTGATGCTGCGGCCAGCCGGTGTCCACCAGGCCTGTGCCAGGTGAGATGGGCCTTCACGGTGGCCTGGCTCCGTGGACCAGGCCCCCGGATGCATCCCTCCCCCAGCAGGCAGTGGATTGGAGAGGAGCCCTAGGAGCACGAGGGACCCCAACTGGGGGGACTTCAGAGGTGCCTGCCTGGGAGGGGGCAGGTGCAAGAAAGATACTTCCAGGACCCCGAGGGAGGAGACAGCCCCGGACTTCGAGGCTCATGGCCAGAAGGCTGGGAGCTCCCTGAAGGCAAGCACAGGGAACCCAGAAGACAGCAGCAGGCAGGGGCCATGGATGGGGGCCTTGGGGCCAACCACCCGGTGAAGGCTTGATGGAAGGAGGGAGGGAGCCACCGACGGTCCTTGAGGGTCCTTGGATGCCTGCTTATGGAGGAGTAGCCTGACACTGAGAAGTGAGGGGGCATCCAGGTCCCAGGTCTGGGTGAGCCAGGTGATCTGGTTTGGCTCTGTGTCCCCACCCAAATCTCATCTTGAATTGTAATCCCCACATGTGGAGGGAGGGAGGTGATTGGATCATGGAGGCAGCTTCCCCAGTGCTGTTCTCGTGATAGTGAGTGGGTTCTCACGAGGTCTGATGGTTTTATAAGGGGCTCTTCTCCCTTCCTATTCCTTCTCTTTCTCTCCTGCTGCCTTGCGAAGAAGGCGTCTGCTTCCCCTTCTGCCGTGAGTGTAAGTTTCCTGAGGTCTCCCCAGCCATGTGGAACTGTGAGTCAATTAAACCTCCCTGGCTGATAAATTACCTAGTCTCGGGTAGTATCTTTATGGCAGTGTGGAAATGGACTAATACAGCAGGTGATCTGGGAATGGAGGGGAAATACTTCTGGGAATGTCACTGATCTAAAACCTGTCTGTAGTGGGGTTGGATGACGAGCCACGCTGGTGAACCGATTTCCTGATCCTCAGGGATTCCTGCAGGGGTGGCCCAGGTTCCTGCTCTAGGACATGGGGATGTATGGGCCCGCTTGTCTGGTTCCAGCCTTTGGGGCCTGCTGAGATTTGCTGGGGCCGCAGGAAGAGGAGCAGTTGGCTTCTTGCTTGAGAACTTTTCAAGAACATTTTCAGGGTGTAGATGAGTGAAGGACCCACATGCTGCTGTGCTCCTAGTTTATGAACTACTGATCTTTGCTGACTCTATGGAGAGAGCAATGGATGGAAGGGATGGAAGGCCCTTTGCTTTTGAAAGCAAAATAGAGAACATCTGAGCTATGCAAGAAGAGCAAGGACAGGGACCTATTGTAATTCTGTGCACGGCCCCCTCTTGACATTCTCCACTCCTGTGGAATTTGGTTTTACGACCACAGGACTAAGCTAATTAGGACTTAGCTGAGGAGATGGGCCGTGTTTCCCTGTGCTCAGATGGTGACGGTGTTGTGCACCTTCTCTTGCCACAAGATCCAGAGTCAATGAAGACAGGACTCCAGAGTGTTTGCACAGAAGCCGGGTCTTCCAGCCAAAGTGGATTCTGTGTGATTACAAGTTTGCTAGTAATGCCACCCTGGTTTATTTATTTTAATTTATTTTATTTTTTTAAACAGCAAAACCAAAATGAAGCAATTGAATTGGGTTTCACAATAATGAAGGAAAAGCCTTGTGTCTATTTTGTTTGTTTGTTTGTTTGAGACGGAGTTTCGCTCTTGTTGCCCAGGCTGGAGTGCAGTGGCGCCATCTCGGCTCACTGCAACCTCCGCCTCCCAGGTTCAAGCGATTATTCTCCTGCCTCAGCCTCCCGAGTAGCTGGGATTACAGGCACTGGCCACAATGCCCGGCTAATTTTTTTGGTATTTTTAATAGAGATGGGTTTTCACCATGTTGGCCAGGCTGGTCTCGAACTCCTGACCTCAGGTGATCCGCCCACCTCAGCCTCCCAAAGTGCTGGGATTACAGGTGTGAGCCACCACGCCCAGCCCTTGTGTCTGTTTTTTAATTAAAATTTTGATGGAGATAATTGTAGATCCACATGCAATTGCAAGAAATCACACTGAGAAATTCCTTTGACCCTTTACTCATTTTCCGCCAATGGCAACATCTTGCAAAATTATAATTCGCTACCACAACCAGGCTATCAATGTTGGGACAATCCACCAGTCTTATTATTTATTTATTTATTGAGACAGAGTATCACTCTGTTGCCCAGGCTGGAGTGCAGTGACGTGATCTCAGCTCACTGCAACCTCCGCTTTCCAGGTTCAAGTGATTCTCCTGCTTCAGCCACCCGAGTAGCTGGGATTACAAGTGTGCAGCACCACGCCCAGCCAATTTTTGTATTTTTAGTAGAGACCGGGGTTTCGCCATGTTGGCCAGGCTGGTCTCGAACTCCTGACCTCAAGTGATCCACCTGCCTTGGCCTCCCAAAGTGCTGGGATTACAGGCATGAGCCACTGTGCCCAGTCCCAATTTTTTTTTGATGCCTGCTCCTTCTGAGGCAGGTGTACTGATTTTTATGTGGACGTAAACTTTCGTTTTTCCAGGCAGTACAATAGCCGCCGTGTCATGTGGTAGTTAGTTGCGTGTTTTGTTTGATAAGAAACTGCTGTCCTGGCGCAGTGGCTCACGCTTGTAATCCCAGCACTTTGGGAGGCCAAGGCAGGAGGGTCACATGAGCTCAGGAGTTTGAGACCAGCCTGGGCAACATGGTGAAATCCCATCTTTACTAAAAATACAGAAAATTAGTCAGGCATGGTGGCATGTGCCTGTGGTCCCGGCTACTTAGGAGGCTGAGGTGGGAGGATCACTTGAGCCCAGGAGGTCAAGGTTGCAATAAGCCGACATCACACCACTGCACCCCAGCCTGGGTAACAAAGTGGGATCCCGTCTCAAAAAAAGAAAAGAAACTGCCAGACTGTTTTCCAGAGTAACTGTACTGTTCCCGCCAGCAGTGTGTGCGTGATCTTATTTCTCTGCATCCTCATTAGCATTTGGTGTTGCCACCATTTTTTGTTTCAGCCGTTCTGATAGTTAACGCAGTGATATCTTATTGTAGTCGTAATGTGAATTTCCCTAATGGCTCACGATATTGAACGTCTTTTCACGTGCTTATTTGCCATCCGTATATCCTTTTTGGTAAAATATTTCATATCTCTTGCCCATGTTCTAATTACATTCTTTGATGCTTTTCTGTTGAATTACACTGAGGGAGGTAAGGGAACCAGCCAAGCAGATTCCCTGGAGAAGAACATTCCAGAAAGAGAGAAGAGCTAATTTAAAGGCCATGAGACAGGAGTTCAGGGTGTTCAAGATAAAGCACCAGAGTCAGTGTAGCCGGGCGAGTGAGCTGCGGGAGAGGGAGGCACATTCACCAAATAATTCATGGCCACCCCCATAACCGGCCCCGCTACAGACAGGCGGCACCGCGCAGTTGGCCCAGGCCCCCACGACGGGAAGGAACGTGGGCCACTCCTGGGCAGAGGCATGAGGAACAGGTGAGCGATGCCTGGCCTGCCTTCTGCTTCTTGATGATGGCTGGAGGCCACGCATTGAGTTTGTTGAAACAAGATTGTGGCAGCCTGGATGGGTGAGTCACCGCGTGGAGCCGCTGCTGCTCTGGGGAGCTGCCTGGCTCGCTCTGGACTTAGCGTGAGCGAGAAGTAAATCTGTAGTGTATCGTGTCTTGGAGACATCAGGGCTTATTTGTCACCACTGCAAAAATGAGTTCATTCTGACAAATACAGGGATGAGGTCAGCAAAATGAGTTCATTCTGACAAATACAGGGATGAGGTCAGCAAAAATGAGTTCATTCTGACAAATAGAGGGATGAGGTCAGCAAAAATGAGTTCATTCTGACAAATACAGGGATGAGGTCAGCGGGACTTGGCGGGTGTGGGGGGCCGGTCAGGTCCTGCAAGGCCTTATGGGTCTTGGTAAGGACACCAGCTTTTTGGCTTGAGTTCTGAGTGAGATGGGAAACAGCTGCCTTTTCTCATTTGACTTTGACTTCCTCCCCTCAACCCCACCTGCTGCAATGAAAGTCGTAATATTTATGAGGTCAAAGGTATTCTCTTTCTCAGTAGCCTCTGGGTTTTGTATCAGCTTGGAAACGACTTTTGCATGTTTAATTCTCCTCCTACCTTTTTTTCTCGTACTTTCATGGCTTTTTAAAATTTTATTTTTATTTTGTTTAGAGGCAGAGTCTCACTCAAGGCTGGAGTGCAGTGGTGCCATCTCGGCTCACTGCAACCTTCCCCTCCGAGTTCAAGTGATTGTCGTGCCTCAGCCTCCCAAGTAGCTGGGATTACAGGCACGTGCCATGATGCCCAGCTAATTTTTGTATCTTTAGTAGAGACAGGGTTTCACTGCGTTGGCCAGGCTGGTCTCGAACTCAAGTGATCCTCCTGCCTCGGCCTCCCAAAGTGCTGGGATTACAGGCGTGAGCCACCGCACCCGGCCTTCATGGCTTTATTTTTTTACACTGAAATCTCTGATGCATCTGGTGGGTTTTGTGTAAGGAGTGAGGTCGAGCTTTTAATGAGTCCTAAATGGTCCTCTAGATTCAGTGTCTGCATGACAAAGCTTATGGCCAGCTCTTTGAAACTCTGGAGAAACCCTTTAGGGAACTGATGCTGGGTCTAGGGTGGGAAGGGCATCGGGGTGGTGAGAGGAGCCCCAGCAGATCACCAGGGAGGGCCAGGGCCGGCTGGGTGGCTGCCTGGGACAATTAGACAATTATGAGGAGTGTGGTGGCCAGGCGTGGTGGCTCATGCCCGTAATCCCAGTACTCTGGGAGGCCAAAGCGGGTGCATCACCTGAGGTTAGGAGTTCGAGGCCAGCCTGGCCAACATGGTGAAAACTCCTCTCTACAAAAAATTAGCTGGGTGTGGTGATGGGCACCTGTAATCTCAGCTACTTGGGAGGCTGAGACAGGAGAATCACTCGAACCTGGGAGGCGGAGGTTGCAGTGAGCGGAGATCACACCATTGCACTCAAGCCTGGGCAACAAGCGCGAAACTGTCTCCAAAAGAAAAAAAAAAGGAGTGTGGAAATAACCCAGGAATAAAAAAAACACAGTGCTAACATCACATTGTGTAGCCCCAGCGTGAAGGGGTTTTTGGCCACCACAGGGAGCAGAATGTCCTTTGGTGGACATGACAAGAGTCTTTTCTGAGGCACCCTGTCTGCGGCACAGCTGCCTGGGTGCCCGAGGAACAGCCCTGTGTCAGCATTTAGTCCGCTGAAACATGCAGCTAAATAACCAGCCGGCTGTCTTCCGAGAACAAGTGATTTATTTTTATTGCTTCATTTTTAAACACTTCAACATGCCTCCCAAGAAGCTGTGTGGTTTGGAAAAGCGTAAGAGAAAGCTGAAGAGAAAATGCAAGCTGGAGAAAAGTGGGGATGCTTTGCTGACACATTCTTCCGGAAACCAGCTCGGCTCTGCCAGGCGTGTGTTTTTGGCCAGTGCCATTTCCGGGCCCCTGGAGTTGATGGACATTTCCTGTGCGGGGTCTGATTCCCACTACAGATTTGAAAGAGGCATGCAGATTTTTATTTTAAAAAAAACTAAATAGAACCTGGTAGCCAGACATGGTGGCGCGAGCCTGCAGTCTCAGCTACTTATGAGACTGAGGTGGAAGAATCGCTTGAGCCCAGGATGTGGAGGTTGTAGCGAGCCAAGATTGCAGCACTGCACTCCAGCCTAGGTGACAGAACAAGAGACCCTCTCTCAAAAAACAAACAGGCTGGGCATGGTGGCTCATGCCCATAATCCCAGCAGTTTGGGAGACTGAGACAGGTGCATCACCTGAGGTCAGGAATTCGAGACCAGCCTGGCCAACATGGCGAAACCCCCTCTACTAAAAATACAAAAATTAGCCAGGCGTGGTGGCAGGCGCCTGTAATCCCAGCTGCTCAGGAGGCTGAGGCAGGAGAATTGATTGAACCTGGGAGGCGGAGGTTGCAGTGAGCCGAGATTGTGCCACTGCACTCCAGCCTGGGTGACAAGACCGAAACTGCGTCTCAAGAAAAAAACAAAAAACAAAACAAAAGCCCAAAACAAAAAACCCAAAATAAAAAAAACAAACTAAAGAATATTGGTTTTTCTGTCTCTCAAAATATGTAGTGAACAT